>NC_000017.11:17157777-17460807 GCF_000001405.40 Homo sapiens
AGATCGCGCCATTGCACTCCAGCCTGGGTAACAAGAGTGAAACTCCATCTCAAAAAAAAAAAAAACAAAACATAGATCTGATCACGTTACCTGCTTATTAAAAGGTAAGCCCTTCTAGAAAGTGCTAGTTTTCCCTCATTCTGTCACCACTGTCCAGTCCAGGGGTGCACAGGGCCCAGGCCTCACCTGGCAGGTACGGTGGCTGTGCCCAGGTGCAGCCTAATGTAGTTCTTGGCCCTGAGCAAGGCAGGGCTGGCCCGTCCTGCCTCTGAGGCTGTGGGAGTCCTGGGACTCCCCTGGCTCCATACCCTGGCAACGGGACCACCACAGTGAGCCCCTCACAGCCTCTTCAGTCAAGGGACCCCCCCAGTGTCATTATGTGGGAAACCTCAGCTTTCTGAGGCTCTTTTCCCTTCCTTTCCCCTTCCCCTCCCCGTCCCCCTCCCCCTCCCCCACTCAGAACCAGTTTGGGAAGGGATGTGGGGTAAAGGCAGAGTATTCCTGTCCTCCCTGCACTTAGGAAGCTGGGATTAGGATAGAAAAAGGATGTGGTGCTCACAGGGGCTGGGTTGTGGCTCAGCATTGCCAGCTTCTGCCTGGCAGGCCACACCAGAGCCGCCCCTGACAGGCTATGTCCATCCTCCTGCCCCACAGCTCGTTGCCAGAGGAAAAAAACAAGAGCAGCTGCTCTTTTGAGACCTGCCCGAGGCCTACTGAGAAGCAAGAGGCAGAGCTGGGGGAGCCGGACCCTGAGCAGAAGAGGAGCCGCGCACGGGAGCGGAGGCGAGAGGGCCGCTCCAAGACCTTTGACTGGGCTGAGTTCCGTCCCATCCAGCAGGCCCTGGCTCAGGAGCGGGTGGGCGGCGTGGGGCCTGCTGACACCCACGAGCCCCTGCGCCCTGAGGCGGAGCCTGGGGAGCTGGAGCGGGAGCGTGCACGGAGGCGGGAGGAGCGCCGCAAGCGCTTCGGGATGCTCGACGCCACAGACGGGCCAGGCACTGAGGATGCAGCCCTGCGCATGGAGGTGGACCGGAGCCCAGGGCTGCCTATGAGCGACCTCAAAACGCATAACGTCCACGTGGAGATTGAGCAGCGGTGGCATCAGGTGGAGACCACACCTCTCCGGGAAGAGAAGCAGGTGCCCATCGCCCCCGTCCACCTGTCTTCTGAAGATGGGGGTGACCGGCTCTCCACACACGAGCTGACCTCTCTGCTCGAGAAGGAGGTAATAGCCTGGGACCAGATCCCCACCCTGCTCCCAGCAGCCTTTCCAGAGCATCAGCTGTGCCCAGCTGTGGCCTGAGGGGTTCATCTAGACAGTCCTACCCGCGAGGGACTTGCAGACCCCTAGGGGAGACAGACGCATAGATGAGTCCTCATAGTTGAGGCAGACCTGAGAGCTGTGGGAGCGTGCCAGTGCATGCAGGGCAGGGAAAGGGGCCTTCCAGGCACAGAGGAATTCTTCCGATGGTGGGGGCCCCTGCCATTGAGAGGCAAGCGGCGTTGCAGGGCCTAGATGGTTTCCTCGTTCTGACTCCCGATGGCAGGAGGGGCGCGAGCAGGGCAAGGCTTTTGCATTACGCAGCCCTGGCTTGGACAGGTCAAAGCTGTAGGCAGAGACCAGCCCCAGGTGCTCTTACAGTGGCTTGGGGACGGCCGATCAGATCTGAAGCCAGGGGCATCCAGCAGGAGATGACAGCTGGGTCCTAGGTCATGAGGATATGAAGCAGAAGACAGTGGTGAGGCAGGGTAGGCTGTGGATGAAGGCTGCCCTGTGACTGTCACTCCTCCACGAGGCCTTCAGTGCACCTAGGTACATAGATGAACAAGCTGGCCCCCGAACTATAAAATAAGATGTTCTTTCATGGAAATGTATGCAGAAATCCAGTCTGCAGAACTTCAGTGGTAGATTGACATGTCTGGGCAGGGAGTCTCGTAGCTGGGGAGGTGTAGCGTTACAGTTTTTGTAGAACTCCCTGTTTCACTCTCCATTTAGGGACAGTTTTCAACACTGTGTTTCAAATGTGTTCTCTTACGTAAGTAGCTTGTTAAAGATTTGCCACTTGGGTATGCCTCAAGCTTCTCATCTTTTTTGTATTTTATTAACTGTATGAGGCTGAGTTACCACCAGCACTAATACTTGTACTTTTTCATTTTCCTCATCCATTAACAAGTAACAAAGGCAAGATGAAATAAAATAACAGTTGAAACTCACATTACTTCAGGCTACCAAAATGGGCCAGCCAGCAGGCGACACACTGGCTCAACAATCTGGGGGGTCAGTCTTCACTGTTTAAAAGTCAGGGGTCGGCTGGGCATGGTGGCTCACGCCTGTAATCCCGGTACTTTGGGAGGCCGAGGCGGGCGGATCACAAGGTCAAGAGATCAAGACCATCCGGCCAACATGGTGAAACCCCGTCTCTACTAAAAATACAAAAATTAGCTGGGCATGGTGGTGCATTCCTGTAGTCCCAGCTACTTGGAAGGCTGAGGCAGGAGAATCACTTGAACCCAGGAGGCAGAGGTTGCAGTGACCTGAGATCGCACCATCGTACTCCAGCCTGGCGACAGAGCGAGAGTCCATCTCAAAAAAAATAAATAAAAGTCAGGGGTCTCCCCGCCTCTCACAGCACAGTCTGTCAGCACCCTGGGCGGCACTGGCCTGACTGTCCACCACACACACAGCTCCATTCAGCACGAGCTCTGGGAGCAGGTTGGGTAGCCCTGCACATGGCCAGGCATCAGGAGGCACCTGGGAGGTGTGTAGGGAAGAGGTGGATGGATGAATGAGTAGCTGAAGCTGTTGAAAGCAAGAAGAGTGTAAAATAGCTTACTCATGGGTATCCACACCTTGTTTGAGGGAACTGCGGGAACTCTTTTTGCAAACAGAACTTTGTGGAATCCATCATGTAAAGCTGGTCAAATGGAGTGGTTTCAGTTGAGACCATAGTGGGCCCTGGAGTGAGGCCTGCTTGGGGCCACCACTCACAGTGGTCCCTGTAGAGCCTAGCCTGGCCTGTGTGACCAGCTGAGGACACCCAAAGGACCCCATGGGGTGCTTCCTCCAGATGCAGATGCAAAACCCTTGTTCCCCAGTGGACACATTCCCCTTCTCAGAAATGAACACCCCGTATGGGCCTTGGCACCTATATAGGGCGTGCATGTTGGA
Organism: Homo sapiens; assembly: GCF_000001405.40. Classification (NCBI taxonomy): domain Eukaryota; kingdom Metazoa; phylum Chordata; class Mammalia; order Primates; family Hominidae; genus Homo; species Homo sapiens. Next base: position 17,160,947 of record NC_000017.11, read on the forward strand.
ACCTTGAGCAGGTGTGGGAAGTATGTGGGCATCCAGGGGTGCCTGGAGTAGGGAAGGACAAGGTAGTCCCTTGGTGCCCATAAGGTACCAAGTCTGCCATTGTTACTGATGGCTTGCATTGGAACCTTCACTTCCAAATGCTGCTGGTAAAGGCCATATCAGCACATCTGCTGAAATGTGGAGACTCCAAAACTCTTGGGCCACATGGAAGACCAGTGAAAGAGTCTGTGCTGTGCAGCTGCTTTGTTTATCATTGTCATTTTGCATAAAAGTGTGTGTCTTTTTGCCAACAGCTGGAGCAGAGCCAGAAGGAGGCCTCAGACCTTCTGGAGCAGAACCGGCTCCTGCAGGACCAGCTGAGGGTGGCCCTGGGCCGGGAGCAGAGCGCCCGTGAGGGCTACGTGCTGCAGGTAGGGTGGAGGGGCTGCTGTGGCCCATGGTGCGCTCAGGAGCTTCAGTGTGAAGGGTTCATGCTCAGGCAGGCTAGGAGTGTGCAAAACTTGGCTGAGCAGGGGTGTCTCCCAGGAGCTCATGCCCCTGGGCTTTTCTGCCACAGGACTGGACACTCAATGTGCTTGGGGGGGTCTGTTTGTTTTTCCCTCCTGATATGACATTTTGGGGAATCTCCCTGAAACCTCTATATCTAAGGACTTTTTTTGGTAATAAAATGATTTTGGTGACCTTTCCCTTTGACTCTGAAAGTAGCCAATATACATTTATTGTAAATACCATACATTTGCATGTGATTTCTCATAGTTTTCACTATAGTAATATTGGACCTATTGTACAGATTGAAGACATTGAATCACACAGCAAGTCCAGTGCCTGCTTACAACCAACAGCAAGTCAGTGGCAAAGCTAGTACTGGACCCCATTCCCATCTGTTTCTATACCACACCTGGCAGGCAGAGCTGGGGCTCTTACCACTACTAGCCCAACCCCGGGATACCTCCACTGAGATCCTGTACCACAGAGCCCTGATATAGGGGTGTCACAAGGCTGGAGCTAGCCTGGCCCAAGGGCGTGCCTATGTCTGCTGACTTTCCTGCAGCGTGCCAGGCCTTGTGCCAGGTATTGGGCATAAAACAGATATACTCTTGTCCCCATTGAGTGGTAGAGGAGATTGTGATAGGAAGATTGATATATAAATACTGCAGGAGAAGTGAAGTGGGGTACCAGAACAGGGAGCCTAAGTTCTCGGCAAAGGCTGAGGGTATAACATTAGAATCAAGGTCCTAGGTTCAAGACTTGGCCCTGCTACTGACCCCCAAAGCAAGTGCATGTGTCCCCTCCTCTACAGCGGCAGTCTGCTGCCTGTGTAGACTTAGACCCAGTGATCCCTGAGGGCCCTTCCGGCTCTTAGACCCCGAGTCTCTGTCACGTATTGTCTACATTTGCAGACCGCAGTGCGCTGACCTTGGTCTGAGTTGTCCCAGGCAGCAGATGGAACAGGGGCACTCAGCTGGCCTCTGACCATAGTCTGCCTCTTTGCAGACTCTCTGCTGTTTCTTCTCCTGTGTGCTCCCTGGGCCTTCTCTTTCTTTCTGCCCCACATGCCCTAGACTCTCCTCTCCAGCCTCTTCTGCCATAGTCATTGCCATGCCCTGTTCAGACCTGGTGAACAGGGCCTCCCTGTGGGCCTCCCTGCCAAGGTCATTTGCGCTTGCCCTCCAGGTTTGAGGAGCATCTTTTTAATTCTTGATTGGGCCTCATCCTATAAGAACTGGCTTCAAATCAGGTAGTAAAGATAAAAGTTCAGCATCCCAAATTCGAAAATCTGAAATGCTCCAAAATCCAAAACTGAACGCTGACATTATGCTGAAAGGAAATGCTCACTGGAGCATTTCAGATTTTGGATTTTTGGATTGGGGATGCTCACCCAGTAAGTAGAATGCAAATATTTTAAAATCCGAAACAGTTCTTGTCCCAAGTATTTTGGATAAGGGATACTCAACTTGTACTAAGCAGCGGACTTTGCACATTGCTAACCTAGGAACCTACCTCTGTCTAACTTGCATAATTGCATGAGCCTACACTGAAGCCCCTGTTGGTCAGCACTGGGCAAAGCTGGTCTTTAATACCTTTTCCCTAAGTCTAATAACCTGTGACTTCTCACCACCCTTTATGCTTTGGAAATGCTTTTAATCACGACTCAGAATGAGCAGGGGGTCTGTGGGGTTAAGGGTCAGGAGCCAGCTACTGGGGTGGGTGCTATACTAACTGCTGGGAGGAGCTTGCATGATTTGGACATTGAGTGTGAAGTGTAACTTGAACTTAACATAACTGAGTGTCACATCTGTGGCTTCCCCGGCCAGCAGACCGAGAGGGAGCCATAGGCAGGCCAGATTCTTAGGCTGGGCTCGGCTCACTCTTGTTTGTGTTGTTTTTCCCTATATTAATGAGTTCTGTCTCTGCATGCCTTTCAGTGTGGGGAGTTTTGTTTCATTTACGTTGTGTTTTGTTTTTGCATGCTTCACTTTTTCTTATTTTGAACTCCACAAAGGTTTGTTTGTTTTGTTGATTATTGTATCTTACTCCATGGTTCCCGTTCCCCCCTCGTTTTGACTTCTTACAGGTAGAGATTAGTTCTTCCTGTTACTCTAGAGGACTGACTACACTTTCCACAGGAAAATGTTTGGATGTCACCTTGCTGACATCTCCCGAGTGTTACCTTCCTTCCTTCTCCTCCTGTCTTAGAAGGAAGTGGCATCATTTACCTACACCTTGTGTCCTGCGCTTGTTTAGGATTTGTTGTCAAGACTGCGTACTTTTTGTTTTGTGAAACAAACAGCTGCAGGTGCTGTGCTCCTCCCGCCTGTCCCTCTTCCTGGCGCTCTCTTGTCCTTTAGTCTTTGTTTTGCTTCTTAGTGTGTTCCATTATTCAGTTTTGTTTGGTTTATTTCTCCTAGAAGCTGTTTGGTTAAAGCTGTTTTCTGATGTTATTGTCCATGTTTTCTGTTTACCTGGAAGCAGCTACTTACTAAAAAAAAAAAAAAAGAAAATTTGTTGGATTTTTTTAATGGGAAAAAAAAATAAAGTTGTACAAAGGATAAAAGCCAAAGCCATCAAGGAGCTTTCTGTGGTTGTTCCTGGCCAGAGGTGTGACACTCAGAACTGGGAGGCCCGAGTGTTACTAACCAGTATTTAATCGGTTTTTTTAAGACTGAAGTGGCCGCCTCCCCATCGGGTGCCTGGCAGAGGCTCCATAGAGTCAACCAAGACCTTCAAAGTGAGCTTGAAGCCCAGTGCCAGCGCCAGGAGCTGATTACACACCAGATTCAGACCCTGAAGCGTAGCTATGGGGAGGCCAAGGACACGATCCGGCACCACGAGGCTGAGATCCGGAGCCTTCAGGCACGGCTCAGCAATGCGGCCGCTGAGCTAGCCATCAAGGAGCAGGCGCTGGCCAAGCTCAAGGGCGACCTGAAGCGGGAGCAGGGCCGGGTCCGCGAGCAGCTGGAGGAGCGGCAACACAGCGAGGCGGCGCTGAGCAGCCAGCTGAGGGCTAGCGAGCAGAAGCTCAAGAGTGCTGAGGCCCTGCTGCTGGAGAAGACGCAGGAGCTACGGGGCCTGGAGACACAGCAGGCGCTGCAGCGGGACCGGCAGAAGGAGGTCCAGAGGCTGCAGGAGCGCATTGCCGACCTCAGCCAGCAACTGGGCGCCAGTGAGCAGGCGCAGCGGCTGATGGAGGAGAAGCTGCAGAGAAACTATGAGCTGCTGCTGGAGAGCTGTGAGAAGGAGAAGCAGGCATTGCTGCAGAACCTAAAGGAAGTGGAAGACAAGGCCAGCGCCTATGAGGACCAGCTGCAGGGTCAGGCACAGCAGGTGGAGACCCTGCAGAAGGAGAAGCTGAGCGCCACTTTCGAGGGCAGTGAGCAGGTGCACCAGCTGGAGGAGCAGCTGGAGGCACGAGAGGCCAGCGTGCGCAGGCTCGCAGAGCACGTGCAGAGCCTCTGTGACGAGCGGGACCTCCTCAGACAGCGGTTCCAGGAGCTGACAGAGCGCGTGGCCACGTCCGACGAGGATGTGGCTGAGCTCCGGGAAAAGCTGAGGAGAAGAGAGGCTGACAACCAGAGCCTGGAGCACTCCTACCAGAGGGTCTCCAGCCAGCTGCAGAGCATGCACACTCTGCTGAGAGAGAAGGAGGAAGAGCTGGAGCGCATTAAGGAAGCACATGAGAAGGTTCTGGAGAAGAAGGAGCAGGACCTCAATGAGGCTTTGGTTAAAATGGTTGCCTTGGGGAGCAGCTTAGAGGAAACAGAAATTAAGCTCCAGGCAAAAGAAGAGATTTTAAGGAAATTTGCAAGTGAATCTCCAAAGGACATGGAAGAGCCACGGAGTACCCCTGAAGAGACAGAAAGGGATGGCACTTTGCTCCCAGGCCAACCAGTCCAAGCCACTAGGGCACCTCTAGGCCTCCCACACACAAGGCTCGAGGATGAGGACGAGGACCTGGGGGCTCCTCCGGGGGAAGAGTACGGTGATGGCAGCCCCAGTAGGGAAGACAGCATGGTGCCCCCAAAGTCAGTGGAAGTGCTTGACAGGGAGGGCCATCAGCAGGGCACAGCCAAACTCGACCAAGGGGCACCTGGTGTTAAAAGGCAAAGAATCCGGTTCTCCACAATCCAGTGCCAAAGATACATTCACCCCGAAGGGTCTGAGAAGACCTGGACCAGCAGCACATCTTCCGACACCAGCCAGGACCGGTCACCCTCGGAAGAAAGCATGTCCTCAGAGCCTGCACCCAGTGTACTGCCTGCAACTGGCGACTCTGACACGTACCTCTCCATCATCCACTCCCTGGAGACCAAGCTCTACGTCACAGAGGAAAAGCTCAAAGACGTGACCGTGAGGCTGGAGAGCCAGCAGGGTCAGAGCCGTGAGGCACTGCTCGCACTGCACCACCAGTGGGCGGGCACCGAGGCCCAGCTGCGTGAGCAGCTCCGCGCCAGCCTGCTCCAGGTTGGCGCACTGGCCTCCCAGCTGGAGCAGGAGAGGCAGGAGAGGGCCAGGAGGGTTGAAGGGCATGTTGGAGAGCTTGGGGACTTCCAGGTCAAGAATAGTCAGGCCCTGATGTGCCTGGAAAATTGCCGAGAACAACTGAGATCTCTGCCTAGGGCCAGCCAGGAGGATGAGCAGGACGCACGCGCAGCCTCCCTGGCCAGTGTGGAGAGTGCACTCGTCAGCGCCATCCAAGCCCTGCAGCACTGGCCGGCCCCAGCCCATGGCGGGGCCCGTGCACAGCTGGAGACAGGTGGCACCGAGGAGAATGGGAAGCCTGCCTCCCTGCAGCAGTGCTCCCAGTCTGAGTTGACAGAGCAGGAGCAGGTGAGGCTTCTTTCTGACCAGATTGCTCTGGAGGCCTCGCTGATCAGCCAGATAGCAGATTCCCTGAAGAACACAACATCAGATGTCTCCCGAATGCTCCATGAGATTTCTTGGTCAGGACAGCCACCGATGGAATCTGCTGGGGCCCCCGTAGACACCTGGGCCAGGAAGGTCCTAGTGGATGGTGAGTTCTGGAGCCAGGTTGAGTCTCTGAGGAAGCACTTGGGGACACTGGGAGGAGAGGCAGTCGGTGCCTCAGGAGACGGGCAGCAAAGCATCCCACAGGGCCTGGCCCCCATCCTGGCCAATGCCACATGGGTCAGGGCAGAGCTCAGCTTTGCCACACAGTCAGTGAGGGAGTCGTTCCACCGCAGGCTACAGAGCATCCAGGAGACCCTGCGGGGCACCCAGACGGCCCTGCGGCAGCACAAATGCCTGCTGAGGGAAATCCTGGGAGCCTACCAAACCCCAGACTTTGAAAGAGTGATGCAGCAGGTCTTGGAAGCCCTCAGGCTTCCAGCGGGCCATGAAGATGGTGTTCAGCTGTCCTGGGACCTGAGCCCCTTAGGAGAAGTCCTGGGCCGAGACTCAGACAGCTCTCAGGAGCCCTTCGATGTGTCTGACCAGAGCCCTGGGGCCTTTGTTGCTATTCAGGAGGAGCTTGCCCAGCAGCTGAAGGAGAAGGCCAGCCTCTTAGAGGAGATAGCGGCTGCCTTACCATCTCTGCCACCTGTGGAATCGCTGAGAGATTGCCAGAAGCTTCTCCAGGTGTCCCAGAGTCTCTCGTATAACACTTGTTTGGGAGGCCTCGGTCAGTATTCTTCATTGTTGGTTCAGGATGCCATTATTCAGGCCCAGGTTTGCTATGCGTCCTGCAGAATCCGGCTAGAATATGAGAAGGAGCTCCAGCTCTGCAAGGAGTCCTGGCAAACCCGGGAGCCCTCCTGCTCAGAGCAGGCACAGGCAGCCCGGGCCCTGAGGGAGGAGTATGAGGAGCTTCTCCGCAAGCAGAAGAGCGAGTACCTGGATGTGATCGCCATTGTTGAAAGGGAGAATGCAGAGCTCAAGGCCAAGGCCGCCCAGCTAGACCATCAGCAGCAGTGTCTGGAGGATGCAGAGAGCAAGCACAGCATGAGCATGTTCACCCTGCGGGGCAGGTATGAGGAGGAGATTCGGTGTGTGGTGGAGCAGCTGACCAGGACCGAGAGCACACTGCAGGCTGAGCGCAGCCGGGTCCTGAGCCAGCTGGATGCCTCGGTCAGAGACAGGCAGGACATGGAGAGGCATCATGGTGAGCAGATACAGACCCTGGAGGACAGGTTCCAGCTCAAGGTCCGGGAGCTGCAGACGATCCACGAGGAGGAGCTGAGGACCCTGCAGGAGCACTACTCGCAGAGCCTGAGGTGCCTTCAGGACACCCTCTGCCTCCACCAGGGGCCACACCCCAAGGCCCTGCCAGCCCCTGCCCCCAACTGGCAGGCCACCCAGGGAGAGGCTGACTCCATGACGGGGCTGAGGGAGCGCATCCAGGAGCTGGAGGCCCAGATGGATGTCATGCGGGAGGAGCTGGGACACAAGGACCTGGAGGGCGACGCGGCCACACTGCGTGAGAAGTACCAGAGGGACTTGGAGAGCCTTAAGGTCTTAACGCCCCATTCAATTTGCAGAGCAGATCTTCCTTGATAATGGGGTGGGTGTGGGGACGTCTGGCTCAGCTACCGTGCAGGCAGAATTGAGGGGATATGCTGCTGTCCCTCTACTTGCTAGCCATGGTGTGGTCTCAGCAGGGCCTGGGCCGCAGGCTTAGCCTCTTGTTCGGCATCCCCCAGTGTCCTCCACCAGGAGGAGAACTAGCAGGAGGGCCGCCAGGGTCCCTGGTGGGAGAGGAGCACGTAGTCTTCCCAGCACTTCCCTGCCTGCCTAATGCGGCCTCTCCGTGTTCCTGAGAGCAGCCCCCAATCCCCTTGCCAGCCTTGCCTCCTTCCTGCCCCTGCCCCGGGAACCCCGTCTGGCCCAGTCCCAGCCCAAATCTGAGGCAGCTGCCTGAGGACAGCCTTGTACTCACAGCAACACCCCGGAGAGCCAGGGCCCAGTTGGAGGGCAGTCTCCTCCTGATTGCCCTAGGAGAGCACAGTCGGGCGGAGGGTCCCTCTCTGGAACTGGCATTTGATGTGTGCTCTGGTGAGAAGAACTTTCCCACGGAGCACAGCCTCCAGCCACTCCTGTCCCCTTCCCCAGGACCTTTACAAGTAGATTTTCCCCAGAACTGTCCTGCATCCCCGCCCCTGAGGTCCTGGAGCACAAAGGCGAAATGCCAGGCCCTGGAGGTGGTGGTGGGCTGAGTGGAGGCCCAGCTGTCTGGCCCCACCCTTTGTAGCTGCAGGCCACACCCACCATGTGTGGCTGTCAAGCATCATCCCTTAGACTCAAAAGTTTACCATGATACCTGTGCCCTTATGTTCCTTCCACTCAGGAAGCTGCCCCAGTAAATGACTAGGATGACTAGGCCCCTCAAAAGCCATGTTCAGGTGGTGCCTTCCACGCTCATGTGGCAGAGCCAGGCGCGCACACAGCCAGCACCATTGTGCTGCAAGCTCCTGACTCCCAGGTGGCTGCCACTGCTCCTGCCTACACATCCTCACAGCCACTGTCTAGCAGGACACCTGTTTTTCCCAGCCCGTTACTCCTGTAGCTCTGAATGGAAACAGCAGCTCACATGTCACCTCTGTGTGACGGACTCGGCCCCACCCAGACACACAGGTGTGGTTGTCAGCGAGCACCTCAGGAGAACTGAGAAGCTCTTTTTCACCATTCTTTCCCCAAATCAGTCAAAACCTTTTAAAAACCATTATGAGTTGTGAGAAGGTTTCAACAGCTATGTTTTCAAAGTGTGTGTATATGATGGCACTGTGGTCAGTTCACCAAGAGCAGCACTGAGATGGGTGGATCCAGGTGCACCTTGAAAAGTTAATTGCACAAACCTTTGCTTTGACCCCAAATACGCTTGCTAGTGCCCTTCCCTGCAGCTTCCCAGACAATCAGCAGGGTCCATGGGGGCAGGGCCTGGGCACAGCAATGCCCTGCTTCCTGTCTGCATCCATAAGAGGCCCCTCCACACCGAGGCTGCTTTAGGTTAGCCAACCAGGTGCAGGGGAGGCCCCATGCAGGTGCCATTATACCAACAGTGAGCAAGAAATCAGAAAAAAGAGGACTGCCTTATGTTGAGAACTGACCAGAGATTGTGCTGGGCCAGTGTCACTAGGAGGGAGAAACAGATGATGCAGGTCGGGATGAGGCCCCTCCCAGGGGCTTGGACACTGTCCACTCCCTGCTGCCTTAGCTGCCGTTGCATAGTGTCCCCTCCTGTGCCTGGGAGCTTCTAGCCCAGGTGTGGTGTTCTCACCCACCCCTGCAGACTTACAGAACTTGTAAATAGACAGCACCTTGAGATTTCATCACTTTATGCAGATTTCCACTTGGGTCGTTGGGGACAGGGTCTTGGCCTAACAGCCGTCCTCTGACATCCACAGGCTCCCACCACACCACGATTGCAGTCATCGGGGAACTTCTTTTGGTGTCAGGAATGATTGGCTTAAATTAACATTTGTTTGCAAGATCAATTATTTTTTAGCATATAGTTTCTCTCCAAAGAAGCAACTAGGTCTTTAAAGATGTCCCAGTGCTTCTGTTAGATTTTTGACTCTTACCTGCATAATATTCCAAAGCACTCAGATCAAAATAAGACTTTTCCCAGCAAGTAGACTCAAAGAAAAAAAAAAAAGACTTAAAAGATCTATTAATACTAGTTGTGCTCGTTTTAGCAGCATATATACTAAAATTGGAATGATACAGAGAAGATTAGTATGGCCCCTTTACAAGGATGACACACAAATTCATGAAGTATTCCATATATATATATATTTTTTTTTTTTTTAATTAAAAAAGACCTATTAGTTAAATGTGTTAACTGAGAAGCCACATACAAACAGAAGCGAGTGGGAGGAAGAAAGAAGAGCTCAACCTTGGGGCCTGAGGACCAGGAGCTCCAGAGCTCCGAGCTCCTGCAGCCGTCCTGAGGTGTGAGGGTGGCAGAAAGAGACAGATGCTTCCAGGTGGAGCCGCTGGGAGAGGGGATGGGACGCCTAGTTAATAGTGGCAATAGCTGAGACATTCACCCAGAGCAGCACATAGGTTGCAGTCAAGTCCAGACTGACCACGAGTTTGGAAATACTGCCTGAGGCTCTCAGAGTTGGCCATCACCAAAAGTGGGCCCAGAGAAAAATGCCCAGGCATGCTGATAGGATTTCTTGGTATCCTTTCTTGAATCCACATGCAAGAAGATTAACCAAGTGGTGCAGGCTATCAGCCCAGAGTGGGGAAACCCCCACACTTGAATTTGGAATGGAATGTGGCCACGTTCTTCCAGTTTTTAAAACTCAGCGAGAGGCCCAGTCCCTTCTCTGAAGCAGACCACTTGAAGGATTTAGACAGAAAGTGTGTGCCTCCGTGCTCAAAATAGCTGCACACCCACCCTTCCCGGCAGCTGTGCAGCACGCTCACCTGCTTTGTTAGTGAGCACAGCTCTGATAACCAGGCCTGGGCTTCCTGGTGTGGCTTGCTCCCATCCTGGGGCATGCCTATGTCGCTCTAGGGAGGCACAGGAGAGTTTGGAAAGCAGGTCTCCTGTCATGTACTTGTTAGAGTTAGCAGAGGTGCTAAGTCATTGGTGCCCTTCTTTAAGAAAAGAGTAAGAAAGAAGACACAGGCTAGAAGGAAGGGGAGCCTGTAGCCTGATCTTACTCCCTCAGTCAACACCTGAGCATTAAGTGACCAGCTGGAGGTTGTCAGCTGGCTAGTGGCAGAGTCCCAACCCCCAGCTCCCAGAAGTGGACTCTATGTACCCCCAACCCACTGTGGGTTGAGAGGCTCCCAGCCCGGTGCCCGCCAGGCCACTCCCTATATGTGGAATGGCCTTGGTTCCCTCCAGCAGACAAGTCCCTCATCCCTGTTTTACGGGCCTTTCACCGTGTCCCTCCAGACCAGACACAGCCAGCCTCTGCCCACGTGCTCTCTCTTCCTTCCTGTGGGTCCCACCTGGCAGCAACGCAGGAAGGTCCAGGGTTGGCTGGTTTCCATTTCATAGCAGCCTGTCCCCACCTACCATACCAACTTCTCCCAGGAAGAAATGGGGCACAGTACAGTCACAGAAATAAGAGGTAGAGTTGACTGGTAACACCCTTTTCTGAATGCTCTGATGGCATTGCTGAGAATCCCCAGACAGCCCCAGGGATCCTGTTCAGGGCGCCCATGGTGGAGCAAGCTCAGTGAATGCCCAGTCACAGCTGGGCCTGGACAGGGTGGGATTCCTGGCTCCTTTATTTAAAAGGGCCCCCAACTTAGAGGTAAAGAAAGAAGTCGATGAAGTCCCTTTTGCATTTTGCAGGCCACGTGCGAGCGAGGGTTTGCAGCAATGGAAGAAACGCACCAGAAGAAGATTGAAGATCTCCAGAGGCAGCACCAGCGGGAGCTAGAGAAACTTCGAGAAGAGAAAGACCGCCTCCTAGCCGAGGAGACAGCGGCCACCATCTCAGGTTGGGGGGTGGGGTAACCCTGAGGGCAGGGTGGGTGGCCAGCTTTTTTTGAGCTAGACACACAACTCAGAGGAATGGCAGCCTTTAAATTGCCTTTTGGCTGAGATGTAAACTTCATTGTTGAAGGGTTCTTTGACTATTCACTCTGAGGCAAAGGCCAATTTTAGGTCCCTTTTGAGAGCTTGTAAACTGAGAGCGCACACTTCGACCCCTGACAGCCCCGTCGTGGCCGGCTGCACACAAGGAGCTGTCCCAACCTGTGACTTTCCAGTTCCAACAAGTAGACTGACCAGTGTCAGTCCAGCCAGTGACTTTCCCCCTGACAGACACCTGTCAACGTGGGACCACCTCTGGCCAGAATGCCCCTGCCGTCAGCGTGAAGATATGTAGCTTCACCGGCAGGTGGCCCTAAACAAGCACGTCCCCTCCGCCTTGTGCTGCCTTCCCTTTATGTAATCGCCACCTCAGTGGTTTGTTAATTTAGTTCCAAGGAAGAAAATACACCAGCACAAAAGCTTGCTTGTTTTATAAACTCATGTTGGAATTTAACAATGACATTTATTTAATCAGTTTGGTTTTCTTCTAACACCAAAAAAAAAGCCAAACGTGCATTCCTTCCAGGGGGAGTTCATGAAGAATTCTCCCAGCCTGCACCCACCTCAGAGAATTGGTTCATGAGGGGCCAGCCTGTCATGCAAAATCCAACTGCTGATTGACTAAGCAAGCATCAGCAGTGGCAGGCGCCATCCCATTGTGTGGAGCTCCCCACCCCCACCCCTGTCAGCAGGAAGGGCGTGGTCCCTCGGTGCTGAGGCCGTGTCCTTGCCTGCAGCCATCGAAGCCATGAAGAACGCCCACCGGGAGGAAATGGAGCGGGAGCTGGAGAAGAGCCAGCGGTCCCAGATCAGCAGCGTCAACTCGGATGTTGAGGCCCTGCGGCGCCAGTACCTGTAAGTGGCTGGGCCTGCCCATCTGCCCTTGGGAGGGCCCCTCTGGGGTGCTGACCAGGCCACAGCTGGGCCCTTCCTGTGTCTTTGCAGAGGCCTCCAGAAGTGGGGCCTGGGGCCCCTGGGTGCTGAGGGCAGCTCAGATGCCCTCTTGTCCAGTGCAGGATATGGCCCAAGTGGGGCCTCCTTTATTCAGAGAGACTGTTCCTCGAAATGCCAAGAACGAGATGTAACAAACGAAATCTTAAACTCCCCTCTTGTCCAGGGCTGATCCCAGCAACTGCCCAGATGTGTTCTTCGACAGCTGCCCTGCTAGCCCACCAGGAGCCAGGCAGCCGGGCTTGGTCGTACAGGGCAGAAGTGAGAACTAGCACTGTGGTTTAAAACCACACGTGCTGATTCCCTCTGCACAGGCAGGATAGAAAAATACCAGAAAAACTGCTGTAGACTTTTTTCACTTGGTAGAATTGACACAGCCAGAAGCCCACAGATTGGCCACCATGAGCCTCACGGCACTCAGGCTCTACCAGGAGCCTTTATAGCATAGCCGAAGCCAGGGGCCCTGCCTCAGGAGCTGGCAGCAGTCAGCAGCACCCTGTAGAGGCTCACGCTGACCTTGGTCAGAGCAGGGTGGCCCACCTGGAAGCCCCTCATCCCTGGTTCACCTGCAGGAGGACGGCCCTCCTGGATCCAGGGTGGCAGAACAGCCTCAGGAAGCTTGGGTTTTTGGGTCTTGTGTAGAGCCTGGTCCTGGCTGTCAGACACAGATGGCTTCAAAAGTGGGTTTACTGAAAACAAATTCTGAGTCAGAAGAGAGTTCTAGAAATGGGGGTTCTGTGTGGCTGCAGACTGGACTCTGTCCTGACTGGCATCCCCAGAGAAGTGCTAGCTGTAGGACTGTCAGACTGTGAGAAAGGACCAGGGAGGGGCGTGAGGCCATCTCTGTAAGGGATCCCTTACTCTGTATGACCCAGGCTGATTAAGACAACAGACTGTGTGGGCCTGACCTGTGCTTGGCTGTGTCTGGTGTCAAGGAGGGACACCGGCCTCTGAGAGGCCTTGTCCAGAAGCAGGCAGAGGAGTGAGTGCTGCCCTCTCCCCAGGGAGGAGCTGCAGTCGGTGCAGCGGGAACTGGAGGTCCTCTCGGAGCAGTACTCGCAGAAGTGCCTGGAGAATGCCCATCTGGCCCAGGCGCTGGAGGCCGAGCGGCAGGCCCTGCGGCAGTGCCAGCGTGAGAACCAGGAGCTCAATGCCCACAACCAGGTGAGCCTGCAGCCAGGTGAGCCCAAGGTTAGTCAGGGGCACTCAAGGTCAGGTAGACCCATAGTCAGGTGAGTCCACACTGGAGCTGGAGCCAGGCCTCACCCTCAAAGTGGCATGAAGGTCCCTGAACCACAGAGTGGTTACCTGCCCCAGGGCTTCTCCCTGCCACCCAGCGTGGCCATCTGTGTTGTCAGAAACATCACCGCGGATAGCTAGAGCAACGCTGTACTGCCACGTGCACCACCTGCTTACACATGACATCACTCTTGCTTTGACCCTTTCTGAGACTCTCGGGTGTCTTGGTGTCTTCTCTGTGCTCCTCTGAACCTCTGGCTCACTGTTTCTGGGCAGGGCCTGGCAGGGTCATCCCAATCCTCCAGGATCCTGTCCCCCAGGGATTGAGCTGACACTTCTCAGGGTCAGGCTTACGGCTCACATTTATTTTTGTCAGATTTTTTTTCTTAAGATTTGCTTGCTCTGTCCGGGCGCGGTGGCTCACGCCTGTAATCCCAGCGCTTTGGGAGGCCAAGACGGGCGGATCACAAGGTCAGGGATTGAGACCATCCTGGCTAACATGGTGAAACCCCATCTCTACTAAAAATACAAAAAATTAGCTGGGTGTGGTGGTGGGCGCCTATAGTCCCATCTACTGGGAAGGCTGAGGCAGGAGAATGGTGTGAACTCGGGAGGCGGAGCCTGGGTGACAGAGCGAGACTCCGTCTAAAAAAAAAAAAAAAAAGATTTGCTTGCTCCTTAGTTAATTGGGGTGCATTTAAATCCTGGCTAATGGAAAGGTTCAAGCCAGGATTCGTTCAATATTGGCTTTTCTGTGGGCACCAAATTAAAACAGCCCTCTATGACCCTGCCCTGCACAAACACCCCCTGGGGCTGGGAACATAGTCCCTTTCTCACCTGAGGCCTTCCCAAGGGGCATGGCTGCTGCACAGGGCTGTGTATGAGGCTGCTCAGGCAGGACTGGGTCCACTCACTGCTGCTGTGGCTTAAAGATTACCCCACAGGAGCTCAGATGGGACCAGCCATGGAACAGATTGACACTAGTTATTGTGACAGAAAGGAATTAAGGGTTATCGATTGGATCCTGCCTACGCAGTTCCACAGATACACAAAGAACCTAGGGAAATGGCCTTCCCGGGTTGTGTCATGCGACTTGGCCCCAGGCAGCTCTGGAGTGTCACTGTTGTGTTGCTGTCCCCCAGGAGCTGAACAACCGCCTGGCTGCAGAGATCACACGGTTGCGGACGCTGCTGACTGGGGACGGCGGTGGGGAGGCCACTGGGTCACCCCTTGCACAGGGCAAGGATGCCTATGAACTAGAGGTACCATCAGGAGCCAGGCCCTGCCTGACTCAGCTCTGCACCCAGGAACCCCAGGGGAGTGCAGCATGGCCCCTGTCTTACAGGGTTGTGGGAGGAACAGACCTGAGACAGCAGGAGTCACAGGGTCCAGGAAGATCCAAATCACCCGAAGGCGGCGAGGAGCAGTGAGCTGCCAGGTGGCATGAGAGCCACTAGCCGAGTGGAGCCCTCGAGGGGCTGTGGGGATCCTGACCCCATCTCACTCCACCCACTCCCCTCCATTTCTGCTATGCCACAAACACTGACCACTCAAAAGGACACGTTCTGTAGCCATGTGGCTGCTGCAGCTCAGGTCAGGGAGGCTCGCTTTATGTTAGAATGATGGATTCTGGAGTATAGGGTGTCCTTTTAGGAAGGCACTTAGATTTCTCCACATTCAATTAAAATTTCACCCTAAAATGTGCTAAAATTTCAGCACTCAGCCAGCCAGAGCTCACCCAGCTGGGCTGGTTCTGGTGGCTTTGAGCTTTGTCTCTGTCGTGGAGCCGCCTCCTGGCAGTGACACTGAGAGGCCAAGGCTGGGAGGGACCAGTGCTTGGTGTGATCAGCTCCTGCCCCGAGTCCAGGTGTTGGGCCGCTGTCTGCTGTGCCTGTGCCTTGTACTAAATGAGTGCTTTACCAAAAGGGCGGGCAAGAGAGGCTGAGTGAGTCTGACACAAGTGTCAGTGGTAACATTTCCTGATTCTCGCGGGCTTGGTCCCCAGAGACAAGCAGGTCTAGTTCACAGCACCCCAGGCTGAGGAGGGAGTCCTTGGCACTGGGAGGAATCACGGCCATTTCCTTCCTCTTCCTGTTTCTGTATGTGAGGCTGAAGCTGTGAGCGGTGTTTAAACGATGCTTGCCCGCATTGGGCACCACGAGGCTGCCCTGCTCACTGGTGATTGGAGAGCCCTCTGCACGCTTCAGCCTGCTGTGGAGACTCTGGAGGTTTCTTTGCTCCTGAATATTGGTCCCTGATCTCTCTGTCATTTTAGGTCTTATTGCGGGTAAAGGAATCGGAAATACAGTACCTGAAACAGGAGATTAGCTCCCTCAAGGATGAGCTGCAGACGGCACTGCGGGTAAGGCCACCGCACCACAGGAGGGCGGGTACGGGAACAGGCTCTAGGTGACATGCGCCTCCTGAACTCAGGCTGGTGCTCAGCGCGGGCTCTTCTGAAGCAGATTTTACTCTTGTGAGGAAGGAGGTTTCCAAAATCAAGCCCTCTTAAAAGACCAGCCTGCAGGCAGGTGCTGTGGGAACGTGGACATGAGCAACCTGCCTGGCCTGGCTCCAGCTTCAGTGTGTATGTGCTTTTTGTGTGCCTTGGGAGGAATGTTCCAGAGAAAAGGCCTGTGAAGTGAGGCAAGGCTTGACTTCCATTTGAGCCGCCCCCTGGCTTCCACCAGCCTCCTCCAGGGACTCCTGGAGTCAGGGGAGATGACAGAATCATTGGTGGTCACTCAGTCACCTAGGGAATCTAGGACACAGAGAGGATTTCCAGGCTGAAGCCCACAAGGGAGGGGCCTGGGCACTCAGGGCCACACCAGGCTGGTCGGGCAATCCCGGAACTGCCTCCTGCACTCACCGGGCCTGGAGATTATCCTGCCATGTCCTGATGGCTGTGCCCGTGTCCTTAGGCCCCGTGGTTTTTCCTCTCTGTCCACTGTCTGCCTCTAGAAGACAGAGGTGAACAAGCCTCCTCTTCCGCCCACAGCAAGCCTCCCTACCGTGTTCAGTCCCCAGGAAGACAGGCCATGTTGTATGTGCTCCTCTTTCCTGGATGTAACTACCATTCTCTGTCATTTCACTCCCAAGGACAAGAAGTACGCAAGTGACAAGTACAAAGACATCTACACAGAGCTCAGCATCGCGAAGGCTAAGGCTGACTGTGACATCAGCAGGTTGAAGGAGCAGCTCAAGGCTGCAACGGAAGCACTGGGGGAGAAGTCCCCTGACAGTGCCACGGTGTCCGGATATGGTGCGTCCTCGGGTCATGCCCTCTCGGTTATTGCTGGGGGGCTTATGGGGGTTTGGTCGTAGAGGTTTCCCGGTGCTTGACTTGAAGCAGAAGAGTCCCAGTGATGCTTGTAGACCCAGGCATCCCAGTGGAGCAGGAGCACCAGCTTCACACGGCTGCCCCAGACAGGCCTTGCTCTCCCCATCGCAGCAGTGGATGCTGTGCTGATTGCTCTAGGGAGAACCCATAGTATCAGCATAATATTTTCGAAATAATAACAAGTCTTATTTTTCTAAAGAACTCAACCACTGGGCAGAAGTAGCTCTCACTAGCTGCTTGATCCTAGGATTTGACTATAATATCTGTAAAAGGCCATAGAGTGGAGAATGGGAGGGAGCTCCCTGCTTTCTGGAATGAACAACAGAACTGGCCCTTTTTTTCTTGGCTAAAAACATTTAGGTACCCTGTAAAAAATAGATGGCAGGAAGGATGAAAGAGTTAACATTTTATCAAGCATTTTCAGCTCATACGTAATTTTTTTTTTTTTTTTTTTGAAACTGGGTCTTGCTCTGTTGCCCAGGGTGGAATGCAATGGCGTGATTTCACTGCAGCCTCCGCCTCCCAGGCTCAAGGATTCTCCCACCTTAGCCTCCCCAGTAGCTGGGACTACAGGAGTGCACCACAAAACACCTGGCTAATTTTTGTATTTTTAGTAGAGACAGAGTTTCACCACGTTGCTCAGACTGATCTCAAACTCCTGGGCTCAAGCGATCCAGCCACCTTGGCCTCCCAAAGTGCTGAGATTACAGGTGTGAGCCACTGCACCTGGCCAGATTATACATAATTTCATTTGACCTTCATCTTGATTTTTTATACAGAGACGCACAAACAGGAAAAGATGTGCTAGCTCACTAATATCAAAAAAGAAAAAATCAACTTTTTTTCTGTCAGGCAAGGAATAGTGATTATGTACTGACAGATGCTGGGAGGAAGACTTCATTTTTCCATAAATACCTTGAGTAGTCAGGCTTGGTGGTAGGCCTGGCTACCCAGGAGGCTGAGGTGGGAGGATCACTTGAGCCCAGGAGTTCTAGGCAGTCACACACAAAGCTAAGTCGATCAGGTGTCCACACTAAGTTTGGCATCAATATGGTGACCTCCTGCGAGTAGGGGATCACCAGGTTGCCTAAGGAGGGGTGAACTGGCTCAGGTCAAAATGAAAGAGGTCAAAACTCCTGTGCTGGCCAGGTGCAGTGGCTCACACCTGTAATCCCAGCACTTTGGGAAGCTAGGTGGGCAGATCACTTGATCTCAAAAGTTCAAGACCAGCCTGGGCAACATGGCAAAACCCTGTCTCTACAAAAAATACAAAAAAACTAGCTGGGACTGCTGGCATGCACCTGTAGTCCCAGCGCTACTTGGGAGGCTGAGGTGGGAGGATCACTTAAGCCCAGCAGGTGGAAATGGCAGTGAGCCATGATTACACTGCTGCACTCCAGCCTGGGTGACAGAATGAGACCCTGCCTCAAAAAAAAAAGAAAAAAAAAACCTGTGCTGACCTGTGGTGGAATCACACCTGTGAATAGGCACTGCATTCTAGTCTGGGCAACACAGCAAGAATCTGTCTCTTAAAAGAAACAGAGGGCGGGCGTGGTGGCACCCGCCTGTAATCCCAGCACTTTGGGAGGTTGAGGCGGGTGGATCACGAGGTCAGGAATTCGAGACCAGTCTGGCCAACATTGTGAAACCCCGTCTCTACTAAAAATACAAAAATTAGCTGGACATGGTGGCACATGCCTGTAATCCCAGCACTTTGGGAGGTTGAGGCGGGTGGATCACGAGGTCAGGAGTTCGAGACCAGTCTGGCCAACATTGTGAAACCCCGTCTCTACTAAAAATACAAAAATTAGCTGGACATGGTGGCACGCACCTGTAGTCCCAGCTACTCGGGAGGCTGAGGCAGGAGAATCGCTTGAACCCAGGAGGCAGAGGTTGCAGTGAGCTGCTGAGTTTGTGCCACTGCACTCCAGCCTGGCGACAGAGCAAGACTCCATCTCAAAAAAAAAAAAAAAAAGCAAAACAAAAAACCCCACACATGCACAGGATGTGTGATATGACTCAGTATCTGTTTGTGTTACAGGTACTTAAGTAGACATTTCTAAGAAGCCTAAAGGACTGCTATCTGGGTGGGTGGACAATGAGAAGGCCTTGGCCTTATCATCTTGCTTTAGACAGCCCTGTGCTACCAGGAGGAAGGTAGAGAATCATGGATAATGGGGGTAGGGGTCTGCTCAGCATTGAGGTCCCACACCAGAGTGAGGGGACCAAGTCCCTTTGAAGGGAATGCTGTTGTGGGCTACAGTCACAGTGCAGGAAGCCCTGGCGGGGCCCCACATACACATTCTCCCATTGTGCTGGTGTTTTATGGTGGTCTGAAGAGATCTAGCATGTTTTATGGTTATTGGCTTTGAATTCCCTTAGAGTTGTTTAAGGAATTGTCCTAAGTATGCTGCAGTAGGAAGCTTGGGAAATGTTTCAGGATTTAGTCTGGTTCCAGAGGGTTTTAGAAAGCAAAGGTAACAGGTCTGTTTGTTTTCATTATATACCGCAGATATAATGAAATCTAAAAGCAACCCTGACTTCTTGAAGAAAGACAGATCCTGTGTCACCCGGCAACTCAGAAACATCAGGTCCAAGGTGAGTCTGGGGTCCAGCCCCCTGGTGGGAGGGGCTTGAGGGACACTGGGGAGAGTAGCCCAAATTGAAGTATGAGTGCTCCCATGGGCCACAGCTGCCAAAGCCCCAGGGCCCAGCACTGAGCCAGCCCGAGCTCACCCTGCTGGGCTGGTTCTGGTGGCTTTGAGCTCTGTGTCTGTCTTGGAGCCACCTCCTGGCAATGACACTGACAGGCCAGGGCTGTGAAGAGCAGTGCTTGGCATGATCAGCTCCTGCCTCGAGGCCAGGTTTCACCCAGCCCTGCTCATGTCGGCCTGCTGTCAGCTGTGCCTGTGTTGTTCCTTGCACATCACTGTTGTGACACTGGTGCCGCCTCCAAGAGATGATGCTGCCTGCTCTTGTTCCCCAGCCAGGAAGCAGTACATCTTTAGTGTGCTGTCCAGAGCCAGCCATGCACAGGAGGGCGGGCGGAGGTGGGAGCGGCACCGCGTGTGTTTGGGATTGGTTGTGTGTCTCATGTCTGCTCTCTCCTCTGACAGTCCGTAATTGAGCAGGTCTCGTGGGATACCTGAAATGCACCCGCTTCCCGGCCCATGCAGGAGGTAAACCGCCTCTCCCACCGCCTGCATGCACTGCTCACACCCCCATGGCAAACGCCTGTGTCATGGTTACTTTATTTCAATTCATCCTGCTCCAACAAACACATACCAAATCCAAGTGAGGTTTCTTTAACCTGCTCTGGGGAGTTAATTGGCACTCTAACCTCTTAACAGAGATGACCCTGGCAGTGAGGTGCTCCTCTAGCCTGGTGGGCAGGCAGAGAGCCAGGCACCCATCAGCATGCATGTTGGATAATCTGTGCACAACGGCTGAACTCACTCCACCCCCTCAGGGGACACTTGTCTTGCCCTCTGTCACGAGGTGGAATTTACAGATGTCCACACTGGCAAGTGAAGTCTACCGTCACCAAAGGCCTCGCCCACCTAGTGAGCCACTTAGTGGCCTCTGTCTGTCAAGGCTAACAGGGTGGTCATTCTAGGAATGGATAAACCAGGACTAGAGCTTGGTGAAGATGGTTCAGAAGAGCGTGATAACTACAAGCAATAGGGGCGAAATATTTACCAGTATTTTTTTTTTTAATAAAACAAAAGCTTCTCACTAGGTGCCATTGAAGGCCCTATGCCAGAGAGGAGGTGGGGGAGGGCCCATGGTGGGAGACACCCTGAGAATGAGTAGTTGCCGGCTCAGTAGCTTGATCTCGTTCATCCCGGAATGAGAACATGGAGGAAAGCAAGAACCACGTCTTCCTCCCCATGCTGGCCCTTTCTCAGGCACACCCACAGCACCCCGCCGTCCGAAGGACTTCATCCTGAGGCTTGGTTAAAGAGTTGAAGGTTTTAAGCCTAGTCAGTTTGGTTTTATTTTTCTACAGTTCTAAGTCCCCTATACCCAAATATGGTTTAGGCTTGATTGAAAACTTAGCTTGGGCATTTTTCTTTAAACATAACGTTTTGTTTAGCAAAAGGAAACTTGTTCTTTTTTGGTTCACGGTTTTCTTACTGAAGATTCTACTACTTATTTGAGGCTAAACTGTAGCTAGTATCTTTGAGCTTTTCTTGAAGGAGTTTGAAGTTCACTATTAGTGATTTGGGCTTTTGGACCATGTCTATAAGTGACATGGGACCGGCTGTCACTGACAGGACCCTTCCAGGGAGGCTGTGCAACACCCACGGGCCCCTGACAGTAACTCTGTGCAGTGAGTGGGTGGGGGCCTCTCACAGTGGCTGGGAACCAGCCAGAGCAGGGATGAGGGAGCAGACTGTCTGGGCCCCAGGGCAGACTGAAAAGGATGGAGAGAAACCCCAGGATGGGGTCCTCCTCCTTATGTGTTTTTAAGTTGATGTTTGGCTTGGCTGGGTTTCCGTAATAAAAATCCTTGGAGTGCAGGGCTAGTCCTGCTGGCCCCAGCAGAAAGTCGAGGACTTCCTAGATGTCTGTGGTGCAACAGGGCAGGATGGGGCCGTGTTCGCGCTCCCAGGAGACATTAGGAGGCACAGGCATGGGTGGGTGTCATCCTTTTCCTCAACTGTATCTGAAGACTCCACCCAACCCTTCAAGAAGATGGAAATGCAGTTGCCCAGAAACCGTACTTCTCAGTGGTGTTTTTTGATGTGGCATCTGATGTGCACTGATCTGTGTCTTTTGTTCTGTTCTGTTTTTCTGTCCTGCCTCGCTCGAAAGGACCGCAAGTCTCAGCTGCTACAAAATCAAAGACAGCAAGTTGCTTAGGAGCAGCACAGCCTTTTCTGGGATTGAGACCAGAGAATGCTTCCCTCGGGGTTCTTAAGGGGCCCCCGTGTCTGTGGTCAGCTCAGTATGTGGGGCTACAGGAGGCACTCAGTGGAGACAACAGCCTAGGGGGAGATGAACCCCAGAGGGAGCTGGCTGAGCCTTGGGCTGAGCAGCCACCGGGAGAGAATCCAGAGGACGTAGAGAGAGAAACAGCCTCCTGCAGCCAGTGTGGGAATAACGTAGGGGATTTCACTTACTTCCCACCCTTGGAATTGTAGCAAGCCCAGCATCACCTGAGCCTGAGCTCTGCCCTTTGTCACTGGGGCAGGAGCCAGTAGCGAGCATGCTGGGTGCTGTGGCTGTCAGGGCGCTCCCCTCCCCTGGGCCTGCTGTAGCAGGAATCTGGGGCTTCTGACGCAGTGCCTGCAAGGAGCAAACCCAGGCCTTAGGAGTGATCAAACTCACTACAGTCCTGACAGAAAGTCCCCAACAAGCAGGAACCGGGATGTCAGTGACATCCCCCAGCCATGCTCCGGGGCCTGCCTCTGAGTAGCACTTAGGCTCAGGGCTGCCTGCCTGGCTTGGCCCCAGCCCCTTCAATGGTGACCAGATGTCTACCCAGGTCCTCTGCAAGACTGACTGCTGTGAGAACCCTGCACTCTGTGGGGAGGGACCCCCCAAGGGCACCTGGAAGCAGGCATGGGTGTTGAGGTACATCTGGGCTCAGAATGGGAGATGGATTTTCCCCCCATTCCCCCAGCCACTCTCTG
The DNA here is from genome assembly GCF_000001405.40 of Homo sapiens. NCBI lineage: Eukaryota > Metazoa > Chordata > Mammalia > Primates > Hominidae > Homo > Homo sapiens. Next base: position 17,183,130 of record NC_000017.11, read on the forward strand.
TGGCAGGCTTCCAAAGAAACCCTCTCAGAAACACACAATTATCAAGCTGTGACAACTGCTTGAGGTGAGGCTCACCTGGACCAGTGAGGTTGTTTGTTTGTTTTGAGACGGAGTCTCGCTCTGTCGCCCAGGCTAGAGTGCAGTGGCGCGATCTCTGCTCACTGCAAGCTCCGCCTCCCGGGTTCACGCCATTCTCCTGCCTCAGCCTCCCATGTAGCTGGGACTACAGGCGCCTGCCACCACGCCCAGCTAATTTTTTGTATTTTTTAGTAGAGACGGGGTTTCACTGTGTTAGCCAGGATGGTCTCGATCTCCTGACATCGTGATCTGCCCGCCTCGGCCTCCCAAAGTGCTGGGATTACAGGCGTGAGCCACCGCGCCCGGCCTGGACCAGTGAGTTTTAAAATGCTTAGCAGCAGAACCCTGTATTTAAAAATCACATTGTTTATTTATTTACACAGACACATAGCTCCAGAATATAGCAAACAAGCAGGTCTGTTCTGGGTAGAGCTGGGTGGGGTGGGGGACAGTGGAGCTCCCCCTTCCCTTGAGCTTTGGAGGGAGCCTCAAGCTGACCAGCCCATGCTCAGTCCCCAGTCTATCACACCAGAGTCTCCAGGACAGTGCCAGAGTGTGCCTGAGCCTAAGCTGGCGACTTCCCAGTAGATGGGGTACAGCCTGCAGTTTCACGTTGCTCAGGTTTTTGGTTGAAACTGGTAGAATCAGGCAGACCCTGAGCTAGAGCCCATCCCTTCAGCTTCCAGTTTCTCAGTAAAGCCTGTACCTGCACCAGCTCTGGCAAGGGTAAGCCACAGGGAGTCAGCAGGGCTGAGTGTGATGGCGACACTTAGCGTGAAGAGGGAGATAAGTGAAGAGCCACAGCACTTTCCAGTCAGTACTGGAATGCCCTTCATTTCCAGTCATTCTCTGAAAAGTGCTCTTCCTTTTCTTATTCAGAAATTAAATCATTGAGGAAAGTCTGTAAGAATGAGATGGGAAATACTCTGTCCCCTAGTTAGTAAGATCTCATTCATCTCTGGACATACAGATTTAAGCTTTAGCAAGATTCCACGTGAACAGAGTATTGGTTTTATGTTTTGAAAATCTTACTAGATACGTTGGCGTGTTCCCACATCCCCATAACACTCACAGGCCTCTGATGAGGGAATGCCAGAAATGGGTCTGAGGGCAGCAGGTGCTGCGGAGGCACTGTAGGAGCGAGGCCCTGTCCCGGGACACCCATCCTGCTGGGGATTCCCTGGAGCATCTGGTCCTCCTCAGCTGAGGCTGTCAGGTGAAGAATCTCTGGAGCTGGATGTGGACAAATCCATTCACAAGACAAGACACGGGGATGGGCAGTCTCCTTGCTCATTGCACTGTTTTCCCTGGCTGGATTCGTTTGATCACTGCTTCTCTAAAGAGCCCTAAGCTCAGAATTTAGCTGCTTAAACACATGGTCTTGTCTCTCTGATTTTTTTTTCCTTTTTCATCCAAGTAATTTTGTGAAGGGGAAAACATCCTCCAATAACAGCATTTCCCGGGGACTCTCCTCCTGGCATGCCCACTAACCGCACCTGCACCCGGCTCTCTGACTGATGCCGGCTCCACCAGCGGTCCGGTCTGGTCCGGTCCGGTCCAGTGCAGGGGGTCTAACGGTGTGTTTATTTTCTCCTCCTGCTCTGTCTCTACCCAGAGTCTGAAGGAAGGCCTGACGGTGCAAGAACGGTTGAAGCTCTTTGAATCCAGGGACTTGAAGAAAGACTAGGTGTGTCCCATCCAAGTTGAGCACGCGCCTTCCCCAGCTTGCAGCAGCACACCCCAAGCGCTGCTTTTCACCTGTACCTTTGTTTTATTATTATTATTATTATTGCTGTTGTTGTCATCGTTAACTGTGGGCATGGAATGCGTGAGGCTGGCTTCTGGGTTGTCCACACCACTCTCTGCTGTGTTGACTTCCTGTTGTCTTCATCAAAGCTTTTTTCCGTGGTATTCTAAAATTAGGCCAGCAGTGGGGGCTGGGAGGGCATCTGTGTTAGTCCTTTCCTGGCTGTGACCCGCCACACTCACTGTCAGTATTAAGGCCCAGCAGCCTGTTGATAAGCTACCCTGTCTCACCATGTGCTGGTGTGGAAACGGGGCCCAGCCAGCACGCCTCAAGGTAGATGGAATCCCCACTGGTCAGAGAAAAAGCTATGCGGACACTCCAGCTTGGCCTGGGTCACAGCACTGACTCCTCACCCGCTAGTCTGGCTGTTAAGAGGAGAAAGTGCACTGCCTTCCAGCCCAGGAGGAGGACAGCATTTTGTATTTGTTCCACTGATGCAGCTTAGAACCACACCCCTGAGAGTCGTGGCAAACCTTTCACAACCTGGAAAATGTTGAAAGCAACCATTCCTATTTTTGTTTGTTTTTTATTAAATCTTGCACAAAATCCCCGGCCCCTCTCCTTCCTTCCTTCCTTCCTTCCTCCGCTCGTTCCTTTCTTGGTCTCCAGTAACCCTGGTCTTTTCATAACTGCTCGAGATTGTTGACCTGCAGCCCAGGTTTCAGACTCTGATTGCAAAAAACAAATGAATTCCCCCCAGGAATCATTCAAAATGGGGGAAGGTTTGGGGGTTTGGGTTTTTTTTTTACCTTTTGGAAAAGAAACCGTCACATTGCTTTGGAAAAGGTTGAGAGGAGACCCCTGTTAAGTCAAGAAGAAAGTACAGAGGATGTCAGAATCTGATGAGAACAGCACATTAGTGTTTATTGAGACTCCGATCTTAACTCTCATTTAATTAATCTGAGCTCTGAAAACCTATCTTGCAGCATTTATCTTTAAAAGAGCCTGGTTAAAGTAAACCTATACTAACAATTTTGCTTTTTCTAACAGTTTGAGGAAGACCTTTTTAACCACCACAAAACATTCTATGGCAATTCTTGAAAATCTCTTAAATTGGAGTCTATTATGGCCCCATGAAAACCATTAATCCCATTAAGATAGGGAGTATAAACCCCTGGCTGGTGGAACAGGTTCTGCTACTTTAGGAGCAAGGTGGGGTGTGAGTAGATGGTTTTCATGCCAAGAACATGCTTTCACTTTGTATTCATGCTTGTGTTGGTGTGATGGTCTCTGTGGGTGGGTGGATGCTTTGGGCGTTGAAATCTAGAAATCCTGTTGCTCAGTTTCTAGATGAAGTCATGAGCAAGGCCATCAGTGGAGCTCTGGCCCCGCCCCCAATGTGCAGAAGGGCCGGGAGCAAGGCCTGGAGTTTTCATGTGTTTTCAGACCCAGGTTTAGGTGCTCTCTTCTCACTGAAATAACTAAGTGCTCTCCACTGGCATCGAGCCCTTTCCACAAGTTTTTAAGGCTCTTAACCCACACTTTCACTCCTCTGCTACTAGTCTTCAGTGTTGTTAACAGCAAGAGAAAATTGGGTTTGTTTAAAAATCTACTTCTCTGAGGTGGCACAGTTGCGTAGCTGTAGTCCCAGCTACTCAGGAGGCTGAGGTAGTAGGATTGCTTGAGCCCGGGAGGTCGAGGCTGCAATCAGTCATGATCGTGTCACTGCACTCCAGCCTGGGTGACAAAGCAAGGCCCCATATCAGATATAGATATACTTATCAGACCCCCCCTGACCATTTAGATTGGCAGTGCTTTGAGAAATGCACTATGACCTTTCTGTGTCAATGGGAATATACAGAAGGAACATTCGGGACCCCGCTGTCCCCCACAGCCTCATTGTTGTCTCCAGGACACTGCTGGGTCACACGAATGCTCCAGGACAGACAGGGACCTGGAGTGCATCAGGATCTGACCAGATAGGAGTTTTTGCCTCGTGTCTGGGTGCTACGATTTTGTGCCGTTCTCTGAGGTCCACCACCTGCCCTTCCTGGCATGGTTTCCTTCGTGACCATCCCTGCTGCCCCTGGGGGTGGACCCCACTGGCCCTTCTGCAGACAGCTCCCTGCCTTCTGCCCTCCAGGGGGTTCTGGCCAGAGTCCATGCTTGGAGACAGGATCATCTGCCTTCAGCCCTCACAGTGCTTTAAATTAAAGCAAGTTTGCCCATAGGACAAAAGAGCATTTGATTCCCTTTTTTCTGTCACATATCCCTTGAGGCTGGACTTCAGGAATCCTGGAAAATTAATATGAGTGCAGCATGTGAGGGGTCAGAGACAGGCCAGCAGGGCGTCTGCATTCCTCCCTGCCACAGGTCTCTCCCCAGAGGCTGGTTTAGTGTAGGGTATTGCCAGGAAACGGACTGAGGCTGCTTTGCTAAGAGCTCCTGAAAATGCCCTGGGCCTGTCCTGGCGTTTCTGAAGAGCCCTCATACAGGGACAGCCACCATCTGGGTCAAGGAAGTCTGGGTTCCCTGCTGGTGGGCTCCATCCTGCGATGGAGTGAACCAGGCGAGAAAGGATGACGATGTTCTTCATGTTGCACCTGGACATGCCCCAGGAACAGAGACTTGCCCAGGTGGCAACACTGGCACAGATGTTGACGGCTGCCCAACTGGTGCCACACTGAGCAGGGAGCCTTGTGCTGCACAGGGCTGGGCCCTCTCTCCAGTTTCCTTCCTGCAGGCATCCAAATACCCTGGAAGGGATTTAACCCCTGAATTCCAGAGGGAAGAAAGAAGAACAGTGAAGAAGTAGAACTGGTTTCTGTATGGGGAGAGGAAAGTCTTAGGGACAGCTGCAGGCGGGGTCTCAGGCTGCTCCTTGGCACCAGCTACACAGTAGTGAGCTTTCCCAGCTTTACCGATGAGGAAGAAGTTCAAATAGATAGACTTCAGCATTTTAATTATTTTCCTATAAATGTATTTATGTGTAGTATGCTAGCACCAGCCAGTAAGCTGTGCCACACATATGAATGGGAAAGCGAGGCAGTTGTGCTCGTGTGAGTTTCTGCAGGCTTGTGGGTAATTACCTTGTGTGCACGCCTGCACGTGCAGAATAGTCACTTTCTGCTGGTCAGTTTCTTTATCCACCCATGGTGCCCCAGCCCCAGGCAGGTGTGGAGACCAGCATTTCAGAGGACGCGCTGTCCACAGCCTCCCGGGTCTGAGTGGATCATTGGGCAGGGGTGGAGACAGTGCGCTGCCCTCTGAGCTGGAAGCCTGTGCTTCAGGGAGTCATAATGGGCCTGTGCTAAGTGGGTGATGCAGTGGACATCCCAGGGCGACTAGAGGTGGCAGTATCGCGAATTTGCAGGTTTATTGAACAAGAGGTAACATCGGAGAGGATCTTGCCTTCGGATTCAGCAAGTATGAAGGCAGAAGAGCATGGAGAGCAAGGCCCCACAGCCTGCTTAGTGAGTTGGAAGGCCCAGCAAGAACCTGTTTCTGCAGCAGCCACCAGCTCCCATCACCCCTTGACCCTCCAGCTCATGCTGGAGAAGAGGGAATTTTGGCTGTTTAAAGAACACAGTTGTGAATCTCAGAATGTGCCTGAAAGGAATACTGACAGATAAGGCCGGAAACAAAACTGATGGCTTGAAAAACATTTTTATGGAATGTATTTACTATCATTTTGTTTTACTATAGAGGTAGATGGGACTCTTAACTTTTGGGTACATGGAAACATGCTGAAAACTGAACACAATCCTGATCATCACTCCTGCCTGGCTGTCTCCTGGGAGGCTGCCGGGTGCCACGGAGCTGGGACACAGCAGAGCCCGCTAGGTGTTGCAGGGCCCTGGAGGCCAAGGCCACCCTGTGTGGGGTCCCTGTTGGCAGCCAGGTCCCTACACAAACAAGTAATCCTGTTTGGCCTCCTAGGTTTTGCATATGACCTGCAGCCTAATTTGGGGTGTAGGGGAAGCTCTGCTGGCCCCTGCTCCTTTGTATGTTGGGTGACTTTAATGGCTGGCCACATACCCCTTTCTCCCAGCTACTCATTCACTGACTTGGGTAAGTTCTAAGACAGTTCGCACTTAGAAAAGAATGTGACACATCAACATTAACTTTTCCTGAAAAGAAGAGTTTGCCTAACATGGTCCTAAAGAAGCTTGGAATTTATAAGACTTTCCTTTATAAGATATAGTGGGGGTTTTTTTGGGTGGAGGGGGGTTGTTTTTTGTTTTTTGTTTTCAAGACAGAGTCTCGCTCTGTTGTCCAGGCTGGAGTGTAGTGGCATGATCTCGGCTCACTGCAACCTCTGCCTCCCAGGTTCATGCCATTCTCCTGCCTCAGCCTCCCGAGTAGCTGGGACTACAGGTGTCTGCCGCCACGCCTGGCTAATTTTTTTGTATTTTTAGTAGAGACGGGGTTTCACCATGTTGGTCAGGATGGTCTCGATTTCCTGACCTCGTGATCCGCCTGTCTCGGCCTCCCAAAGTGCTGGGATTACAGGCGTGAGCCACCACGCCTGGCCTATAAGATACGGTAAAAAAAAAAAACTGTGACCCCTTTGTCACTAAGGGAGAAAGAAATTAAGTATTGTCAAAGTTCTATAAAGAATGGAAATGTATGATATTATACTTCAAAGGAATTTGATGTTGAAATTTTAAAGAAAATTTGTCATGTTGATGAGAAGCTTCACTTTCCTGGGAACTTCATTCGTTTTAGGGCATGAGATAAAAGTCCTGGCTAGGGGAGCCATAGGTCTGTTGTACAAGGAATTTGCTTTCTAAACAAGTTGTAACTTGCCCTAAGGTCCCTGTTGGAGCACTAAGAGGTGACACAGGCCAGAGACAACGTTTCGTTTCCCCTTCCCTGCAAGCTGGGATCAGCCCTGTGTTTTCTCCTTTCAGCTGAAGTGAGCGAAGGTTCTCAGTGCTGGCAAAAGAGCCCACTTTCTAAAAGGACTTGGGAAGAAAGCTGCTGGGAACTTGCTTATTAAAAAGTTCCTTAGAATTAAGGTATCTACCCACTGTTTTCGCACCTTTCACCTTCCTGGGCTTTCCTGCCCTCCAGCATTCTTCTCTAGAGAGGTTCCTAGCCCGCTCAGCGCGAGCGTCTCCAGTAGGTAATAGCAGCTGAACGTGGGTTTTCCACGGACTTCAGGCTTGGAGGTGCCATATACAAGCACACTTCTTCCTTCCCCTGGCTTCTCCATGCCACCACCCACTTTAAAGATGTAAACTCAGTAGATTTTTCATCCAGTGAACGGTCATCTTCACATCGAAAGGTGAAGGCCACCACTGTTCTCAATGCCAAGCAACAGAACGTTCTGAGATGGCCGTTCTTCCTTGCACAGCAGCTACGGCAGGTTGTTCTGCAGCCACCCCTTAGAGGGGGCTCTTCGTTTTACCTTTGTACAGTTCTTGTGTTTACACATTTGGGCCAAACAGCTTTCAGCAAGGGCATGTGTCCACAGCTGATGGGCAGTTAAGAACCAGCCTGAGCTGAAGGCTAGTAATACCGTGCTGTAGGCTCTTTAAAAGGAAAGCCTGGCATAAACCCAGCATGGAAAGGAACATTATCAGTTATCTCAAATTTTGTCTGCCAGGGACAAGACCCTGTTCATTCTTTTGCCCTTTTCAGAACTGTGAGCTTCAAGTATTCTTGCTTCTCTGTAAAGGGAAGACATCTCCCTTCTCTGAAATCCTTCAACAAAAGAAAAGGCTCTTGGCAGGGTAGGGGAGTCAGTAGCTCAACACTAGATCATCCCTAGAGATGGGGCAAGTTTCTGTCTGAACACGTCTTGGGTCCGAGTCCTTAGGTGTTCGGATGCAGTACTTTGTGAATACTTAAGCTACTGCATGCTTGGTGTAGCTTGCAATTTCTCTGTATTTAAAAGCAGCTGTGTTTATTTTCTTCAAAATAACCTGTATATTATTTAGAGCAAGCAATGTAAATATTACTGAGAAGTTACTGCAGGGATTTTTGTGACAGAGTTTGTATGGGTTTTTAAAAAAATCTTAGACACCCCTTTTTAAGATGGGGAGAACAGGGTTGACTGCACCGTTGAAGCCCGCCCAGCATTATAAGGAAATGTTTTTAATGACTGCTGCATCTTTGTAAAACGTTTGGTCATCTAACAGATGGTTTTAAAGTGTACAATATCCAAAATAACGATAGCCCTGTATCCATACATTGTTTCATTGAAAGAATTCTCTATTGCCTCTTCTTGGTAGAGCCAGAGTCCTTAAGGAAAATCAGGAAAATTAAGAAAATGATGGTGCCATCTTGACCAGACTTCTGCACAGTAATTTAACGCTATCCTAGGGAGACTTGGTTGAAGGCACAGTTCTGGGATCAGGGTCTAAATGTGCAGTTTCTGAGAACCTTCAAGACCACTCACTGGGCAGGGCTCTGTGGAGCACTGGAGCTGTTTGGATTCCCCAGCCCTTTGGTCATATCCTGGAATTCCGTGGAGGCTGCAGAACTTAGATGCAGCTGTTTTTTACAGCACCTATTTTTGTCAGATTGGTAAGGAAACACTGAGTCACAGAATACTTAAGAATTGGAGACTCCAGTAATGTAGGATGGCCTGAGAGGACGTCCAAGTCCCAAGGGGTGGACACGGCATGTTCCTCGGGCACAGCCTCAGTGGGGGCCTTCCCCAGGCGCAGCTCGGCCACCTGAGGAAAGGGTGTTTCGGAGGCGCAGCCACACACACAGCGCTGGCAGCCTCACGGTCACGCCCATCACTCCCTGCCCCCCACTGCCCTTGAGAAGTTAGTGGTGTCACATCCTTAGTTTTATAGACAGCTAGGAATAGATTGTGAAGAACACTCAGTTCACTACTGTGTTACATTTATATCACAAGCTTCAATTAAAATGGATTTTAAAGGATTTTAGGATTTACCTTTAGTATTAACAACGTATCTACTGACATACTGTTAGGATTCAAAACCAGTTAAGTATAAGAATTACTTCATGTGGTTTTCCTAGGGTACAATTTATAAAAGGTAGAAAGCATCCAAGTGGCTCCTCAACAATTACAATTCTTAATGATTTTTCTCACAGCTGTGCCCTTCTGTCAGGGTCAGTGTCAAAATTCGTTATCAAAGGCAAAACCTACTGTGCCAAGCTGGGGCGCTATATGTGAACGGAGTGGAAATGCTTCAGTCACCTCTGCCGCAGCTTGTGATTCCAGCAGTTCTCACAAACGTTCTGTCACATGATGAAAAGAAGCAGCTTGTATAATTCCAACTGGTGTTTCATTTCTGTTCTAATGCTAAGTGGTAACGCTTAACAAACAGACTAAAAGCTGTGTGCAGAAGAAAGGGCTGAATGAGTACCGCCTCCCTAGGTTCCAGCACAGCGCTCGGGTCTAAGAAGTAGAGCCCCGGGGTAGGGTGGGCCATCCACTGTCAGGCCAGTGTCTCAAGAAAGCCTGACCAGCTGAGCTGCTGCTTTTTTTTTGGGGGGGGGGGGGGGAGGGGCGTCTTGAGGCTTTTTTTTTTTTTACAAAGTTAGTTTGTGATCAACGATTCACTACAATTGAAGTGTTACTTTGTCAGAATATTTATTCCTTTGTGTGACATGCTAGATTCCCTGGATGTAGCTGATCATTTTTATTTTGTAAATATTACCTAACTTTACATAAACTATATCATAATAAACTATTTTTGCATCACCCTTTGCATGCTGTGTAATGAGATTTTGTTTAGTTGAGAGACATCTGCAAAATAAGCACGCAGGTCAAAAGGCAAACTGAACAGTAGCCTCCAGCTCTAGAGTGGGTTGATTTCAGTTTCATTACCTCCTTTTTTTTGAGACAGTCTCACTCTGTTGCCCAGGCTGGAGTGCAGTGGCAGGATCTCGGCTCACTGCAACCTCTGCCCCCGGGGTTCAAGTGATTCTCCTGCCTCAGCCTCCCAAGTAGCTGGGACTACAGGGGCACGCCACCACGCCCAACTAATTTTTTGTATTTTTAATAGAGACGGGGTTTCACCGTGTTAGCCAGGATGCTCTCCATCTCATGATCCGCCCGCCTTGGCTTCTTAAAGTGCTGGGATTACAGGTGTGAGCCACCGTGCCCGGCCTTTATTTTATTTTATTTATTTTTTTTGGAGCAGGGTCTCACTCTGTCACCCAGGTTAGAGTGCAATGGCATGATCTTGGTTCACTGCAGCCTCTGCCTCCTAGGCTCAAGAGATTCTCCCACCTCAGCCTCCCAACTAGCTGGGACTACAGGCATGCACCACCACACCCAATTAATTTTGCATTTTTTGTAGAGACGGGGTTTCCCTGTGTGGCCAAGGCTGGTGTCGAACTCCTGGACTCAAGCAGTCCTCCCACCTTTGCCTCCCAAATTGCTGAGATTACAGGCATGAACACAGTGCCAGGGCCTGATTACCTCCTTTTGAATTACAGTGGATTTTTTTTTTTTTTCTTTTTTGAGACAGAGTCTTGCTCTGTTGCCCGGGCTGGAGTGCAGTAGCGCGATCTCAGCTCACTACAACCTCCGTCTCCCAAGTTCAAGCGATTCTCGCGCCTCAGCCTCCCAAGTAGCTGGGATTACAGGCATGCACCACCACACCTGGCTTGTGTGTGTGTGTGTGTGTGTGTGTGTTTAGTAGAGATGGGGTTTCACCATGTTGCCCAGGCTGGTCTCGAACTCCTGACCTCAGGTGATCACCTGCCTTGGCCTCCCAAAGTGCTGGGATTACAGGTGTGAACCACTGTGCCTGGCCAGTTTTCAGCATTTTAGAATTACGGTAGTTCACATAAAAATTTGGATTTTACCTGTTCACACACAAGCCATTGTAAGAAATACTTTACATGCAGAATCTAATTAAGGTACACTGCCCCAGTTAAAGAAGCCTTCAGGGGCTAAAGGGACAACGAGAAGTGCTAATGGTGGTGATGCTTTTATTAATCAAGGTCTTGTAATTCCCCATCCCTGTCCCTCTTATTAATAGATTTATTTACAATAAAATTTTACCTTTTGCTTAAAAAAGAAACTGCATTTTACATCATGACCCAATATACACACACGCCAACAACCTGAAATTTAACAAAATAATGCACCCTTACTATATATACTTTGATGATTTCGTTCACTTTTAAAAATTCTGATTGTGACCCACTAAATAAATTTTAAATAACAAACAACTGGGATTTTTAGGTTGGGCGCAGTGGCTCATGCCTGTAATCCCAGCACTTTGGGAGGCTGAGGCAGGTGGATCACTTCAAGACAGGAGTTCAAGACCAGCCTGGCCAACATGGGGAAACCCTGTCTCTACTAAAAATACAAAAATTAGCCAGGCATGGTGGTGTGCGCCTACCTGTAATCCCAGCTACTCAGGAGGCTGAGGCACAAGAATTGCTTGAACCCAGGAGGTGGGGGTTACTGTGAGCCTAGATCGTGCCACTGCACTGCCAACCTGGGCAACAGAGCAAGACCCTGTCTCAAAAAAGAAAAACTGGGTTTTTTAAACAATATATTCACAACCTTTAGAATGAAATGGGTGAAATTTGTGGGAATCTAAACTTTTATCCAGATAACATTGAAAAAAAGTTGATTCTACCAATAAATCAATTTAAGAGGCCAGGTATGGTGGCTTACGCCTGTAATCCCACCACTTTGGGAGGCCGAGGCAGGTGGATCACTTGAGGTCAGGAGTTCAAGACCAGCCTGACCAACATGGTGAAACCCCATCTCTACTAAAAATACAAAAATTAGCTGGGCATGGCGGTACACACTTGTAATCCCAGCTACTGGGGAGGCTGAGGTGAGAGAATCACTCGAGCATGGGGGGCAGAGGTTGCAGTGACTGAGATCGCGCCACTGCATTCTAGCCTGGACTACAGAGTGAGACTCTGTCTCAAAAAAACAAAACAAAAAGTCAAGAAATGTATAAAACATAGCCAAAAAAAGTTAAGTACAGGCATAAAAAGATACACATTTTCAGTCTGCTATTCCAGTTGTCTAATTTTTTTTTTTTTTTTTTTTTTTTTGAGATGGAGTCTCACTGTGTCACCCAGGCAGGAGTGCAGTGGCGGGATCTCAGCTCACTGCAGCCTCCACCACCACCCACCCCCCGGGTTCAAGTGATTCTCCCATCTCAGCCTCCTGAGTAGCTGGGGCTGCAGGAGCACACTGCCATACCTGGCTAATTTTTTTGTATTTTTAGTAGAGATGGGGTTTCACCATGTTGGTCAAGCTGGTCTCAAACTCCTGATCTCAAGTGATCCACCTGCCTCACCCTCCCAAAGTGCTGAGATTACATGCATGCACCACCGCTCCTGGCCTCCTATGGTTTTAACATACGCTATTTTTGTAAAGCTATGTAAATGCAATTTTTAAAATCAGTTGGCATTTGAAAATCCAACACTGTTTCATAACAGCCTGGCGACAGAGCGAGAATCTGTCTCAAAAAAAAGAAAAAAAAAAAAAGGCCGGGCGCAGTGGCTCACACCTGTAATCTTAGCACTTTGGGAGGCTGAGGCAGGCAGATCACAAGGTCAGGAGTTCGAGACCAGCCTGGCCAATATGGGGAAACCCTGTCTCTACTAAAAATACAAAAACTAGCCAGGCGTGGTGGCATATGCCTGTAGTCCCAGCTACTTGGGAGGCTGAGGCACAAGAATCGCTTGATCCCAGTAGGCAGAGGTTCCAGTGAACCAAGATTGCATCAGTGCACTCCAGCCTGGGCTATAGAGCTAGACTCTGTCTCAAAAAAACAAACAAACAGTGTGGTCTTGGCATAAAGAGAGATATTGATAAATCAGTGAAACAGAATTGCGAGTTCAGAAAAAGCGTTCTTACATTTACAGTCAATTGATTTTCAACAATAATGCCCAGACCATTCAGTGAGGAAACAATAACCTTTTCAACAAATGGTACTGGGACAACTAGACATCCACATGCAAAAGAAAATGAAGTTGGGCCTCCTACCTTGCACCATACACAAAAATTAACTCAAAACGGATCACAGACCTAAGTATGAGTGATAGGAATATAATATACAAGAATGGCCGGGTGCAGTGGCTCACGCCTGTAATCCCAACATTTTGGGAAGCCGAGGCAGGCAGATTACTTGAGGTCAGGAGTTCGAAACCAAGCCTAGCAAAACCCCATCCGTACTAAAAATACAAACATTAGCTGGGCGTGATGGTGGGCGCCTCTAGTCCCAGCAACTTGGGAGGCTGAGGCAGGAGAATCGCTTGAACCTGGAAGGCGGAGGTTGCAGTGAGTTGAGATTGCACCACTGCACTCCAGCCTGGGCAATAGAGTGAGACTGTCTCAAAAAGAAAAAAATTATATATATGACAGAAAAAAACATAGGAGCAAATCTTTGTGACCTTGGGTTGGGCAATGGTTTCTTAGCTATGACACCAAAGCACAAGCAACAACTGTAAAAATATTAATAGATTATACCAAAATCAAAAGCTTACATGCTGCAAACAATTCCATCAACACCTATTACCCAAAGAAGGGAAACATTTGCAAATGACTTTTTCTTTTCTTTGAGATAGAGTCTCGCTCTGTTGCCCAGGCGGGAGTGCAGCCTCAATTTCCCAGGCTCAAGCGATCCTCCCACCTCAGCCTCCTGAGTAGCTCAGACTACAGGAGTGTGCCACTATGCCCAGCTAATCTTATTTTTATTTTTTTTATTTTTTATTTTTGGTAGAGACAAGATCTTGCTATGTTGTCCAAGCTAGTCTCGAACTCCTGAGGTCAAGCATTCCTCCTGCCTCGACCTCCTAAAGTGTTGGGATTACAGGCGTTGGCCACTGTCCCCAGCTTGCAAATTATGTATCTGTTAAGGGATTCTTATATCCAGAACATATACAAAGAACTCTTAAAACTCAACAATAAAAAGACAACCCAAAAAAATGGGCAAAGGATTTGAATAGACATTTCTTCAAAGATGACATACAAATGGCCAATAAGCTCATGAAAAGACATTCATCATCTTAAGTCATTAGAAATGCAAGTCAAAACCACAATGAGACACCATACCCACTAGAAGGGCTATGATCAGAAAGTTAGATCATGCCATATGTTGGCAAGGATGTGGAGGAAAAGGAACCCTCATTCACTGCTGGTGGGAATATAAAATGATACTTCCATTTTGGAAAAAGTCTAGCAGTTTCTCAAATGGTTAAATAGTGTTATATGACCCAATAATTTCACTCCTAGGTGTATACTAAAGAAATGAAAACATGTCTGTGCAAACACTTGTACACAAATGTTTATAGCAGCATTATTCATAACAGCCAAAAGATAGAAATAACCCAAATTCCCACCAACGAATGAATGGGCAAACAAAATTTGTTATCCATACAATGGAATGTTATTCAGCCAAACTAAGAAATGAGGTGCTGAAACATGCTGCAGCACAGATTCCCTTGAAGCATGACGCGAGGTGAAGATGGCAGAGACAAAAGGCTGCAGAGAGGATTCCATTTCTATGAAATGCCCAGAGTAGGCAAATCTGTGAGACAAAGTAGACTAGTGATTGCCAGGAGCTGGAGGGTAGTACGGAGTGGGGAGTGACTACTACTGGAACAGTGTTTCTTTTTGGGGTGATGGTTACACAACTTTGTTAATATACTAAAACCCACTACTGAATCTCATGCTTTTAATGTGCAGATTTTATGGTATGTGAATCTTGATCAAGTGTGTTTTTAAAAACTGGGTTGGATCCTGGCAGCTCCCATCGGTGCTGATCGCAGCCAGCAGCCCGAGGCCTTTAGTGACGCCTTTCTTCAGCATCTGCAGACAGCGAAAAGCAGAGCTGCAGGTTGAAGGCTCAGAGTAATGGATGGAGCCCTAAAATGAGTAAGAATAGGTGCAGGCAGGGCCTGAGTGGTCACTAGAAAAGAGAAAGCAGAGTTGGTGCCATCACATACATCCACCTCATGCCTTATTCTGAAATTTGAGTGTGAGAATACATGTCGACACATAAGCCAGTCATGATTTTAAAGGCGTCGGCTGTGGTCTTGAAAAGAGTCATGTGGAAACCCATCATCACCTTAAGATTTTTTTTTTTTTTTTTTTTTTTTTTTGAGACGAAGTCTCGCTCTGTCGCCCAGGCTGGAGTGTAGTGGCACCATCTCGGCTCACTGCAAGCTCCGCCTCCCGGGTTCATGCCATTCTTCTGCCTCAGCCTCCCGAGTAGCTGGGACTACAGGCACCCGCCACCATGCCCGGCTAATTTTTTGTATTTTTAGTAGAGACGGGGTTTCACCATGTTAGCCAGGATGGTCTCGATCTCCTGACCTCGTGATCTGCCCGCCTTGGCCTCCCAAAGTGCTGGGATTACAGGCATGAGCCACCGTGCCCAGCCACCTTAAGATTTTGAGTGTAAGGATCTTCATGATGAAATTTCTGAAAATGGTCCATTCTCAGCTTCAATTTCTGAGACTGGAGAAGGATCCTCTAGTAGCCACACTGTAGCAGCTGCCCTGAGTCAGCACCTCCACTTGGACCCAAAGTAGGATGTCTCTCAGGCATGTCACTCCCAGTGACACCAGATGGGATCCACCCAGGGCTGCCTCTGCTGCTCATTGTTAATGCCTCTAAAGTCATCTCCATGGTTCTTTGGGCTTCATCTTTAAAGGATTCAAGTGACTGAGACTATCCCAGAAAACTATGCAGCTAGTGAAACTAGAGTACAACTAAGAACATTTTCAGACCTCCAGTGTGGATGACCTGGGCATAATCTCACAAACTGATGGGACTGCAAGGATTGTAAACTGAAATTGACATGAATATACTCTGTTGGATCAGACTAAAAAAAAAAAATTGGGCCCGGCACAGTGGCTCACACTGGTAATCCCAGCACTTTGGGAGGCCGAGGTGGGCAGATTATGACATTAGGAGTTCGAGACCAGCCTGGCCAACATAGTGAAAACCCGTCTCTACTAAAAATACAAAAATTAGCCGGGCGTAGTTGTGGGCGCCTGTAATCCCAGCTACTCAGGAGGCTGAGGCAGGATAATCACTTGAACCCGAGAGGCGGAGGTTGCCGTGAGCTGAGATCGCGCCATTGCACTCCAGCCTGGGCGACAGAGAGAGACTCTGTCTCAAAAAAAAAAAAAAAAATTGTGGGTTGCTTTAAAAACCTATAGAACTGGCTGAGCGTGGTGGCTCATGCCTGTAATCCCAGCACTTTGGGAGGCCGAGGCAGGTGGATCACCTGAGGTCGGGAGTTCAAGACAAGCCTGGCCAACGTGGCAAAACCCCGTCTCTACCAAGAAAAAAAAAAAAAAAATTAGCTGGACTTGGTGGTGGCACACGCCTGTAATCCCAGCTACTCAGGAGGCTGAGGCAGGAGAATCGCTTGAACCCGGGAGGCGGAGGTTGCAGTGAGCCAAGATTGCACCATTACACTCCAGCCTGGGTGACAAGAGCGAAAACTCCGTCTCAAAAGAAAACAAAAACCCTATAGAACCAACATAGTGCTTTAAAATATGGCATCATTGCATTGGTTCATTCCAACAACCTAGGAATATTCAACAGTGTGGGCAGACTGTTAAGGGCATATGGTACTATCAGAATTTTTTGTTTGTTTTGAGACAGAGTCAAGCTCTGTCACCCAGGCTGGAGTGCAGTGGTGTGAGCTTGGCTCACTGCAGCCCCCACCTCCCGGGTTCAAGCAATTCTCCTTTTTCAGCCTCCCGAGTAGCTGGGATTACAGGTACACACCACCACACCCAGCTAATTTTTGTATTTTTAGTAGAGACGGAGTTTTGCCATGTTGCCCAGACCGATCTTTTTTCTTTTTTTGAGACGGAGTCTCGCTCTGTGTCTCCCAGGCGATCTCGGCTCACTGCAAGCTGGGCCTCCCGGGTTCACACCATTCTGCCTCAGCCTCCCGAGCAGCTGGGACTATAGGCGCCCGACACCACGCCCGGCTAATTTTTGTATTTTTAGTAGAGATGGGGTTTCACCGTTTTCAAGCTGTATCACTGCCCGCATAGTTAACAACATTGAATCCAAACCACTAAGCTGATGAAAGCTCATCCCAGGAGACGAGGGCAATTAGAGGGGAATCTTCCTAGAGCCTCTTTTGTGACTGCTGAGCCTACTTGGCAAATTTATTACTTCTTTTAAAGTTTCTCTCTGAGAGGAGCCAAGACAATCTTGTAGGCAAAAAGAGGCTTCAGGTGACACACACACTACACAACCCCCTCCCCAGCCCTCATCTTCAGCGAGCCCCTGCCTTCTAGCATCACTCGCCTCAGGTGTTGGAGCAGAGGCCGGCGTGCAGTTCTAGGGTCTCCTGGGCATGCCTGCCTGTTACTGGCACAGCAGTCTTTACGTGTGGGCCAAGGATCTTCTATACTTTTAATAACGTCTTCCAAGATCGGGTGTCTGATGAGCAGGCACACCCAGCACAGTTTCAACAAGCAATTTATCCCCCAGTGTGCAGGCTCCTTCCTTACAGGCTGAGTACTATGGGGTTACAATCTTCCCAGACATTGCTTATTGGTTGTTAGGCGGGGGCTTTAGGTATTTTTTTTTTAGGGTTGTCTTGCTGCATTTTGTTACAGCCCACAGTGCATTGCAATCTTAGTCTGCTTAGGGGCTCTTCAAGTATTTGACTTATGACCTAAGTAGCTAGGCCAGCTGGTAGGAAGAGACAAAGCGAGCTATTTTGCAGGCCAGTAAACTTTCATTTTAAACTTTTTTGGTTCGGGTGAGGGCAACCAAGGAAGGGGGAAGGGGGCAGGCGGGGAAGCCGATAAGGCATCGGCTAGCCTGAGGGGCCTAGTACAACCCGTTTCTTCCGTAGTTTGCTGACCGAAGCCGATTCAAGGCACTTTGTCTTAAAAATGGACCACCGTATACCTTATTTCCTTCACCCAAATAACAGCTTAAAGTTTTACTCCTCTTTGAGTCTCCTGTTCTTTGACCAACAGTTTCTAAATAGCTGTATACTGCCCCCCCCCGCAAAATTATATTTAACAAAGAGGAGCCCCTACTTGAATGATTTAGCAGCAAGCTAAGGCAAAGACACCCAGCGCTCACATTCCAGAATAAGAACATGTTTATTCAGATGTGCCAGAAGTCCAGGGTCACGCGGCTTCGCATTTAGGAGATGCTTTACAAGCTCTCCCATTTTCTTTTCAGAACATACACTGGGGGAATTCACAAACTAAAACAATTTCTGGTGACTTCCAATCTATATATTATACTTTACAGCTTCAATTGAATTTTTT
The DNA here is from genome assembly GCF_000001405.40 of Homo sapiens. Lineage (NCBI taxonomy): Eukaryota > Metazoa > Chordata > Mammalia > Primates > Hominidae > Homo > Homo sapiens. The sequence goes on from NC_000017.11 coordinate 17,201,185, forward strand.
TAAAAGTTAACTTCCAAGCTGGCTTGCCTAACACTGTGAGTCAAAAGTAACCCTAAAAAGGAAAAACACACAGCACTGAAGGGTCTCTGGGTGGTAATGCCAGCGTGGGCTGGGGAGGTGAGACTAAGCACATGGCTAGCAGACCTCAGGATGGGCCCTGGGGCTCATCATACAGAAATATGACAAGATGATGAAGTCACAACTTCAGATGTCATCGGAGCTATCTGTATATGACACACACATTATAAACAAATAACCTGGAACATTTCACAGTGTACGACACCTGTTCTACCTGGGAATGCAAACCCTGAGCTGCAAATAAGAACACAGACGTGGGAGACACCACGGCCTGAAGCTGCTCTCCTCTTCCCCGCTCTCCTCTCCTCCGGTCCCGTGATGGGTTACGCTGAGCCAGCAATGTGCACGCACTAACTCCACAGGTGTTAAAGGTAAGGTCACTTCTAAACACACAACAAAATTACCTTAACATTAGGACATTAAAAGTTAAAAGCCCGGCCGGGCATGGCGGCTCACACCTGTAATCCCAGCACTTTGGGAGGCGGAAGTGGTGGATCACTTGAGGTCAGGAGTTTGAGACCAGCCTAACCAACATGGTGAAACCCTGTCTCTACTAAAAATACCAAAAAAAAAATCAGCCAGGTGTTGTGGCAGGCACCTGTAATCCCAGCTACTCGGGAGGCTGAGGCAGGACAATCGTTTGAACCCAGGAGGCAGAGGATGCAGTGAGCCGAGGTTGTGCCACTGCACTCCAGCCTGGGCCACAGAGTGAGACTCCATCTCAAAAAAGATAAATAAATAAATAAATAAAATAAAAAAAGTTAAAAGCCCAACATAGAAACAGCTGCTGGCCATCAGTCCTGACAGACCACAGCACTTACTACCCAAGGACAGGCTGCTGAAGAGCTTGGCACTGGCGTGCATACTGGTTTTAAAGAGCAATTATGCAAGGAATCAAGGGAACAGCCAGCCTTTGGTGGCAATGACGCTCACGGGGTTGCCCCGAAGGCTGCTTTTGCCACCCGCACCGCACACTCACATCTTCCCTTCCTCCTGACTTCCATTTCCTTTCCTTACTCTGAGGACCGAGCCCTGACAGGGGCAGACTGTGAGGGACAAGGAGACTGTAGGCCCCAACCAACCCCAGTCGTGCCACATGGAGAGAGGGATGAAATCTCAGGGAGATGCTGAAAGGGCCCACATCAGCCAAAGCAGGAGGGACTTTTCTAGAATCAGGGAAGGGAATGGGATCGACCTGGAAGAGGCACTGTGCCTTTTCTGTGCTGTAGCAGAAGTTTCGATTCCAAACCAAGATACGGACCACACTCATGAAAGCACCCCGTGGCAGGTCGTGACTGAAGTTATTTTGGCAAAGGAGCAAGAAAAAGGTCTGGCCCGAAATAACTGACCCGAAGTAACAGAAATTTCCCTTTCCTAACCTTCTTTAGTTCAATTTAGTATTCTAATAGACGAGACTTTAGTTTAACGATTTTTTTCTAGTGCCGAGGTCTCCCTCCCTCAGAACGCACAGCAGCCCGCAGGGAGGGCTCAGCCCCATTCTTGGTTAGGTTTGGCTTTCGCTGGAGGTGCCGCAAGTTCTGTGCCATGAAAGCAATCTCCCTCCAGCTCTGGAGACAGGTGGGGCACAGCTTCCGTGACTTTTCTTTGGTGGGAAAAAGGTATACTTTGTAGGGTTAAACTGTTCCCAGATGCGCTCAAATTCTTCCAGAAAAAGCCGCACGTACTCGTCGTCCTCCGTGATGAGAACATTCTCCCTGTTGTTCTGGATGGCTTGCGTGGTCCAGTTGAGCGAGCCAGTGATGAGCACCCTCTTGTCCACGATGGCAAACTTGTGATGCATGTAGCCTGGGTCTTGATCGTGCCGGACCTGGATCCCTGCAGAAAGGACAAGGTGATTTCATTCCATGCAGGAGTCCCGCCCCCAGTGTGGACTGTTCCTGGGGGCTACTGGCTTTACTATATGTTTCCAGTTTGGTGGGCCAGGAAAGCCCGCCATGCTTTCACAGAGTGGTGGCGGCTAAGCTCCCAGGAGGGACGCTGAGAACCACAGAGGGGACATCACACACAGGGCCAGAGCGTCACACACAGGCTATGGGGGACTGGGCAGGCCGTGGTCTGGGTGAGGCCACACCTCCGAGTCTATGCCAGCCAGTATGTCCCTTCGGGGTTACTGCTTGCTGCCAAGGCTGTCACTAACCCAGTCAGAGGTGACCAGGGCAAAGACAGCGTGTGAGCCTTCAGGTTCTGACTCTTCCACAGCTAAGGCTGAGAGCGTGCCCACTCTGCCCAGAGAGGCCCCGGCGTCTGAGAGCAGAGCCCAATTTGCTGGCACAACCTCGGCCACCAAGGCAGGAAGGGCCCTAACTAACAACGCACAAATGAATTCTCCTCTTCCGCACCCCCCTGCTTCCTTCACCAAAGAACCAGGCATCCCGGCCTCTGCTCTTCCCAGCTTTCAAACTCCTCTTGGGAAGGGCCTGTGTCTGTCTCCCCTGGAATAACACTGCCTCACTCACGACCTGCTTAAGGAATGAGGCCGTCAGAAATGGGGCTTAAAAGAAGTTTTAAACAGGCTGCCATGGAACACAGTTGCCAGATTTTCCGAATCAAAATACAGAACATCCAAGTTAAATGGAATTTCAGATAAAGAGTAATCTTTGAAGGGAAGTGTGTCCCATGGAGTACTGGGAACATACCCTAAAAATCACTCCCTGTGCATGGAACTCATATTTAATTGTGCCCCCTAAATTGGGCCTGGCAGGATGAAGACGTGGTGGCTTCCTTACCTCGAGGAGCCAGCCCTTCTTCTCACACTCTGGCCACTCCTCTGGCACGTCCTGTCGGCACAGCCCTCCAAACACATTCCTCCACACGGTGGGCAATGTAAAACCCCACCATCGCCCACACCTCCTGCCTCCGCTGGGATCCACTGCCCACCTCCCCGTCCCCTCCCCGCGGCCTGCCACCTCTGGCCACAGGGGACTTCCTGCCCTTCCTCAAAAGGAAGTCAGTCTGTGACCCAGGGCGACTGTGCTGCTGCCCCTTCCAGCCGCATGCCTCTCCCTCCGAACAGTCCACTGGTGTCAGCAAGGTCCCTGCCCTGAGTGTCACTGCCCCTGGGCAGCTGACCTGGCCCACGCCACTTCCTCCCACACCACTGCCTCCTTACCCTGCTTTATGAAGTTTTCTTGGCCCTTCTCAGTGCCCTAAATGAAATATTCATGACTTAGTTGGCATCTCCGTGGCAACCTGGCCTTGTGCCCTTGTGCCCTAGGATGTTCCAGCTCCTCACAAATACTGGCACAGAGGGGACATTCCTTGAACAGTGAATGCCACTGGACAGCCTCGAAGTCAGCGAGGATGCTGGGAGGCCATCCCAGAGGGGATCCGATGGGACCTTGGTCTAGGGGCCCTTGAAGGGTCTTCACCAACCTCAGCTTCTACGACTGTAAAAGCAACTCAAACAGAACTGTACTGTGCATGCCTGGAGGTCCCCAAACCTCCCGTTAAAATGACCAACACATGGGAGGACAGCTCTTGTGGCTGCCCCAAAGAGAAGGAGACATCCTCAATATGAAAACCACGTGCCCCACTCTGCTCCCACATGGCGTGCAACATGCCCCACACCACCCAGAGCAGGGAGGGACCCTGGCTGACTCTGGAGAGGCTGCTCTGAGGCCCAAGTCAACAAGAGGCTATGGCTGTGCAGAAGGAACAGCGCGGCGGTGACCACTGCCCAGCCTGGACAATTCCCAGGGCTCCACACATCTCTCGGTCACTGCGACCACCAGTATTATCAGATCCAACCGTTGCACGTGCAGGCGTGACTTTCTGGGTGCCTGAGTGATGGAGACAGAGACAGGCCCAAGAGTCTGTGAGTGCAGATACACAAAAGGCAACAGCAGGCTGGGCCGCCGAACTGGGCCAGGATGGACTGAGAATCCTCAGGTGGGACAAGGATCCCAATTATTCACATTTCCTGGTCCCTTCTGTCCCCACCCCATGAGAGAGGCGCCCCCGCCAGAAATATGTGTTCCCCTCCTTTTGCAGCTGGGAAAACAACCGAATGTCCTGGCGCTGCTTTCTAGAACATGTTCAGGTCTCCCAGAGCCCAGTGGCCTGAGATTCACTGGGCAGCAGGTGGCCGCCTCTCCCCAGAGCCCTTCAGTCTGGAAGTCCAAGCACAACCCTGGCGTCCAGCTCCCCTGCCACCAGGATCCAGGTTACCAGAGGCCGTCCGGGGATCTCCGGCAGCGTAGGAGGGCGGGCCCGGGCTGCAGCAGTCACGAAAACTCCGCCGGCGGCGCCCGAGGAGTTGCTAGGGGAATCTGCTCCGCCTCTAACCCGGCACACGCAGGCCCACCTGCTTCCAGCATGCCGGGACAGTTCACTGAGAGAACCGCCCCCACCGCGGAGGCACCGAGGGTCCGGCTCGCTTATGCCCACGCAGCCGGCTAGACCTTCTGTGGGGGCTCTGCTTTCTCCGCGTTACACCACCCCGACCCCACAAGGCCACGAGGAAAGTAAATGAGGCCTCAGCCCGTCCCCAGACCCCCTCCCCTAAGTGTCCACCTTTGCGCCTAGGACCCCGCGTGGGCCAAGCCGGCCTTCTCCGCTTGGACCCCGCCGGGCCTACCTGCCTTGCGCAGCAGACCGATTTGCGAGCCGTTGAGGGCCATGTAGTCGCAGTCGGTGACGACCCGCACTCGCACCCCACGCTGGTGCAGCAACTGCACGGCGCGGCCCAGCTGCGGGCTGGAGAAGGCGAACAGGCAGAGATCCAGGCTGGCGCGGGCGGCCAGCAGGGCACGCAGCAGGCGGCTTAGCGCGCTCTCGCCGTGGGGCAGGCCGCACGGGCAGCCCTCGGGGAGCTCGGCCAGCTCCGCGCCCGGAGCCCGCAGCAGGGCCTCGGTACAGGTCACCTGAGACGGGAAGAACAGCGCCTCGCGCCGCGGCCGCCGCCGCCTGGACCGCAGCCAGCGCAGCACCCAAGGCAGCGCCTCCAGAGTCAGAGCCAGGCCCACAGCCGCCGCGGCCGCCACCTGCCAACTCAACCGTCCCATGCCGCCGCTAATCCGGGACCCACAGCCACGCCGCCGCAGCGGAGTCTGCGCGCCCCCAGCCCTAGACCGCCAGGCCACGCCCCCGTCACGCGCCGCCAGCGGCCATGTGCCAGGCCACGCCCAGCCCCCCATGGCCACGCGCCAGGCCACGCCCTATCACGTCCTGCCAATTGCCACGCACCAGGCCACGCCCCCGTCACGCAGCGCCAACGGCCACGTGCCAGGCCACGTGCCAGGCCACGCCCAGCACCCATGGCCACACGCCAGGCCACGCCCCCGTCACGCCCCACCAACGGCCACGTGCAAGGTCACGCCCTCAGCCCCCGAGGGCCACGCGCTAGGCCGCGCCATGCCCCCACAACTGTCACGCACCAAGCTGAACCCACGCCTCCCATCAGCCCGCCCCCAACCCTCAACAGGTGACCACGCCTCCCTCCACGCGCCAGGCCACGCCCCCTGCCACAGACACCCTCCACCCCCCAACGCCAGGCTGTGCCCCCCATTTTCCTTCCAGCCAGGCGCTCGGCCACGCCCTCCAGGTTCCACCTCCCACCACGTGCCAAGCCACGTCCCCAAGCCCGCGCCACCAGGCAGCACCTGCACACCCGCGGGCCACGGGCCCTAGCACACCCGTCACCTGCCCAGGCCAGAGACCGCTCTCCGCGCTAGAAGCCACAGCAACCCCGGCTTTCCTCGCATGGAGCACAGCAGAGCTGCTCTGGAAATGTGGGGTCACACCTTCACTGTCTTCTCGGGAGCAGCTAGGCTGGGCTGGGGAATGACCTGGGAACACAGATAATCAGGGAATCAACACAGCTGGAGGCAGCATTGGAACCCAGCATACTGGAGGCGGTGTCGGCCCAGAGGTTTTTTCCTAGCCCAAGAGGTTTTTTCCAGCCGGCGTTGTTGGAAGGCCTGCCCTGCTTTAAGCATAAACAGAGGAAGAGACTAAGGCAGCCGAGGGCACTGGGCCGGGGGCATAGGGAAACGGGGCAATGTGGTGGTCTGGGCTGGATCCTGGAACCGAAAGAAGACATTCACGGAAAAACTGGTGAGAGCCAAATAAAGTCTGGAGCTTAATCGCATTGTACCAATGTCAGTTTCTTAGCTTTGACAAATGTATGAAAGGAATGTAAAAGGTTAACAAAGGAAGCTGCGTGGGGGTAAATGGATCTCTCTGTTCTATATTCGAAACTTTTCTGTAAAGCAAATTATTCTAAATTAAAAGTTTATTAAAATATTAAACTTGCACCTTCCATATGATCCAGCTATCCCACTCCTAGGAGAAAGGGCGGGATCCATTAACACAAGCACGTGTCCTGGCAGGCGTATGTGCCTAGAACAACCCAAAAAGGCGTCAGCAGGTAAACAGGTAAATAAGCTTTTGTATATCTGTACAAGGGAATGCTATTTAGCAATAAAATAGAATGAAGTGGCCTGGCACGGTGGTTCATGCCTGTTATCCCAGAACTTTGGGAGGCTGAGGCAGGAGGACAGCTTGAGTTCGGGAATTCGAAACCAGCTTGGCCAACATGGTGAAACACTGTCTCTACCAAAAAATACAAAAATTAGCTGAGTGCGCTGACGTGCCTGTGATCCCAGCTACTCGGGAGGCTGAGGTGGGAGAATCGCTTGAGCTCTGGAGACTAAGGTTGCAGTGAGCCAAGATCATGCCATTGCACTCCAGCCTGGGTGACACAGCAAGACCCTATCCCCCCCCCACCAAAAAAAAAAAAAAACAGTACTCACATGTGCTACGACGTGGATGAATTTCATTAATATTGAGTGGGAAAAGCCAGACAAAAAGAGTACATACTGTATGATTCCATTTACATAAAATTCTAGAAAATGCAAACTAGATTGAGGGAAAGCAGACCAGTGTAGCCTGGAGGCCAACAAAGCCACAAGGAAGTGGAGTGATGGATGTGTGCTTATCGGGTTGACTGTGGTGGTTTCACAGGTATATACATATGTCAAATTGTATGGTGTAAATAACTAAAAATGTATGTCAGTGATTATGTCAATAAAATTCTTTTTTTTTTTTTTAAGACGGAGCCTCGTTCTTTCGCCCAGGCTGGTGTGCAGTGGTGCGATCTCGGCTCACTGCAACCTCTGCCTCCGGGGTTCAAGTGAGTCTCTGCGTCAGCCTCCCGAGCAGCTGGGATTACAGGCGCCCACCACCACACCCGGCTAATTTTTGTATTTTTAGTAGAGATGGGGTTTCACCATCTTGGCCGTGCTGGTCTCGAACTCCTGACCTCGTGATCCACCTGCCTCGGCCTCCCAAAGTGCTGGGATTACAGGCGTGAGCCACCGCACCCGGCCTTCTTTTTTTTTTTTTTGAGATGAAGTCTCGCTCTGTCGCCCAGTCTGGAGTGCAGTGGCACGATCTCGGCTCACTGCAACCTTCACCTCCTGGGTTCAAGCAATTCTCCTGCCTCAGCCTCCCAAGTAGCTGGGACTACAAATGCACACCACCACATCGGCTAAATTTTTGTTTTTGTATTTTTAGTAGAGACGGGGTTTCATCGTGTTAGCTAGGATGGTCTCGATCGCCTGACCTCGTGATCAGCCTGCCTCGGCCTCCCAAAGTGCTGGAATTACAGGTGTGAGCCACCGTGCCTGGCGAATAAAATTCTTAACAAAGAAAAAGAACACTTGAGTTTAGTGCTGGCTCCCAGGCTTCCTAGCTGCATGGTCTAGGGCAAATTGATTCATCTCTTCTGAGCTTCACTTTCCTCATCTAAAACGATAATGAGAGGAGGGACTTGGAGTTGTGGAGGTATAAAGAAGGACTCAAATCCCTCCAGAGAGGGATAAACAAAAATAAAACTGGGGGAAAACAGTTTTCAAAAACAGCCACTTCAGGGCTGGAAATCTACCAAAGGCAGACAACAAAATGAGAAGCTTTATTTGATTTTTATTTATTTTTTGTCTTCCAGTTTCTATTTTTAACTTTGTCGGTATATAGTAGGTATATATATTTATCGGGTACATGAGATATTTTGGTACAGACATGCAATTTGTAATAATCACATCAGGGTAAACAGGATATCCATCACCTTAAGCATTTATCCTCTTTTGTGTTACAACATTTAGTTATTAGTTTATTTATTTATTTATTTATTTGAGACGGAGTCTTGCTCTGTTGCCCAGGCTGGAGTGCAGTGGTGCGATCTCAGCTCACTTTGCAAGCTCTGCCTCCCAGGTTCACGCCATTCTCCTGCCTCAGCCTCCCAAGTAGCTGGGACTACAGGTGCCCGCCACCACGCCCAGCTAATTTTTCGTATTTTTAGTAGAGATGGGGTTTCACTATGTTAGCCAGGATGGTCTCGATCTCCTGACCTCACTATCTGCCCTCCTCGGCCTCCCAAAGTGCTGGGATTACAGGCGTGAGCCACCGTGCCCGGCCTAGTTTTTTATTCATTTATTTTTCAGATGGAGTCTTGCTCTGTCAGCAGTGACGTGATCTTGGCTCACGGCAACCTCCGTCTCCCAGATTCAAGCAATTCTCCTGCCTCAGCCTCCAGAGTAGCTGGGATTACAGGCACCCACCACCACGCCCGGCTAATTTTTGTATGTTTAGTGGAGACGGGGTTTCACCATGTTGGCCAGGCTGGTCTCGAACACCTCACATCAGGTGATCCGCCCACCTTGGCCTCCCAAAGTGCTGGGATTACAGGTGTGAGCCACCGTGCCTGGCCGTTTGTGTTTATTTTTTATTTTTTGAGACAGAGTCTCGCTTTGCTGCCCAGACAGGAGTGCCATGGGGCCATCTCAGCTCACTGCAACCTCCACCTCCCTGGTTCAAGCGATTCTCCTGCCTCAGCCTCCTGAGCAGCTGGGATTACAGGTGCCTGACACCACGCCTAGCTAATTTTTGTACTTTTAGTAGAGATGGGAGTTCACCATGTTGGCCAGGCTGGTCTCGAACACCTGACCTCAGGTGATCCGCCCACCTTGGCCTCCCAAAGTGCTGGGATTACAGGTGTGAGCCACAGTGCCTGGCTATAATAACCATTTTAATATGTGTGTGTATGTCATTAACATCATGTCGTATACCTTAAATATATACAATTTATTTTTTAAAAGCTTATACAAACTATATTATCAGATAAGGGGTTAATTTCCACAATATATAAGAGCTCAAGTGATTCTCCTGCCTCAGCCTCCTGAGTAGCTGGGACTACAGGCGTACACCACCAGCCTGGCTAATTTTTTTTTTTGTATTTTTAGTAGAGACGGGGTTTCACCATGTTGGCCAGGCTGGTATCAAACTCCTGGGCTCAGGTGATCCTCCTGCCTCGGCCTCCCAAAGTGCTGGGATTACAGGCGTGAGCCACCATGCCCGGCCCTGAGTGTAAGTATCTTGAATGTAAAATCAGGAAACCCTTGACTGCCTTCAAACACATGGGGAAGGTTCAAGATCTGGAACTTGTTTTCTGTCTCTTCCATTTTGTGAAAAGCTACAAAATCAGGAACCCCTATTCCCTCACAAGGACAGCAGAGTCTGGCCTGGTCTTGGGCTGGCATAGGTTCAGCTCAGCCTCCTGCTCTTCTGCACTCATGACCAATAGGAAAAATCTTCAAGAACTGCATGCCTGTGGGGAGAAAAAGCCCACAGCTGCCTAGAAACACCAGTTGGCAGCTGGGTGCGGTGGCTCACCCCTCTAATTCCAGCACTTTAGGAGGCCGAGGCGGGCGGATCACGAGGTCAGGAGTTCGAGACCAGTCTGGCCAACATGATGAAACCCCATCTCTACTAAAAATACAAAAATTAGCCGGGTGTGGTGGCATGTACCTGTAATCCCAGTTACTCGGGAGGCTGAGGCTGAATTGCTTGAACCAGGGAGTCGGAGCTTGCAGTGAGCCGAGATCACACCACTGCACTACAGCCTGGCAACGGAGCAAGACTCTGTCTCAAAAAACAAAAACAAAAACAAAACCACCAGTCGGCATAGGGCCTTGCCTGCCCCCTCGCCAGCAAGCTCTGTTAGACATGGGAAATCCAGGTCACACATGCCCCTGAAGTGAATGCAGAGCTAACTTACACTGGGCTCCTACTTGCCAAGTGGATTCAGCCACTAGACTGGCAGACAACTGGCAAAAACTGAGCATAGAACCACGTTCCCAGGAATGCCATGCACGAGAGAAAGACAGGAATCTGTACCCGAAGCCGGGGAGGACAGTGGGTGGTCATCTCTCCCTTGACCCACATTGGCCAGGGGGTCCCCTCCCACTCGAGGTAGATGACTAAACCGTGAACCTGCTGTTTTAGGGATTGCCACGGTCACCCAGGGTGATTCCAGCCATCTTCCTCTCAGATGGACATGTCTTTTAAATATCATCATTATTAAGGGATGAGCCATTTCTAATGCTGAACAAAATGAAAAGCACATGGGCATAGGTACTCAACAGATGTCCTTGGGATAAATGAGTGTTTGCTTCTCTCCAACACCAACTCCAACGACTAACTTGGAGAAGATTGTCTACGATCATTATAGCAGCTTAACTGTGCGAATTGGCCACTCACTGGTATTTTGTTTTGTTTTTTGAGATGGAGTCTCACTCTGTTGCCCAGGCTGGAGTGCAGTGGTGTGATCTTGGCTCACTGCAACCTCTGCCTCCCGGGTTCAAGTGATTCTCCTGCCTCAGCTTCCTGAGTAGCTGGGACTACAGGCATCTGTCACCATGCCTGGCTAATTTTTTATATTTTTAGTACAGACAGGGTTTCACCGTATTAGCCAGGATGGTGTCGATCTCCTGACCTCGTGATCCGCCTGCCTCAGCCTCCCAAAGTGCTGAGATTACAGGCATGAGCCACTGCGCCCGGCTGACTCACTGGTATTTTTTAACCATAGTATTTCCTGTGCCTGAGCGCAAATAAATAGTAGGCATCAAACCAATAAAACCATGTAGTAACAATTTACAAAAATACATCTTTATTGTGTTCCAATGTTGTTGCATTATACAGATACCTAGTTATATAAACTTGGTCTTCATGTTAAATATAAACACAAAAAAACTAGAAACAAATCAGCAAAACCATCAGAAAATCCCTCTGAGCCATGAATCCTTATTAAAAATGTATAGTGGGGGGTACCTGTAGCTGTATGTTGAAGCAGGAGGACTGCTTGAACTCAGGAGTTCAAGACCAGCCTGGACGACATAGCAAGATGCCATCTCTTTAAAAAAAAAAAAAAAAAAAAAAAAAAGGGCCAGGCACAGTGGCTCACGCTTGTAATCCCAGCACTTTGGGAGGCTGAGGTGGGTGGATCACCTGAGGTCAGGAGTTTGAGACCAGCCCGGCCAACACGGTGAAACCCCGTCTCTACTAAAAAATACAAAAATTAGCTGGGCATAGTGGCGGGCACCTGTAGTTCCAGCTACTCTGGAGGCTGAGGCAGGAGAATTGCTTGAACCCAGGAGGCAGAGGTTGCAGTGAGCCAAGATCGTGCCATTGCACTCCAGCCTGGGCAACAAGAGTGAAACTCCCTCTCAAAAAAAAAAGTACAGTGGGATGATGAAATTGTCTTCAATCACCACACTCCGAAAATAGTTAACTGTAACCAAACGTAAATGTTGAAAGCAGCAATAAAGACAAAAGCGATACAGAATAAAAGCATGGCGGGGCTCACCATATCCAGGGGATTGGGCAAGTCAGATGCTTGCCGACCCCTCAGCAACCTGTCTTGTGCAAAAATGATCAGGGACTCCATCATTAAGCCCCAGGTTACCTTCACCAGCACCTGCAGGGGAACACCCCAGAAGACGAGCCCCATGGCTTCAGAACACACATTTCAGAGGACCAAAAGATGAGGAAGAGATCCACTTCACTCCCCAAAGTCTCTTGCGGAGCCCTAACTCAATCACTCAGTGACCAAGAGCTGGCAATGTACTGAATATTCACAACTGCAGCAAAAGGTACCCTCAAACATAAGGCCCAGAAACTCTTGCTGAATTTCAAAGTAGAAACGCTTGAATGTTAACCTCGGGAGCAGACATGTTATTGCGACTGCATACTGAGTCGGACCTGTTTCTCCTGCGGGTTTTGAGTCTAAGTCCACAAGGGGCCTGGGAGGCAAGCTGTCCTCCTAGTCGTCTCTCCAAGGAGTTTGAACACAGAGAGAGCCCATCATCCCTCCGCCTTTCATTGCCATCTTCAGCGATTCCAACGGCTGGAGGGAGAGTCTGGGAAGCACACAGGCCCCAAACCTGACAGGGCCGAGCCCAGCCCTGATGGTTTCCCTTCCTTGCTGGGACACAGCTCCTTCCAGCAGTTGAGAAACTCAAGGGACAGTCCCTCTCACGGGGCTGGAGGATCCTGTGGACAGCCATCCCTGTCTTTAGGCAGGTGTGTGTGACGGGTCAGTTCCGAGACTCCGAGGCTGTGGGGCTGCGGACCGTGGACATGAGGTGTGACTTGTAGGTCTTGCTCAGGCCAGTCATCCAGAACTTCAGCAGCTTGACATTGTCCTCCTCGGACGCACCCAGGATGCTCAGCAGCTTCTGTGTGTCCTCTTTGGGTCGACTGTCCACCTTGGTGAACTTAAAAAGCACCTTCACTTTGCTGAAGAAAACCAAAACAAAACACTCAGACACCACAGCACAATCCCTCGAGCCCTGGTCACGGGGCCAACCAGGGGTGACACGGCTTTGGCACCAGCAGGAGCTGTGCAGGCAGAGCTGGAATCCACACCCTTGGGGCAGCAGGCTTGGCCCCTGAACTGCTGAAAGGAGCTGTGTCCCAGCAAGGAAGGGAAGCTGTCGGGGCTGGGCTCGGCCCTCTGTCGGGTATGGGTATGGGGCCTGTGCGCTTCCCACACCCTCCCTCAAGCTGTTGTCAAGACGCCAAGAAGAAAGAAAAACCTTCCTTAAACTCGTGGAAGACACTGGTTGCTCCTAAGCTTCACTGCATGATTTTAAATCAGGACAATGTTTGATTAATAAATTTGACCCAAAAAATTACCAAGAATCGAGGCAGGAGGAAATAAAGTAAATTTGCTTACAAAAAAAAAAACCCGGGGGGCCAGGTGCAGTGGCTCACGCCTGTAATCCCAGCACTTTGGGAGGCCAAGGTGGGCGGATCACGAAGTCAGGAGTTCAAGACCAGCCTGGCCAACATGCTAAAACCCTGTCTCTACTAAAAATACAAATATTAGCCAGGCATGGTGGTGGGTGCCTGTAATCCCAGCTACTCCAGAGGCTGAGGCAGAAGAATCGCTTGAACCCGGGAGGCGGAGGTTGTGGTGAGCCAAGATCATGCCATTGCACTCCAGCCTGGGCAACAAGAGCCAAACTCTGACTCAAAAAAAATAAAAAATAAAAATAAAATAAAATAAAAAGCGGGGTGGGGCATGGGTTACTGGGCTTTTAGGTTTTGAAGTTAATTGCACAGCAGATGACAGAGCTTCCATTATGAACCCTCCTGTGAGCTTGGAGCCCTTGCCCAAGCCTCAGTCGCTCTCCAAGGCAGGCGCCACCCCCACCTCCCCATGCAGGAGCCGGAGGCAGACATGATGACCGCCTCCCGAGGCCACCTGAGCTTTGCAGTGGCGGACGTGGAGTTGGAACCCCGCCCCCAACCTCTTCTCTCGGCTCCTCCCTCAGTGGCCACGGCCCAGCTCCTCTTTTGGAAACAGCTCCAGGTTTTCTCCAGGGTCGCAAGCAAAGGGGCCTCACCCACACTGTTGCTTACTTCATCCACTCCTCCTTGAGGCAGACGAGGCACTGGTCCACCACATCCACAGACAGGTTCTGGTTGGTCAGAGCCGCTTCAATCTTATTCAGGATGGTGGGGCCCACTGGGGAGAAGGGCAGGGGCAGAGCAAGGGCAGGCGTTAGCGCGGGGCGGGGGCATCTTCTCACAAAAAGGACACTCTGCCTGGGGGCACCCACCTCGGTCTGCAGCTACAGGGCTCCCACTGGTCACCACAAACTCGTACTTGCTGAGAGACTGGTCATCCTCACACCCCACAGGGTGGAGGGTGGAACGTGCGGCTGCGTGGACCTCCACGATGACAGCAAACTCTGTAACAACACAAGGCCCGTGGCTCCTCATCTCCCCCATGCTCCTCACCTCCCCTGCGCTAGCCCACCGTGGGCCCCACTCCGCTCATCCCAGGTCAGTGGGGAAGGCTGCTGGTGAAAAGACTGGCCCAAATCAATGCTTTGGTATTTAAAACCTTTCAGGTTATTCGTGAATAGTTAAGGGTTAACTTTTGCCTCAGTTAAACTAATAATTTATTATATTACAATAATCACAAAGTACTTTATATACATCAATTTACCTCTGGCTAAGCAGCCCTATGAGGGTGGTCTCACCATGACCCTATTCTACAGATGGGGAAACAGGCCTGGAGACGTTAAATAACCTGCTCGTAGTGGTAAGAATTTGAAGTCTGTTTGAAACCAGAGCCTGTGTTTCCAATGCTACCCGGAAAAAAGGCACTGCCTCGCAGGGAGTCAGGACCCAGCCTGGGTGCTGATTGGGGGCTCAGGGTAGCTCCACTCGGACCATGAGTCAGCAGCTGCTGGTCACCGCTGTGCTGGGGGAAGTCACTGATGAGCCTGGGGGGCTGATCCCTGGACATCCCCAAACCAAAAGACCAGGGGTTTGCTGAGCCCTGACCACACCAGTGAAGGCCGGGAAGACCTCGGGCACATGAGGTGAAGAAAAAGGCTGGAGGAGAGCAGAAGTCAGGACAGGGGAACAGTAGAAGAGTGAGGAGAGGATGGCAGGGCCCACAGAAGCAGGCAGCTCACACCCAGCATTCAGCAGGCCTCCATCTCATAGGCACCCAATCACCAGGACGACCAGGATCCTCCGGCCAGGGACACATCCTCCCACCCCACGATGGTGACCTGCAGCCCACTGACGACAGTCCCTGCCAGCCAACCTTCCCATCAGGTCCACTCACCCACCGCTACCTGTGTGAAGATAGAACACGGAGGCCCAGAGCCATGGGGGAAGCTGGCCCTGCAATGAGGCCTCCTCTCCACAACCCATGACAGAGATCTGGTTCCACTTTGGGCCTGAGGCGTGGGGAACCTCAGCGCAGGGCATGGCCCCACAGCCCGCGGGGGCACGCACCTGAGGAGAGCACGTGGGGGGGGATCTGCACGTGCGGGCTGAGCCCCAGGAAGTTGCACCGATAGGCCTCCTCGTACTGGCTGCTGTATGGGATGATGCGGACGCAGCCCACGGGAAGCATGGTCTGAGGAGGACAGCAGGACTCAGACCAAGGACACGAGGAAGCCCTCAGCCCCGGCCATCCATGCTCTACTACCCAAACCCCACACGCCTCCTGCAGCCCGGTCCAAGCCCTCCCTCCTGCCAGAGGAGTCCCCAGACTCTCAGCCCACAGTGGGGGTGAGGGGGGAGGGTCCTCCACCACCAGGTCCCTAACTCTTGTCTGGACCGCCAGTCACACACCAGCTTGTACCGCCCCTCGCTCTGTGGTGTTAACTCATATTAATGTTTGCCTGCACAGATGTTTGTCTCCTACCGCATCCCACAAAGAAGCTTTTACCAAGACTGTGTCATATGCATTTTTGTTCCCTCTCAGGCCTGGGCAGTCAGCAGGCACACGCATCCTTCTGATGATTTAAACATCATCAGACCAGACCCGGGTCTCCGTGCCCACTGCGCCCCCAGTGGAGACCGTGTGGTGCACAGCGGTTCTGTGCTGGGCAGTCGGTGCACCTTGGCATCCCCACCTGACGCCAGGCACCAGGCCAATACTGCCCTGCGCCGCACACCTAAGGAAAAGATGTTCTCACCCGAAGTACTTCAAAAGCTGACTGGACGAGGTCCACGTCTCTGCTTTTCCAGATCACCTGGTTCCCCATGAGAACGTGCCAGGCCAGCATGCGGAAAGAAGGGGCACCCAGGACCTAAACAAGAGAGTGCAGTGCTTTCAGCGTGACTAGTAGAAATGGTTTTTCTCTCCCTTCCCATGAAGTTATTTGTGTGTTCATAAAACTTTGTAGAGCAAAGACAGGGCTCAGGAGAAAGACACTTATCTTCTCAGGGAGGCGGGTGCCCGGCCCAGGGTTAAAGGGGCAGAGAGAGAAGTTCCAGGTTTGCACATAAATGCTAGATTCCAAAGCTCTTGCTCCAAGATCTTTCTCCCAGTTTTGTTTTTAAAAATTTGAAGCAAAAAGATGTTAACTTTGTGCAATATTCACCTTCTCTCTACAGACACTTTCTGCTGAACCATTTGAAAGCAAGCTGTAGGGCCCTCGACATGGCAGCACCCAGGAGAATAAGGGCATCTCCACAGCTGAGACCATGACTGCAGCCAGGAGTGCCTGGACGGACGCATCTGACATCCAGCCGTGTGCACAAGCCCAGGGCTGCTGCCTGCTTGACGGCTGCTGTTCTTTGGATCCAGGAGATACTACAGGACCCATCATGGCTTTTAGTTGTCACGTCCTTATTCTTTAACCTAGAACAGCCTCTCCCCACACCCCACCTGTTATTAACTTCCATGACATTGACACCTTAGGAGAGTCCAGCCTGCTGTCTCACGGCTTCTAAGAAGCCAAACCCAGCTTTGAAACACAACATAAGAGAGAGGCCACAATACTATGTCTCACCAAACCCCAACAGCCTCAAAGTAGTCCCACCTCCAGAGGAATTCCAGACCCCTTCCAACCTTCATCAACATAAGCAACGGACAAGGAAGGTTTCAGCCAAATGCAGGATTTTGATGGAATGGGTGTTTACATCCAGAAGCCCCAAGGACATCTGCCATGAAATCAGTCTCACTCCATTTTCAAAAACAAATAACTCTCTTCTAATGAATCAGTGCTCATTGGAAAAATTCATGCAGAAGAATTTTATAAGAAGGCAGCCTGCCCTTGTAATCCAGCAACCCACACCCCTCTCTCCCGGCATCTGACTCGATGTAACTGGAGACAACACTGTTAGATTTTGTCGTGTCTGGCAGGCACACATGTACATACATCACCCTGAACACACAGTGCCTGCTTTATTTCTTCTAATTAATCATATTCCATGGTTTGGCTACTGTTTACTAGTATGGTTTGATATGCAAGTTGTTCCTAATTTTTTGTAAGAATGACCATCACTTTCTTTTTTTTTTTTTTTTTGAGATGGAGTCTCGCTCTGTCACCAGTCTGGAGTGCAGTGGTGCCATCTTGGCTCACTGTTAACCTCCACCTCCCAGGTTCAAGCGATTCTCCTGCCTCAGCCTCCAAGTAGCTGGGACTACAGGCACATGCCACCATGCCCAGCTAATTTTTGTATTAATAGAGATGGGGTTTCACCATGTTGGCCAGGCTGGTCTCGAACTCCTGACCTCGTGATCCGCTCCCCCTTGGCCTCCCAAAGTGCTGGGATTACAGGTGAGAGCCACCACGCCCAGCCAGACCATCACTTACAATGGGCAGGGTCCAGGCTGCATCCAAACCAATTACAGTGCTGTTCAATGCCTTTAGGAGCTTCTTAGAGGATTAGAGGACCATGGGATGCCAACTATCTGGGCTTTTCTTTGAAGATACTTAGGTCATCACTGAAAGGGGAGCACTGATCCTATGGCTAATACCCCCAACGCCCTGTGCCCTCAGCCACCCACCGAGGAGGCTGTCAGTCACTTCCTGCAGGGTTTTGAAGGTGGAGGGTCCAGAGGCAAGGCGTGTGGGCAGGGACAGCCCATGACTGGCTCTCCTCCTGAGCTCCTGATGCGCTGTGCCCCTGCCGCCTACCTGCCTCATGTGCCGGAGGGACTTGAAGACTGGCAGCTTCCGGGGCTGCCAGCTCCCACAGCCTGAGAGAGAGGAGGACTCTGCCGGGCCCTGGGTCAGCTCCCGCCCTTCTGTACTCTCTGGCAACACAGGGGCTTTCTCCTCCTCTTCAGCCTCAGAGTTGTCCCAGCTTTCTGATTCCTCTTCTAAATCTGCAAGACAGATGACAAGGACAGTTACAGATACAAACAGTCTCATCCTGTGACTTCAGCCCAAGATACTTCATGGGCTGAGCCGGTCAGTGTAGATTCCTGGCTGCGGCCAGGTCCTATGCTCCCTGCTCCCTGTTGCTCTGGGAGCCCTGGGGTGGGAGGGAGGGCTCAGTTGCTGTCTACTTAGCCCGGGGTACCACACATCTCTCTTAGAAGCACTTATGGAAAGACCGTCAGCTGTTCTCTGCTGGTGAGAAAACTCAAATCAGTAAGAAAAATGCCAACAGCGTGTCTACGGAACACACCCAGTCGGCCACAGTTCTCGAGGATCTACACGTTGTTTCTTTTTTTTCCACTTTTTTTTTTTTTTTTTTTTTTGAGACGGAGTCTCACTCTGTCGCACAGGCTGGAGTGCAGTGGCGCAATCTCGGCTCACTGCAACCTCCGCCTCCTGGGTTCAAGCGATTCTTCTGCCCCAGCCTCCCAAGTAGCTGGGACTACAGGCACCTGCCACCATGTCCGGCTAACTTTTTTTGGTATTTTTAGTAGAGACGGGGTTTCACCGTTATCTGCCAGGCTGGTCTCAAACTCCTGACCTCATGATCCCCCGACCTCGGCCTCCCGGTCCACTTTTGTTTTAGCTTGAGGGCGTACGTGTGCGGCTTTGTTACAAGGGTATGCTGCGTGGTGCTAAAGTTTGGGCTTCTATGAATCCTGTCACCCAGACAGTGAACCACAGGAAGTAATATGCCCAGATAGTATCCAATAGAAAGCATTTCAGCCCTTCCTCCCCTTCCTCCCTCCCTCCCTCCTTCTGGAGCCCCCAGTGTCTACTATTCCCATCTTTTTTATTTGAGACAGTGTCTCGCTCTGTTGCCCAGGCTGGAATGCAGTGGCACGATCACGGCTTACTGCAGCCTCAATCTTCTGGGCTCAAGTGATCCTCCCAACGAAGCCTTCCAAGTAGTGGGACTACAGGCATGCGCCACCACGCCCAGCTACTTTTCATATTTTTTGTAGAGACTGGACCTCCCTATGTTGCTCAGGCTGGTCTCAAACTCCTGAGCTCAAGCAATCCACCTGTCTCGGTCTCCCAAGAGCTGGGATTCCAGGCGTGCACCAGTGCCTGACTTCGTTCTTTATGGCTACATCCAACATCATTTCATTTAGTCCTCTCAGCTGTTCTGAGGTCAGCACTATTATCTCCATTTCACAGATGAAGAAATTAGTATTTGTCATTTCAACGAAACTTCATGGAGCCCTCACAAATGACAACATCTCCATTTCACATCACGAGACCCAAAGGGAAGGGTGCACGTCAGAAGCAAATCCAGGATGCGAAGCCAGGTCTGTCTGATGCCAAAGGGCAAGCCCTGAGCCCGAAACCCCATACTGCGCATGCCCAGCACACCTGCGTTTCCAGCTCTCACAAAGGCTTCGACAGACCTGGCTCTTCGTGCTAAAAAGCTCACCAAGACACTGCCCTTGCCATCTGCACCTGCCTAGAAACATGATTAGCACTATAATAAATGGCTCCAGGGCCAGCCAACCTGCAGGGCATGGGGGTGGATTCCCAGGCTTTGTCTTTCCTGACCAGGTTTTGCTCTTGCTGAGACTCCATTGGCAAAGCTTATTTGAGGGCACGCCTGCACCTGCCTGCAGAAACACCTCGAAACAGCTCTGGCTGTTTGGAAGGCTGGTCATTTGCAAGCAGAAGCATGGGAAGCATTATTAATGACATGTGGTGTGGAACAATGGTCGTACCACAGACCTGTAGCACCAAGATCAAATCATCCCTGATGGAAAGCTTGGCCAAGACTGGCCCAGTGCTTCCAGGCTGGTGCACACAGTGCCACGATCCCCAAACACAGGGCCCCAAGCCCCAGATCAGGAACCTGGGGAAGCCCAGGCACCTGGGAGGTCAGGGAACCACTGCCCTTCATGGAAAACTTGGGACGAACTGAAACAGAACACTTTATTTGTAAAGGAGCAAAGACCGTCGACCAGGCCAAGCACTTGGCTATCACAAAATCGGGACGAGAAGCCTTTAATCAGCCAGTTCTCTCTACAGACAGCCCACCTGTGAATTTTCCCCACCTAGCTGGGGAACAGATTCTTTCACATGGCGGTCAAGGCAAACGAGACAGGAAATCACAACAATCACAACAATCACACCGAGATCGGAGGGTGAGCTTCCCGAAGGCTCGTTCTGGGCTGATTCAGAGCCGCGTTTCCCTCCCTCAGCGATTCCTGCCAGGAGAGCAGACAGCTGGTACCGCCCCACGGCCATCCGGGCCAAGGCCCCGGCAACAGCACCCCTGCCTCACCAGCGAGCTTCTCCATCTGGACCAAGGTATCCTCGGTCGGAGCACCTTCCAGGAGCTTCTCGGTCAGCCGGCTGCCACACGCCTTCAGGAGCCTGGAGAACACAGCACCAGCTATGAGCGTTCTCGCCAAAGGAAAAAGCAAACCTGACGCTCACCCAGCCCCTGATCCTACCAGTTTAAAGAAAAAATGGGTATAAAAGAACACCAGCAGGGCACAACCAGCCAGATCCCGCATGCAGGCAGTTCCACAAGTCAACGACCAAGGTCCTTCAATAGATGGATGGGAGGAACTTGGAGGGGAGGGGATGCAAGGGGGAGCTGTTCTAAACCAGAGAGACTTGGGGCGCTGCTCCGATGCCAATGCAGTCACTTGTGAGACAAAAGGTAAACTGCACAAGGGCTTGCAGCCTGGAGAACACTCAGGAGTCTGTCCGTTTTGTCGGACATGATCACAGTATTGTGATTATATTTATGGCTGGAATGATACGACTCAGATTTGCTTTAAAAAAAAAAAAAAAGGCTGGGCGCGGTGGCTCACACCTGTAATCCCAGCACTCTGGGAGGCTGAGGCAGGTGGATCACATGAGGTCAGGAGTTTGAGAACAGCCTGGCCAACATGGTGAAACCCCGTCTCTACCAAAAATAAAAAAATTAGCTGGGTGTGGTGACAGGCGCCTGTAATCCCAGCTACTTGGGAGGCTGGGGCAGGAGAATCACTTGAACCCAGGAAGAAGTGAGTTCCACATCAATATGTTTTCAGCACACTCAGGGGAAGAGGCCTACAGAACAAGGACTCCCAGCCCAGATCTGTGCTCACTGACAAGTGCCCACAGGCCAGTGCTCCTCACAGAGGCAGCAAGCAAACACGGCTAAGGACTGTTCTCCCAAATCCATGGACAAGCCAACCAATGTATCGTGACTGCTCTATCCTAACAGATATGCCAAAAGCAGAGACGCCCGTTACCAGGCAAAGGAGGTGTGCAGGCACGCCCACAGGTTGTCATCACTTGTCAGCGATGTCAGCGAGCGGGCGGCGTTGCCGTTCCTCTGGTGTAGGAATGGCGTGAAGGCTGTGTTCATCCTCTGAGCACGCTGTGGGCATCCAAACTGCTCTGCCTCAAACACCTGAAATGCAAAGGGAAGGGATGGCCTCTTTAAGCCAAAGCTGCCAGCAGCTCGGACCCCTACTCGTTCACAGCCAACTCCAGGACCTGACTCCTGGAGGATCAGTCCCACTATACTCTCTCCATGCAGAGCACACAAAGTGCCACCAGTCCAATCATTCCCAACAGCATAGCTCTGCCCCGGCTACATCAGGAGCTATCCGAGAACAGAAATCGGTTGAGCTTCTCCTGTCCCCTTCCTAATGAGTGACCCAAGGCACCCAGGGGGATTCTCGTGAGTGGCCATCTGCGCTGCTCCCCACCTGTCTCCACCTCCCCTTCTGGGTGCACTACTTGGCTAAGGCACACGTGACTGGCTCTGGTCAATGAGCTGAGACAAACAAGGCCCTCAGCACCATCTGTGCTTCTGGAGGGCAGAAGGAGCAACATTTTTTCCTTTCTTTTTTTTTTTGAGATGGAGTCTCACTCTGTCGCCCAGGCTGGAGTGCAATGGTGTGATCTCGGCTCACTACAACCTCTGCCTCATGGGTTCAAGCGTTTCTCCTGCCTCAGCCTCCCAAGTAGCTGGGATTACAGGCATGCACCACCATGCCCAGCTAATTTTGTATTTCTGGAAGAGACGGGGTTTCTCCATGTTGGTCAAGCTGGTCTCAAACTCCCGACCTCAGGTGATCTGCCCGCCTTGGCCTCCCAAAGTGCTGGGATTACAGGCGTGAGCCACTGCGCCCAGCCTAGGGGAAGCATTTTCATATGGCTGCCGCTCTGCCTGCCAGGACGACCACAGCAAGCAGAGCCCCACTCTCCTGCAATGCACACACCATGAGTAAGAAACAGGCCCTATGGCTTGAAGGTGCTGAGATCCGAGGCTGTTACCAGAGCACGACCTGGCCTGGCCTGGCCTGAGCTGCATCTCCACAGCTGGAGGCCTACATTCGGTGGTGCAACTCAATGGGATTAACAGACATCCCTGAGATGAAGGCCAGAGGAAACAAAGACACCAGGGGTCTGACTGCAGCAAAGAAACCAGAGCTGAGCGAGAACCAGGACAACGGGCACAAGAGAGACCAGCAAAGCAGGCGGGATGGCCTGGGAGGCTCCTCACGACCTCCAGCTCTGAAGCCAAGAGACTACAATTCACACAGTGCACTGGCTGTAAGCAGAGGGGAAGACGCCACGCGGTCTCCAGGCCTCAACCTCAGCACAGAGCGGCTCATGCAGTGCAGGGCCCCCTGCCGCCCCGGCACCTCATCTCTGAATTCACCTTGAGCGCCTTGCCCTGGAGCTCATCGATGATTCCCCGGACCTTCCCCAGCAGGAAGGGCCAGGAGTTGATGAGGTAGATCCGGTCCATCATGATGGTGATGATGCTGTACCAGCGCTGGAAGCCCCTGGCCAGGCTGTCCTTGATGAAGAAGGTGTGGCTGAACACAAAGCCGTGCTGCTCATCTCCGAAGAAGATGGGGCCTTCACGGCCAGGGCAGACCTGGAGGGACACCGGCGACTCAGACAGCCCTTTCCTCGCTTAGTGACACCAAATCAAAGCCTCTTCTTCAGACTTTTCAGAGTCAGCTGGCACAAATCAGCCAGCGTTAATAACGGGGAGAGTGGCACAGTGGGGGCCATGAGAGCCGAAGACTGTACTCTTCTGCTCCTGTGATCAAGCTTCCAACAACACTTGTCATTGTGGACTGCAAGGGCCGGTAACAAGGCTTATTGCTTTTCTTCCACCTTGAGCCATAAATAACTCCCATGCATATGTCACACCTCTCCCAGACTCAAATGTACCAGCTTACTCACCTGGAGCATGCAGAAGAACCAGCAGGTCAGAGCAGCCACTGCACTCTCCCTGCACTGAAATCCGCACATTTTATTCTTTCTTTCTTTCTTTATTTGAGATGGAGTCTCGCTCTTGTCACCCAGGCTGGAATGCAGTGGTGTGATCCTGGCCCACTGCAACCTCCGTCTCCTGGGTTCAAGCAATTCTCCTGCCTCAGCCTCCTGAGTAGCTGGGATTGTAAGAGTGTGCCACCACGCCTGGCTAATTTTTTTGTATTTTTTTTAGAGAGGGGGTTTCACCATGTTGGCCAGGCTGGTCTCGAACTCCTGACCTCAGGTGATCTGCCGGCCTTGGCCTCCCAAAGGGCTGGGATTACAGGAGTGGGCCACCATGCCCAGCCCCACGTACTTTATTCTTATAAGAGGATTTCAGTCCCTCCTCATTACATACTTACTCTTCCTTAACACACAATTCTAACAGACATGCCGAGCTGCCTGCTAGCAGACCAGCGGTAGGAAATTAAAAGGAGAGGACAGTTGAGGGCAGGCACACAGCCACACTGAATGAGAACAGTAAGGGAGCTTGGTGTGTCGAACTGGGTGGACACCAATGACAAGGAAGTTTAGTAACTGAACGACGAATTCTTTGTAACAAAGACCTGAGCTCAGAGTCAAGAGCAACAGCAGCAGCGACGTAGTTTAGGAAGAAATCATCCACACCTCAGCAGGCTGAGAGCAGCACGGGATCATCACTGAGACTTGGAATGAGGACTGAGATAATAAAAAAAGGTGATGTTGATGCAATGAACCACCTAACCTAGAAATGCTTCCTATCTTAGGAATACATCCATCAAGAATAGACACACATGGCTGGGCATGGCGGCTCACACCTGTAATCCTAGTGCTTTGGGAGGATGAGCCAGAGGATTGCTTGAGTTCGAGACCAACCTGGGCAACATACTGAGACCTCATCTCTACAAAAAAATTTTAAAAAGGTGGGGCACAGTGGCTCCCACCTGTAATCCCAGCACTTCGGGAGGCCGAGGCGGGCAAATCACAAGGTCAGGAGTTCAAGACCAGCTCGGCCAACATGGTGAAATCTCTTCTCTACTAAAAATACAAAAAATTAGCCGGGCATGGTGGCACACGCCTGTTGTCCCAGCTACTCAGGATAGCTGAGACAGAAGAATCACTTAAACCCAGGGTGGAGGTTGCAGTAAGCCGAGATTGCACCACTGCACTCCAGCCTGGGCAACCGAGTGAGACTCTGTCTTAACAACAACAAAAAACAAACCCCAGTTGAGCATGGTGGCACACACCAGTGGTCCCAGCCACCTGGGAGGCTAAGGCGGGAGGATCGCTTGAGCCCAGGAGTTTGAGGTTGCAGTGAACCATGACGGCACCACTGCACTCCAGTCTGGACGACAGAGCGAGACCCTGACACAAAAGAAGGAAAAAAGAAAACAATAATAATAAAGAAAGGACAAATAATAAAAGTTCGGTGCTTAAAGTGCAAAAGCTAGCACTCAATCAGAAAATGCTCAGCAAGTCCAACATGACTCCTCCCGCAATTCTGGACAAGGGAGGCGTCCTGTACCCTGTGCTGTGCTGATCTGCGGGTCCGCCCTGAGAGAGGACCAGTGCCTGCCTCCCTGTGCAATGCTGGCTCCGAGCCCACCCAGAGCACCTGGGAGCATGTGGGCTCCCACAGAGACAGGCTCTGTGGCCACAAGGCTCACCTCACAGCTCAGGCTCCGGACACAGGCCTGGCGGACAATGCTGAAGAGCTGGGGGTGGCTGGGGTGCTGGTGGCTGACGTATTTAATGGAGGTCTCTTTATCATGGCTGATATATCCCGGGTGCCCTGCAGCAAGTGACCGGCAGCCCTGTCCATGAAAAGGAAAAGTAAATCTGTTAGTTGGGAAGCAGGGCGACAAACTCTCTTAGGTTTATGCAAATCTGAGCTCGGAAAACTCAAGCTATTTTTGTAAAAAAATAATTGGCTTCCAGATTTATACTTATCTGAAGATTTAAATGTTTCCTAAAGAGGAAAACAGAACACAGAGATCGCAGAGATTGCCAGAGGTTGTTCCTAACAGGTATTTGCTGAGCACTTACGAAGTAGGTAACATGAAAAGGGCCCTGCATGCTCCATCTCATTCAATCCCAAGTGCCACCCTCTGAGATAATGTCAGTGAGAAGCCCCATTCTACAGAAGACAAAACTGAGGCTGAAGTGAGAAGTAGCTGGCCCGAGGGTGAGGGGCTCTGTGGTGGTAACACTACCCACTGCCCCCAGCCTCCATCATTGGTTCTGAACTAACACCTGGAAGGGGCTTCAGCCACAGGCGAGAGGCCCAATAAATAGGGCGAGCACCAAGCTCCAGGATGTTGGTGTGGCAGCTCACCACTGCTGCCCCGCTGCCCCGCTGCAGCCACAGCCACTCCGATGCTGAGGCTGTGCGCCCTGGAGCTGCTCCTACCCCAGGACTGTGCGGCAGTGCGTCAGCAAGACTCTCCCCACAGTGTCGCAGGATTCCTCCATGGGCAACCCCAAAACCAGCTCAAGGATGCCCCAGCAGCCTGGCGGTGCCCTCCTTCCCAGGTCTGAGGTGCTCCCCATCCCCCATTCCTTACAGGCAATTCCAGCAATGGATGCAGCTCTTACACGTCCTCTGCTTCTGCAGCAGAACCAAAAGAACAAGCTTGGGTTCCCGTTTGCACTGCAGTGGCAGGTCCAACACCCACCCCTGATTTTGGGCCCTGACCCAGGTCCTCCACAAAAACAAGTGGCCCACTGGGGAAAACTCACACTAATTCCCGAGAGTTCAAGAGCTGATGGAGTGACCCACCGAGAACACTGGGGGTCCTGGGAGCAGGAAACTCCACTGGGAGCACGGGACTTTGGGGACCCGCCTCCAGGACAGGCTGGAGTGTGTGAATACAAACATGAAGGCCACGGCAGGGAGGCAGAGTGGGTTAAAGAAGTTAACATAGGCTGGGTGTGGTGGCTCACGCCTGTAATCTCAGCACTTTGGGAGGCCGAGGCAGGTGGATCACCTGAGGTCACGAGTTCAAGACCAGCCTGCCCAACATGGTGAAACCCCATCTCTACTAAAAATACAAAATTAGCCAGGCGTGGTGGCAGGCAAGTGTAATTCGTTATTCGGGAGGCTGAGGCAGGAGAATTGCTTGAACCCGGGAGGCAGAGGTTGCAGTGAGCCATGATCACACCATGGCACTCCAGCCTGGGCAATAAGAGCAAAACTCTGTCTCAAAAAAAACAAAACAAAACAAAACAAAAGCTACAGTCAGGATGAGCGGAAAGAACTGAAGGGCCCCTGAGAAGCAGTCTGTGTCACCCCGGGAGGCCCCGTCCACTGCTCTCAGGTCCTCCTGTCCATCCCACACCTACTGCAGGGATCACAAAACCAAGACCCCAAAGACACTTGCCTCGCACATGTCCGACTTTTTGGGCCCCGGGCTGCTGGACTCGACGCTGGCCCCCTCTGCGGGGCTGTGCGCACGCATCCGACTGTTCATCTGAATGCCACCTTCCTCTTCTTCCGCCTGCTCACCCTGGCCAGGACTGTCCTCATTCCCATCCCCTTGAGGAAGTGGGGCGTGCAGCACCTCCGTGCAGAAGAGAGTGCGGGGGCCGTGGAGCTCGCAGAAGTGGCAGAGAGCCACGATGGCATTCATGGTGCCTTGGAGACTGCAACAGGCCTGCGTGGGACAGGGGACATGTCAGCTTGCCAATGCCTATTGACTCCATGAAACCTCCCCAGCCCCTCTGGAGCACAGGGAGCACCTGGGTGCCATGGACTTCCTGCCCAGGAGAGGCCACCCGCCAGTTCCCCAGCCCCCTGCCAGCACTGCTTTGCCCCAGTGCGAGAGGAACAGAGATAGGATCTTCCCATGGGAGTCACAGCAAATAGGGGAGGGGACAATGTGGACCAATGATAGCACAGCTGGAGCTGTGACAGAGCCACAGCCACAAAGCCAACGGCGCTGGAAAGGAATGTCCTCAAGTGACATGAACTGCAGCCAAACCTGGCAAACCCTGTGAGAACAAATAGATAAAAGGCCACAGGGAGAGGGTCCTCCACCCAATACATATCTGCTTGGCACCTGCTCCATGTGGGCCAAGGTGCTAGGCAACATGATACTGCCCTCATGCAGCTTACCTCCTGCAGGGGGTCGGCGGGGGACACAGGAAAACTGCTTCCTGCGAGAGGCCCACGCAGGGAATGACCAGAGGAGGCAGGAGCCTGGAAGGACTGGCTTACGGGGCCAAGCAAGAGTTGAAGGGCAGGGTGGGTGCTGTACTGTCTGAGGGGTGTGTAAGGTCCGGTGTCCAAAGAGCAGCAGCAGACAGGGTGGAGGCTGTAGGAAGCAGATCTTATAGCTCCTCCAGGCCACCGAAAGACCCTGGATGTGTTATCAGAGACTGGGGAGGCTTTGGGGGTTCTGATGAGACATGAGAAAATGTGAATTTCACTTGAATAGGTTCACTCATGCCCATGTGCAGAAAAGATGGCAGGGGGCCAGGGTGGAGGTGGGGAACAAGCTGAGGCACCCTGCTGACTGATCTGAGCAGGAAGGGACAGTGGCCCAGGCCAGGCAGGGTGAAGACGCACAGTGCGGGTGGGGTGCAGAGTGCGGAGCAGTGAGCAGGGGAGAAGGCCCAGTGAGTGCCTGCTGAGCCTTCACGGGGACGGGACACAGCAGCAGAGCCAAGCGCTGCGGTCGGGGCTGACGCATGGGACCTCCGTGGAGTGCAGCCCTTGTAGACTCAGAGGTGGAGAAGGGAGGACAGCTAGCCAACATGACCAAGCACAGGCAGTGAGGCCAGAGGGGAGCTCCAGAGTCACCCCAGTGACCAGGTAAACTGCTTTAGCAAGGTGGGACTGGAATGTCACATGGCCTTAAAAAGGAAGGAAACCCTGCCACAAGCTACGGCACGGCTGAAACTGAAGGACATTACACGAAATGATCTACACTGGTCACAAACGGATAAACACTGTAGGATTCCACTTAAATAGGAGGTACCTAGAGTCCTCAAAGCCATAGAGACAGAGAGCAGAATGGCAGCTGCCGGGGACTGGGAGGGAAGAGCGGGGCTCAGTTCTGGAGACGGAAGGTGGCGATGGCCGCACAGCACTGTGAACATACTTCATGCCACGGCACTGCACGCCGAACAGTGGTTCAAATGGCGCATTTTAGGTCATGTATTATTTCACCACAATCTTTTTAAAAGGGGGAGTGGTAACCTGCAGAACAATGATGAAGTCAAAGGTGACCTTAACACAGTTTCCGGTGGAGAAAAAGCTCACAGGAGTGGGTAGAGAGAGCCCTTTGGAGAGTTTCCGTGGCAGAGCCAGCAATGGGACACCTGGTGGGGACATGGAGTCAAGGAAAGCCCCAAGCTTGGCCACAGTACAGCTGCGATGCCGGCGGAACCATGTGAAGGCCAGGGGCAGCTGCAGGCACAAAGTCTGAGGGACACCAAGCACTCATTGCAGAGGGATGGCCGCGGCAGCATGAGGCAGTATGCCTTCCTAACGAATGCAGGAAAGCCAGAGAAGGCTTTAAAATGGGGGTGTGTCATGGGGTTCTCACTGGCAGAGAAGTTCTGGAAACGAGACCGCAAAAGCAAAGGTGCACAGTGGGGACAGCCACAGCCAACAGCCTGACATGTGACACAGCCTGACACATGCAGCCAGACCCACATTGTCCATACGGTGGCCACAGCTATGTGTGACAACTTAAATTTAAAATTTAAATTAGCTAGGAGAGGCCGGCACAGTGGCTCATGCCTGTAATCCCATGAGCCTGTAATCCCAACACTTTGGGAGGCTGAGGCGGGTGGATCACTTGAGGTCAGGAGTTTGAGACCAGCCTGGCCGACGCAGTGAAACCCTGCCTCTACTAAGAATACAAAGATTAGCCAGGTGTGGTGGTGTGCGCTGGTAGTCCCAGCTACTCAGGAGGCTGAGGC
Organism: Homo sapiens; assembly: GCF_000001405.40. NCBI lineage: Eukaryota > Metazoa > Chordata > Mammalia > Primates > Hominidae > Homo > Homo sapiens. Next base: position 17,230,437 of record NC_000017.11, read on the forward strand.
ACGAGAATCACTTGAACCTGGGAGGCAAGGTTGCAGTGAGCCGAGATCGCACCACGGCACTCGAGCCTGGGCAACAAAGTGAGACTCAGTCTCAAAAAAAACCAAAAACAACAAAAACAAAACAAAATAAAACAAAAACCTTAGCTGGGCGTGTTGGCGGTCACCTATAAACCCAGCTACTTGGGAGGCTGAGGGAGGAGAATCACTTGAACCTGGGAGGCGGAGGTTGCAGTGAGCCAAGACTAGGTCACTGCACTCCAGCCTTTATGACAGGGCGAGACTCCATCTCAAAAAAAAAAAAAAAAAAGTAGCCTGGAGTGGTGGCGCACGCTTGTAGTCCCAACTACTTGGGAGGCCTAGGCAGGAGAATCGCTCGAACCTGGGAGGTGGAGGTTGCAGTGAGCTGAGATCGTACTACTACATTCCAGCCTGGGTGACAGAGTGAGTGAGACTTCGTCTCGAAAAAATTAAATAAATAGGCTGAGTGCGGTTGTTCATGCCTGTAATCCCAGCACTTTGGGAGGCCGAGGTGGGCAGATCACTTGAGGTCAGGAGTTCAAGACCAGCCTGGCCAACATGGCAAAACCCCATTTCTACTACAAGTACAAAAAAAATTAGCCAGGCATGGTGGCGCACACCTGTAGTCCCAGCTACTCAAGAGGCTGAGGCGGGAGAATTGCTTGAACCTAGGAGGCGAAGGTTGCAGTGAGCCAAGACTGCGCAACTGCAGTCCAGCCTGGGCGACAGAGAGACTCCGTCTCAAAATAAATAATGAATTAATTAATTAATATATTAGCTAGGACAAAAGCTCAGCCCTTCTGTCTCACCGGCCATGTCCTGAGTGTTTGCTAGGCACACACGACTCACGCCACCCCTCTGAATAGCCCAGGTCACAGAATATTTCTGCCTTCCCAGAAAGCCCCATTGCTTTCTGGGTGTGGCTGGCAGGGAATGGAGGGCTGGTGCTCAGTAGGTGCACTCCGAGAGGGAGGCAGACAGGCAGCGGGAGAGGAAACAGAGTTTCAATAAAGGGCCCAAGTCAGACTTGCTTGGGACGATGAAGAATCATGTAAGTTTCTGAATGTTTGACTGAGTAGTGGACACTGGCCAGGACCCAAAGCCTCTTCTCTTCTGGGGAGCCCCCACCCCTGTTACGGATCCAAAAGTCAGACGTTCTGTCTTCGCTCCTGACAGGCAGGCTGTGAACACAAACAAGGCATGGCCTGCCAAAGCCGCTAACTCTAGGAAGAAGCAAAGGACGATGTGCATGGTGGTGGGGGGTGCTGCAGCCAGCCTCTCTGCCGGCGGCCCATGCCTGGAACTGCTTCTTCAGCATGCCTGCGAATGCACCACCCACCTGACGTTTCTGCAGTTGGCTGCTTAGCTGCACGAGCTGCTCCGGCACCTGTCCTCCTGCTGAGATACGGCTGAGCACGAGTGGTCACACTGGGAATGGCAGAGGCAGACAGAAAACAGACATTTGAAGAGAACCTTAGCTGGGCTGGCAGTGAGGCAGGTGTGGGAGTCAGAGAGGGAGACCCTGGGTGTGGCTGGCAGGGAATGGAGGGCTAGTGCTCTGTAGGTGCACTCCGAGAGGGAGGCAGACAGGCAGCGGGAGAGGAAACATACGCATTTAACAGATGGCAGAACTTCTAGCTGGAAGGCCCTGAGAACTCAGCAAAGATGCAGGCTGCAGGACAGGAGAGGGCAGGGCTGGGGACAAAGGTCAGGAATGCTCCACACACCGTCACCTGGCTCACTCCTCACCACTCGGCCTCCACTTGCTCCCCTGCTCAGAGTACCCCTTGCCAGCCCACCAGAAGAGCTCCCCTCCACCCCGACACCCTCCCCTGCCCTGCTTTGAGTCGTAGCGCTCCTCATCGCAGAACTGCGCCTCCAAAGTGCCTTCCTGACACACAGGAAGCGCCACATTCACGTGTTAGATAAATGAGAGGACTGAGAAGTCGCCCTTGGAAAGATGACAGCTGTTGCCAAGAAAGGGGCGGAATCTAGGGGCGGCAGAGGTTCAGGAGCCACAGCTGTGGGGAAGGCCGGAGCCAGAGTCTAGTGGCACAGGAACCAAACAGACAGTTTCAATAAAGGGCCCACAGGGTTCACTATGATGAGTGGCTTAAAAATCTACTGCTCAACAGGAGATGGGGCGACCACTGATGGAGTAAGGGGTAGCAGGACCCAAAGGAAAGGTAAAGGCATTAAACTGCGAAAAGGAAGGCCACGCCTTTCTCTGAGAGGCATCAGGGGAAGAGAAATAAGGTTCCTTCTAGCAAGACATGCACAGGACAGCAAGCCTGGGCCAAGTCTCAGCCCACCTGCAGAGCACCCACACTAACCTGACACTCAGCAGAATCACGCTTCCACCGTCCACACCAGACCACCACACACGAGGCTGCTGCCAAATGGGTCAGGCATGGTGGTGGCAGACACCCTTGAAGACCTGGCGTTTTCTAGGTAAGAGAAAAAAAAAATTAGAGCTATTTCTAAGATTAGAGGCCTTCGTAGCATGAAAAATAATGGGAGCAGCTTACAGCCAGTCTCAAATAAGAACGTGTCTGATGAGGATGTAGACACTCCCCAGGGTTCTGAATGGCTTAGCAGGCCTCTGACCTTCTCAGCAGGAGCTGACATTTTAGCTGAACTCTTGCACCTCTGAGGCACTCTAAACCAGTATTTGATCAAGGATCTCTGTATTTATTTTTTTAGAGATAGGGTCTTGAGGCCAGCTCAGTGGCTCATGCTTGTAATCCCAACACTTCGGGAGGCCAAGGCAGGAGGATTGCTTCAGCCCATGAGTTTGAGACCAGCCTGGGTAACACAGTGAGACCCTGTCTCTACAAAAAATTTTTAAAAAAAATTAGCCAGGCCGGGCGCGGTGGCTCACGCCTGTAACCCCGGCACTTTGGGAGGCCGAGGTGGGCAGATCAGGAGGTCAGGAGATCGAGACCATCCTGGCTAACATGGTGAAACCCCATCTCTACTAAAAATACAAAAAAAATCAGCCAGGCATGGTGACAGGCGCCTATAGTCCCAGCTACTCGGGAGGCTGAGGCAGGAGAATGGCGTGAACCTGAGACGCAGAGCTTGCAGTGAGCCAAGATCACGGCACTGCACTCCAGCCTGGGCGACACAGCAAGACTCCATCTCAAAAAAAAAAAAAAAAAAAAAAATTAGCCGGGCATGCCTCTAGTCCAAGTTACTTGGGGGACTAAGTTGGGAGGTCACTTCAGCCTGGGAGGTCAAGGCTGCAAGTTCCCATCTTTCCTTTTTTTTTTTTTTTTTTTTTTTTGAGACCAAGTTTCACTCTTGTCACCCAGGCTGGAGTGCAATGGCGTGATCTCAGCTCACTGCAACCTCTGCCTCCCAGGTTTAAGTGATTCTCCTGCCTCAGCCTCCTGAGTAGCTGGGATTACAGGTGTCTGCCACCACACCTGGCTAATTTTTGTATTTTAGTAGAGACAGAGTTTCACCATGTTGGCCAGGCTGGTCTCGAACTCCCGACCTCAGGTGATCCACCTACCTCAGCCTCCCTAAGTGCTAGGATTACAGGCATGAGCCACTGCATCCAGCCAAGTCCCCATCTTTCTTACTCTTGGTTATAAGGGGGTGCTCTGGCAGCATCTACATCACACCAACTTACTTTTCAGGCCATAGGCCTGGCAGTTTCCTTCTCAAGCAGGAGAGGGAAACCAGAGGCAACGCTGACAAGCCACTTCCCAGCACCCAGAGCCAACATGGGCTACACTGTTTTGTTTTTTTTTGGTTTGTTTTTTTTTTTGCGGAAGGGTCTCATTCTGTTGCCCAGGCTGGAGTGCAGTGCAGCAATCTCGGATCACTGCCACCTCCGCCTCCCAGGTTCAAGCAATTCTCCTGCCTCAGCTTCCCGAGTAGCTGGAATTATGGCCGTGCGCCACCAGGACCAGCCAACTTTTGTATTTTTAGTAGAGATGGGGTTTCGCCATGTTAGCCAGGCTGGTCTTGAACTCCTGACCTCAGGTGATTCTCCCGCCTCCTCGGCCTCCCAAAGTGCTGGGATTACAGGCATAAGCCACCATGTCTGGCCAAAACATGGGCTACTCTTATTCGTTTTTCCTTTTAATGAAAAGCACTCGCTGGGTGCAGTGGCTTAAGCCTGTAATCCCAGCACTTTGGGAGGCCAAGGAGGGCAGATCACCTAAGGTCAGGAGTTTGTGACCAGCCAGGCTAACATGGTGAAACCCTGTCTCTACTAAAAATAGAAAAATTGCCGGGTGTGGTGGCTCATGCTTGTAATCCCAGCACTTTGGGAGGCCGAGGCAGGCGGACCACGAGGTCAGGAGTTCGAGACCAGCCTGGCCAACATATTGAAACCCCATCTCTACTAAAAATACAAAAATTAGGCTGGGTGCGGTGGCTCACGCCTGTAATCCCAGCACTTTGGGAGGCCGAGGTGGGCAGATCACGAGGTCAGGAGATTGAGACCATCCTGGCTAACACAGTGAAACCCCGTCTCTACTAAAAAATACAAAAAATTAGCTGGGCATGGTGGCGGGGGCCTGTAGCCCCAGCTACTGGGGAGGCCGAGGGAGGAGAATGGCGTGAACCCAGGAGGCACAGCTTGCAGTGAGCTGATCGCACCACTGCACTCCAGCCTGGGCCACAGAGCAAGACTCCATTTCAAAAAAAAAAAAAAAAAAAAAGCCAGGCATGGTGGTGGTGCATGCCTGTAATCCCAGCTACTGGGGAATCTGAGGCAGGAGAATTGCTTGAACCTGGGAGACGGAGGTTGCAGTGAGCTGAGATCGCACCATTGCACTCCAGCCTGGGCAATAAGAGTAAAACTCCATTTCAAAAAATACAAAATACGAAAATTAGCCAGGCCTGGTGGCACGTGCCTGTAGTGCCAGCTACTCAGGAGGCTGAGGCAGGAGAATCGTTTGAGCCTGGAAGCGGAGGTGGCAGTGAGCCGAGATCGCATCACTGCACTCCAGCCTGGGCGACAGAATGAGATTCTGTCTCCAAAAAAGAAAGAAAGAAAGAAAGAAAGCAAAAGCACTTGTCAGACGAGAGCTCTGACTCTGACTCCATGGATCATGTGCACCAGAGGCCCAGGCAGCCCCTGAAAGAGAGGGAGGTGCCCTACAGAGCACTTAGCTTTGCGGTCACCGGAGCCTGCCCTCACCAGCCAGGTGACACCAAGTGTTACTAGACCTCTCTGAATACCACCCAAAAGCTGAGAAACAGAGGCCTCTCAGAATTCGCATTACACATGGAATCAGAATTCTGGGCAGCGTGAGGTCATTCTTCACTCACTGTTCAATTCCAATCTCTACCAGGTGTTTGCTGAAGAAAACAAACTGGTTTGAGTGTGTCTCACGAGTCTGTTTCCAACAAGCTTTCCAGAACCCACATAGGAAGCCGAAATGCCCTGGCTGACAGTCTCTTCATCAACATATCCAAAGACAGTATTCAAATTCCCTGATGTGGTAGAGTGTCTGTTCATGTCCCCCTCCCACAATGGCTGAGTCCCAGACCTGGACAGTGACCTCACCACCACCCGTGGTGCGCCCTGGCCCTATTTCAACCCTACTTCCTATGGTGTTCTCATAGCACCGTGGAGAATTAAAGAGGCCACTAAGTAAGGGCACTCTAAATAAACAAAGCACTATAACGGATCTTAACCAGCAGTGGACACACAGCTTCTATAACTAGTCTCCCACTGGGGAGCCTCATTAAGTTAGCAGCTGGGATCCCAACAAGCCCAGGGTGAAAAGTTCTGCAGGGGATGACTGCCAGTTCAGATCCACTCTCACTGTGGCTCTATTTCCACCGTTTCCCTGGATTTCCATTCACAGAGCTCCCTGACATAGGACACTAGAAGGGCAAACGCAGTGTCACCTGCCACTATTACTCAATTACTTGATGACCACGGTGATAATCTGGCACTAAACTGGCTGTGGCCAAAGGCTAGAGAGCCAGAACCTACTTCCAGCAAGCTCCTCCTTGCCCTGTGTCCCCACTTGAAGAGACTGCTAGTGACCACACCTTGGACTTCAATCCACAAGCCAATCCATTCTTTCCAGGAGACAAGGACGCGACTGACAGTACTCTCAACTGGAGAGAAGCGCGGTCTTCCACCCTCCCTGGAGGACACGGTGCTACCCTATTAGCGCATCAGAGGACCCTCCTGAACGCCAAACTGGGAGAAGAGGATGACACACACCCTCTCCTCCAAACAGAGCGAAGACAAAACCTGGGAGAAGGGAAGGCAAACAGTCCCGTTTCATGGCAACATCAAATGAGATCACAGTCCTCATCCCCATAGACTTGGTTAATGGGCGTGCCCCCAACCTATCTTCAAATCTCAGGGTCTCGGCGACGCCCTGGACTCTGGCCCTAAACCCTCCCCCATTACTCGTCCACCTGGGACCAACGAAAACTCGGACATGCCCCTCCGCCAACCCCTCAGACCCCCGCCTACCTGCTCCCCAAATCGAGGCCCGCGGGACACCTGGACTCGGCAGCCGGGGTCCCGCTCTGGGTCCCAGCCCCGCCCCTGACTGCGCTGGGTAGGTGGTCGCTGCGGGACCCGGACCGGCGGAATCACACCCAGAGCCCCCAAGCCCACGGCAGGGATGTCACCCGGGGTGGCGAGGCTCTCAAGCCCGGGTTCAGGCTCTCAGGGGAGCTGGCAGAACCAGGAGCGACCACACTCACTCGCGGTCCCGCAGCCCCGCCGACACCCAGGCGCGTGACTCCCTGAGCCGTACCACCACCCAACACTGCGGTGGGGGTGCGGGAGCCGTCCGAGCGCGTCCTGCACCGCGAGGAGAGCCGGGCCTCCCTAGCTCTCGCAAGCCCAGGAACACAGTCCGAGTCCTACAACTCCGAGGTCTGACTGGGAAGCAGGGGCCGCTGCCCGACAATTACCCTTTTCCACCGCCCCTATTCCGGTGCCCCCCTCTGGGAAGTTCCGAATGGTTCAGACCGCACCAGCTGGGGATGCTGGGGGAAACCATTTCATTAAGCGCGGGAGTATGCTGAAACTTAAAAATCATTTTAAAAAGAGATTTGAGGGTAAATATAGCCAACCTAAGGCTTCCTGTCCACATAAAAGAGAAAAATAAAGAAAAAACGTTATAAGAGGTTGGCAGGCTTTTTTTTTTTGCTTCACCAATGGTTTTTATTAAATTGCTGATGGAACCCGTCCTCTCCCTACATTGAGAGTATGGAAGGTGCGGGAGACGGCCGTCACGTGACGCGGAGAAGGCGCGGCGCCCGTGGGAGGTTGGTTGCAGAACTCGGAACCGCTGTGCGCGCGCATGTGTGGGATTCGGTCTTCCTCCCTCAGTGGGTCTTTTTTAAAAATGTGAAAATCAGTTTTTGAATAATATTCTTTTTTTGAGACAGAGTTTCGCTTTCGCTCTTGTTGCCCAGGCTGGAGTCCAGTGGCGCGACCTCGCCTTACTGCAACCTCCGCTTCCCGGGTTCAAGCGATTCTCCTGCCTCAGCCTCCCGAGTAGCTGGGGACTACAGGCGTCCGCCACCACGCCTGGCTAATTTTTTGTATTTTTGCAGAGACGGGTTTTCACCCTTTTGGCCAGGCTGGTCTTGAACTCCTAACCTCAGGTGATCCACCAGCCTCGGCCTCCCAAAGTGCTGGGATTACAGGCGTGAGCCACCGCGCCCGGCCTGAATAATATTTTTTAAAACTAGAGCGCCCATTACTAAATTTAGCTACTTAGAAGTTAATTGTAAAGCCATTAGTTTGTGATGTAGTGTGGGTCCTTCCAGTGAAGACCGGAGAGAGATGGGAATCAGAGCCTGACCCGCCTGTGCGCGCTGCCCCCTGAGGTGTGGCTGCCCCCTGAGGTGTGGCCGCCCCGGAGCCTTCCGCCGCGGCCGAGGCTATGGTTGCCGCAGAGTCTCCAGAATGTGCTCACCAGGAATAGAATAGAAAAGTGGGTGGTTGTGTTTTTGAAATCAGAAGTCACTTATTTTTTTCTCTTTAAATTTCCATGTTCTGGTCGGGCGCGGTGGCTCACGCCTATAATATCCCAACACTTTGGGAGGCCGAGGTGGGCGGATTACGAGGTAAAGAGATGGAGACCATCCTGGCCAACAGGTGAAACCCCCTCTCTACTAAGAATACAAAAAAAATTAGCTGGGCGTGGTGGCACACGCCTGTAGTCCCAGCTACTCTGGTGGCTGAGGCAGGAGAATTGCTTAAACCCGGGAGGCAGAGGTTGCAGTGAGCTGAGATCGTGCCACTGCACTCCAGCCTGGCACAGAGCGAGACTCCATCTAAAAAAAAAAAAAAAAATCCATGGTCTGTTGAAAACGGGACACGAGAAAAGAACGAAAGTGCAGCTTGTGTTTTCTGCCGTCTTATAGTGGCTTGGTAAAGATTAAGGAATATGGGGTGGCGTTACGAGGTTAGGCATTGCCTTTATGTGTTTAATTATTCTTATCAAGCGAATTCCTCTTGCTGTTGGACAGCGCAAACTTAATTTCTGAGGAGGTAGTAAGTTACAGGGTGATTTTATTTTATTTTATTTTAGAGACGGAGTCTTGCTATGTCTCCCAGGCTGGAGTGCAGTGGCGCGATCTCGGCTCACTGCTACCTCCACCTCCCGGGTTCAAGTTCTTGAAACTAATGTTTGTTAATGAGATTTTTAAGTCAAGAACAAGGTTTTTTTCACCTTGTAACTTTAATTCCAGGAATTACCTTTTTCAGTTTGTTAGTGGAGTTCACCACCTTGCTCAGATTATCCTTATTTCCATGGTGATAGGCTAATGGCGGAAGGTTATTCAACTAGTGTATTTTCAGTAAAAGTCAATGTGCATTTACCACACCTGGGCTCAATTTAGGCCATTAACATCTTTCCCAACACCACTGGCTTCAGCCACCTACCTCTTTTGGAGGTACTTTCTTAAATAAACCTATAAATCTTTAAAAAAAAAATTAACAACTGCCAAATCTTTGCCTCAGTGAATTGTACCAAAGGTTATTTAAATTGGGCTCTCATGGGGTATAAAAACTTTCAAGGTCATGCAACAAAAGGGACATCTTAGAAGTCGGAAAATGTGCCCATTCTCATGGGAAAGATAATTGAAACTCAGCAGTAATGTTCAGAAAGCACAGATACCAATAATGTTCAACAATTCACAACCAAATGAAATGCAATGCTAATCTCAAAGCTTCTATCCCATAATGGAAATTGTATGAAATGATTCCAGAAGCTCTGGATATGTTACTGCCTGGCATGCATACAATCCAGAATGTGTTTTTTCCACCACTGAAACAGGCTCAATCAGAATTAAGATTTTTTTCCACCACTGAAATAGGCTCAATCAGAATTAAGGTTTTTTGATGCTTTTCTGCCTTCTTACTACTGCTAAACCAAGAGGCTTCATTATAGCTGAGTATCCAAACTGATCAATCACTTCCAAGGCATCAGTTGCCAGGACCATAGAGCCAAGTGGCAGGGAAAAGTCACATCTTATTCAGAAATTTGTTTTAGAGTTTTTTATATGTACCCTTAGCCACAGGGGCTCTGATGTAGCTGTAGGATACAGCTGGGCTTTATCTTTCAGTCAAACCACATGTCAATGACTCTTAGTTTCCAGTTTCAGGAAGAAGGGGTGTATTTCATTTGTAAGCATTTCAATTTAATATTTTTAATCACATCTCATATTTTCAAGTTACTATAATTGATTCCCTGTTATAAAAATAATGATCTAAGTTTTTGTTTCTTCCAGCAACTGAGAAAACATTCCGTTTTTAGATGTTTTGAACAGTTTAGGAGTCTGGCCAGCTGCTGAAAGGCAGCAAGCAATGAGTAACATTTCAGAAGGTGAGATAAATGCACAATTTCTTTTTTTTTTTTTTTTGAGACGGAGTCTCACTCTGTCGCTAGGTTGGAGTACAGTGGCGTGATCTTCGCTCACTGCAACCTCCCCCTCCCGGGTTCAAGCACTTCTCCTGCCTCAGCCTCCCGAGTAACTGGGACTACAGGCGCATGCCACCAGGCTCAGCTAATTTTTGTATTTTTAGTAGAGACGGGTTTCACCATGTTGGTCAGGCTGGTCTCGAACTGCTGACCTTGTGATCTGCCCTCCCAAAGTGCTGGGATAACAGGCGTGAGCCACTGCACCCAGCCCATGCACAATTTCTTTCTTTCTCTTTTTTTTTTTTTTTTTCTTTTTTGAGACGGAGTCTTGCTCTGTTGCCCAGGCTGGAGTGCAGTGGCGCCATGTCCGCTCACTGAAAGCTCTGCCCCCAGGGTTCATGCCATTCTCCTGCCTCAGTCTCCTGAGTAGCTGGGACTACAGGCGTCTGCCACCAGGCCCAGCTAATTTTTTGTATCTTTAGTAGAGACGGGGTTTCACTGTGTTAGCCAGGATGCTCTCGATCTGCCTGCCTCGGCCTCCCAAAGTGCTGGGATTACAGGCGTGAGCCACTGCGCCCAGCCTAGCCCATGCACAGTTTCTAAGTTCAGGTTTTAGGTAATTAGACAATCAACTCTGCACATAAGGCATCCAGTCAGTTGCGAGGTATGAGTTATTAGTGGTTCAATAAAGGCCATTAGGATTAATTTAATATTTCTTACCATAGCAATTTCTGTAAGCTTTTAAAAATTAACCTCTCTCCACTAATTAGAATTCATCTGCTATGCCTTTTGTGTTTTAATCTACTACTAGGTGCCTATTAAATACCATGTGTTGACATTTTCGTCTAACAATCAACTATAGAGCCAGCCTATGGATTCAGACTTATTAAATGCTTTTTGCAATTAAAGTTCTCTGATTTCAGCCTTTGATGTTAGGAAAGGATACAGATAGGATTTTCTTTGTTCACTATCATTAAGTAATTCAGTTACTTAAAAAGATAGCCATCACATTTTCTTATTCACAGATACCTGATTTACCTAGTCATTTATTTTCTCTGGCCCCTTTGCAACTGCTCAGACTTAGGTCCAAATAACATAACCTTCCACAAAGTGGGTACCAATTCAGGTTGGAACCCAGAAACTTAGGACTTACAAACCCAAAACTTCATATTTTGTTTTGTGTTTTTTGTTTTGTTTTTTTTGAGATGGAGTCTCGCTCTGTCACCCAGGCTGGAGCGCAGTGGTGCGATCTTGGCTCACTGCAAGCTCCGCCTCCGGGATTCAAGTGATTCTTCTGCCTCAGCCTCCCGAGTAGCTGGGACTACAGGCAGGTGCCACTACGCCTGGCTAATTTTTCATATTTTTAGTAGAGACAGGGTTTTACCATGTTAGCTAGGATGGTTTCGATTTCCTGACGTCATGATCTGCCTGCATCGGCCTCCCAAACAAAGTCCTGGGATTACAGGCGTGAGCCACCGTGCCTGGCCGATCTGACGGTTTTTAAAATGGGAGTTTCCCTGCACAAGCTCTCTCTCTCTTTGCCTGCTGCCATTCGTGTAAGACGTGACTTGCCTCCCACCATGACTGTGAGGCCTCCCCAGCCACCTGGAACTGTAAGTCCATTAGGCCTCTTTCTTTTGTAAATTGTCCAGTCTCAGGTGTGTCTTTATCAGCAGTGCAAAAATGGACTAATACAGATGACATGGAGAAGATCTGGCACCACACCTTCTGCAGTGAGCTGCACGTGGCCCCAGAGGAGCACCTAGTGCTGCTGACCAAGGCCCCCCTGAACCCCAAGGTCAACAGAGAGAAGATAACTCAGATCATGTTTGAGACCTTTAACACCTGGGCCATGTACGTGGCCATCCAGGCCATGCTGTCCCTCTACACCTCTGGGCACACCACTGGCATTGTCCTGGACTCTGGAGATGGGGTCACCCACATGGTGCCCATCTACAAGGGCTATACCCTCCCCCATGGCATCCTGTGTCGACCTGGCTGGCCAGGACCTGACTACCCCATGAAAATCCTCACCAAGCTTGGCTACAGCTTGATCACCACGGCCGAGTGGGAGATCATGCATGACAAGGAGAAGCTGTGTTGCCCTTCGAGCAGGAGATGGCCACCGCCGCATCCTCCTCCTCCCTGGAGAATAGCTGTGAGGTGCCCATGGCCAGGTCATCGCCATTGGCAACAAGCAGTTCCAGTGTCTGGAGGCACTGTTCCAGCCTTCCTTCCTGGGCATGGAATGTTGCAGCATCCACAAGACCACCTTCAACTCCATCATGAAGTGTGATGTGGACATCTGCAAAGACTTATATGCCAACACGTGCTGTCTGGCGGCACCACCATGTACTGGGGCATCCTGACAGGATGCAGAAGGAGATCACTGCCCTGGTGCCCAGCACCACGAAGATCAAGATCATTGTGCCCCGCCCCAAGCACAGGTACTCAGTGTGGATCGGCAGTTCCATCCTGGCCTCACTGTCTACCTTCCAGCAGATGTGGATCAGCAAGCAGGAGTAAGATGAGTCAGGCCCCTCCATCATCCACCACAAACGCTTTTAAACGGACTGTGAGCCGATGAGTAGCATTTACTGCATGGGTTAATTCCAGAGTATAAATTTGCCCTTGGAGGCCGGGCGTGGTGGCTCACGCCTGTAATCCCAGCACTTTGGGAGGCCGAGGTGGGCAGATCACAAGGTCAGGAGATCAAGACCATCCTGGCTAGCACGGTGAAACCCCATCTCTACTAAAAATACAAAAAAATTAGCCGGGCGTGGTAGAGGGTGCCTGTAGTCCCAGCTACTCGGGAGGCTGAGGCAGAAGAATGGTGTGAACCTGAGAGGTGGAGCTTGCAGTGAGACAAGATTGTGCCACTGCACTCCAGCCTGGGCAACAGAGCGAAACTCCGTCTCAAAAGAAAAAAAAAAATTTGCCCCTGGCAAATGCATACACCTCATACTAGCCTCACGAAACTGGAATAAGCCTTTGAAAGAAGTTTGTCCTTAAGGTTTGTATCTGATATCAGCACTGGATTGTAAAACTTGTTGCTGATTTTGACCTTGTATTCAAGTTAACTGTTCTCCTTGGTATTTGTGTAATGCCCTATACATCTTTGATTTCAACCCTTAGTACGTGTGGCTTGGTCACTTCGTGGCTGAGGTAAGAACTGGCTTGTGGAAGACAGGTCAGTGGTTTGGTGAGTCTGTGTGGCCAGCAGTCTCCGATCTGTGCAGTGTATTAATGTGTCAGGGCAGAGTGTTCTGCTGTAGAGCCTGGTAAGGGCTCCTGAACCAATTGTTTCTGTCTTGCCGGTCTATCAGGGTTGGAAAAGTCCAAGCCATAGGACCAAGTTTCCTCTCTTAGCTGATGTTTTCATGCCAGAACACCATGAGCTGCTACTTGTCTTGAGTTGGAAGCAGTTCGTATTTCCACCTGTAAATGTATTCATCCCTTTAATTTATGTAGGGTTTTCTTGTACTCAATTCTCAATTCTTTGAGATGACAACACATTTTGTTTTTTTACTGTTATGTGAGAACATCAGGCCCCAGCAACACGTCATTGTGTAAGGAAAAATAAAAGTACTGCTGTAAAAGAAACAAAAAAAATCGGCTGGGTGCGGTGGCTTAACGCCTGTGAGCCCAGCACTTTGGGAGGCCAAGGTGGGTGGATTGCTTGAGGTCAGGAGTTTGAGCCTGGCCAGGCCAACATGGCAAAACCCTGTCTCTAGTAAAATGCAAAAGTTAGCTAGACGTGGTGGTGGGTGCCTGTAATCCCAGCTACTAGGGAGGCTGAGGCAGGAGAATTGCTTAAACCAGGAGGTGGAGGTTGCAGTGAGCTGAGATCACACCACTTCACTCCACCCTGGGCTACAGAGGAGACTCCATCTCAAAAAAAAAAATTCAGGAGTCTCACTGAGGTAGTAGCTACAGTGAGCAGATACCACCCCTTAAGGGTTGGGGAACAAAGGGAAAAGATTGGGACGAATAGAATTTAAAATTCTGAAGGAGGGCACAGTGGGAAGATGGGGGAGGCCTGCCTCCTGGGCCCCTTTATCTCTAAGGGGCTGTGCTGAGGCTGATTCTAGGAGCATGGGGGAAACTGCACACTGGAAGCAGACTTGCCTGGACCATGCTGCTCAACAGAGGCAGATGCAGGGAGCCTGTCACTTTCTCCCCCGAGCTCTAATCCCCTTCTTGCTGGTTTGCAGAGGTCTAGCCCAAGAATCACAAAGCAGAACACAGAACAGGGGATTCAAAGCTGAAACGATTGTGACCAGCTCTCCCCTCAAACAGACTCAGGGTTTGCAGGTACTAGGACAAGGTTCTAAATAACATATCCCCTTTCAGTTCAAGTTTCCAAAAAATGCAGTTATTTTAATGAATCCACCTTGGGTAAAAAATTATAATAGCATCCACATCATTAGCAGCTCACAGTACTTTTCACTTATATAGTCACGACTGACAAGTACTAGCAGTTCACAGACACATTCTAAGTGATTTTGATTTCAGATCCAGATAATGAGAAGCTAATTGTTTTTTAAAAATAAAACAGGGTCTATAATTCATTACACAGATAAATGATCATTTCCCATTAAATATTTTGTTTCCTAAGTGCAGGTATACGTAAACAAGTGAAAGGGATGCAACCCACAAATAGTCCTAATTCAAGGGCTAGAGAATTTGACAGTTTAGTTGATAGGTCAGCAAACTATAGGCTTCAGGTCAGACCTAGCCTGCTGCCTACCTTTTTTTTTTTTTTTTTTTTTTGAGATGGAGTTTTGCTGTTGTCGCCCAGGCTGGAGTGCAATGGCATGATCTTGGCTCACCACAACCTCCACCTCCCGGGTTCAAGCGATTCTCCTGTCTCAGCCTCCTGAGTAGCTGAGATTACAGGCGCCTGCCACCACACCCAGCTAATGTTTGTATTTTTAGTAGAGACTGTTTCACCATGTTGGTCATGCTGGTCTCAAACTCCTGACCTCAGGTGATCCACCCGCCTTGGCCTCCCAAAGTGCTGGGATTACAGGCATGAGCCACCATGCCTGGCCACTGCCTACTTTTTATAAATAAAGTTTTACTACTAAAATGGCCACAGTTACAATAGGCCATATGACCTCCAAAGCCTAAGTGTGGACTCTATTAGGGTAACTTTTTATGTGACTCATGAGGTTTCTTTTCTTTTCTTTTTTTTTTAATAGAGTCTTGCTCTTGTCACCCAGGCTGGATTGCAGTGGCATGATCTTGGCTCACTGCAACCTCCACCTCCCGGGTTCAAGCGATTCTCCTGCCTCAGCCTCCTGAGTAGCTGAAATTACGGGCACCCACCACCATGCCCGGCTCATTTTTTGTATTTTTAGTAGAGATGGTGTTTCACCATATTGCCCAGGCTGGTCTCAAACTACTGACCCAGGTGATCACCTGCCTTGGCCTCCCAAAGTGCTGGGATTACAGGCGTAAGCCACTGCACACAGCTGAGGTTTCTTTTTTAAATAATGAAAATGTGCCTTACCAGACAACTTGAAACATTTTAAAAACTGAATGTTTGTAGTGAGAGAGATTTTTTTAAGGAACAAATTTGATGTGTTTTAACCTGACCACACTTTATTCTGCTCCACACCATTCCAGGGCTAAATCAGTAAATCCTAGTCCAAATTCCTGTGACAGGAGAGGCCCTGAACATAATCAAAATGCAACTATCAGTTTACCTGATATGCTTTGACAAGAAAAAGTGGGAAAGCCTGCCATTTGTCTCTTAAAAACTGTAAGTTGAGAGGGGGAGAAAAGCCATTTTCAAGACTACAAAAGTGTAGCACCCACTAAAGGTTGG
Organism: Homo sapiens; assembly: GCF_000001405.40. Lineage (NCBI taxonomy): Eukaryota > Metazoa > Chordata > Mammalia > Primates > Hominidae > Homo > Homo sapiens. The sequence goes on from NC_000017.11 coordinate 17,246,157, forward strand.
AAAGTGCTTTTGACACCACCTGGACAACATGGCAAAACCCCATCTCTACAAAAAAAAAAAAAAAAAAAAAAGGCTGGCTGTGGTGGTGCTCGCCTGTAGTCCCAGCTACTTAGGAAGCTGAGGTAGGAGAATCAGCTGAGCCTGGGAAGTTTAGGTAAGCCATGATGGCACCATTGCACTGCAGCCTGGGTGACAGAGACCCTGTCTCTTAAAAAAAAAAAGAAAAAAAAGTGAAGCACCAATGGCATCTCATAATCCACAACTCATACTCTCACTAATATGCATGTTAATTTTAATTTTAAAAATTAGCTTATGCCTCAGGGACGCTCCTACCCTTTTTTTTTTTTGTAAACAGAGACAGGGTCTCACTATGTTGGCCAAGGTGGTCTGAATTCCTGGCCTCAAGCAATCCTGCCTCGGCCTCCCAAAGTGCTAGGATATTACAGGTGTGAGCCACTGTGTCTGTCTGGCCTTTCTTTTCTTTTATTTTCTGAAGACAATGATTACAACTTTTAGATTTTTTTGTAGATACAAATTTGTCAATAAATAAAAACCTTTCAGATCCAAATCTTCCAAAAATTCCTAAAATCCAGCTATTTCTGTTCACAATGAATGTGCTTATTAAAAACTTCAGAGGAGAAAAAAGTGATACAGAAGACACATTAATGTTCAAGCAACTTAAAACAAAAAGGTAGATTTAATGCAGTAACAATAATCTGAGGATAAATAAATCCACGACAGACTTTAAAGTTTGCAAATCTGTTTCCTTTCTTTGCAGAGAAAATGGTTTTCTGAAAGCACACAGGACTGAAGATGTCAAAACAAAACTTAATTTCTTAGTCTCCAGGTGACACAGGCTTGGTCCTCTCTGCTGCCCTCCGAACACTTGTCACTGGCCAAGATGGTAGTTTCTCTTGTTTAGCTCAGGATGGATGTTAGTTTCAAGAATAACTGGATGGTTTGTTTCCTGAATCATCTTCTTGTGAGCCCATACTCTGTAAAGGTAAAGTGAAGTTATGTATTTATGTTTGCTTTTATCAAGGGTTCCCCGGCAGCCCAATAAGCACACCAGTTGCCCTGTCCCTCCCAGAACAAAGCCCCCTGTGAACAAGGGCAGGCAATTCCAGGAACCACCCTAAGCATCCCTAAGTGTACTTCCAGGCCATCATTTGAAAATGCTCTCAACTAGTATTTCTCCATGACCGTACTGGTAAGGTTTTCAAGAAATATTTAATAACCTGAAACTTAGTTCCTGTGCCTGATGTGACAACACCCCTCCTTCTCCACCCAGCCTACTTCTTGTAATAAGGGAACCCTCATCACCTTTTGTACAAACTGAGGGTTCACTGTGATCTCCTGGTCCATGGCTTTCAGCCGCTCATCCAGCTCAATGCACTTCAGCATCTGCATGACAGGCACATTAGAAGGTGGTCAGCGGCGGGTTTAGGTCAGCTGCATCCTTTCTAACTTACACTGTTCACAAGGGTGCTATAGGTTCACAATCTCTTGATGTGAAACCCCTGGGGCCACATGGGTTTTGGAGCCAGAGTATTTTGGACTCAGAAAGCTAATACATCTATCATATAATACCAAATATCCCACCCAGCAGGATCTAGGCAAACCTCATAATCAAACACATAGTATCTTTTGCAGTGAAACGAGTATATTCATGCTGAGATAAATGAAGACTAGACACCATTTCAGGTGACATTTTGCCATTAAATTAATTACAAAAAAACATAGTTTTCTGAGATTTAATATTCAGTTCACTTCCCTGCTCAGAGGTAAGAAACACAGACCACCCACAAAACTCCCCCTTCAGCCCCCAGAATCAGAGGCAGCATGCCCTCAGGAGACACAGAGGTGACTGCTGCAGCTGTAGCCAGGCTGTTGCCTAAAGGGGACCGTCAGGGAGGGCTTTGCTCTTCTCCTCCAGCCACCCCGACTCTGCTTCTCACATAGGGAGAGATGTTTCCTAACCTCCCAACCTGGAACTCCACAGACATTTCAGCAAAAACATAAGGCTCTATGTTGTAGGTGGCAGCTGGGAATAGATAAAGTTATACTGGGCCCTTTAAGTGTTTTCACAGTTAAGGGAGGTTTTGATGAGTTAGCTGGGATATCTAACCCACCATTTATTTACAGCCATACAATCTGAGAGAGTTTTGTTTTTTTGAGACAGAGTCTCCCTCTGTTGCCCAGGCTGGAGTGCAGTGGCGCAATCTCAGCTTACTGTAACATCTGCCTCCCAGGTTCTAAGAGACTTTCCTGCCTCAGCCTCCAGAGTAGCTGGGATTACAGGCGTGCACCACCACACCCGGCTGATTTTTTATTTTTTTTAGTAGAGACGGGGTTTTGCCATGTTGGGCAGGCTGGTCTTGAACTCCTGACCTCAGCTGATCCACCCACTTCAGCCTCCCAAAGTGTTGGGATTACAGGCATGAGCCACCACACCCAGCCTGGAAGAGTTTTAAGCAGCCCATTCTGGGTTTCTTTTGTTGTTGTTGCTGCTTTTCTTGAGACAGAGTCTTGCTCTGTCACCCAAGGTGGAGGACAGTGGCACAATCTCGGCTCACTGTAACCCGTCTCCAGGGTTCAAGCAATTCTCCTTAAGCAGCCCATTTTGAAACTAACTTTCTAGTAACTAAGATGTTCACAGACTGGGAACTACCTGTACTTAAAACTAAAATTATCCTGGAACATAGGAGCAATTTTCAAATACATCTCAACCATCAATTAAAAAAATAAAAACCTGGCATTCATGTTTACCTCCTGATCAATGTTATGAAGCATGGCTGGGTTATTATATTTTTCAGGGTTATCATGGAAACTGACCATACCGTCCTTCTGGTTAATACTTGCAAAAATCTCACCATCTTCTATCTGCAGAAAGAAAAAAAAAAAAATCAGGAAAGCAGTTTAGACCTGAATGCTATATGAATAGTCATCCAGTATAATCACAGAAAAGCATGGAAGGCAACATGGATATAAATAAACTTGTATATTTTTAAGCGCCATCTGTTTATCCAAGTATTTATTAAATACCTACTATTTGCTAGGCACCATTATAGATGCTAAGAGGTGTAAAACTGATACACACAAAATCCCTGCCCTTGCATTTTTGTTATTGAGGTGAAGTCCACACAACATAATTAACCATTTTATTTATTTATTTATTTATTTATTTGAGATGGAGTCTCGCTGTCCCCCAGGCTGGAGTGCAGTGGTGCGTTCTTGGCTCACTGCAACCTCTACCTCCGGGGTTCAAGCAATTCTCCTGCCTCAGCCTCCCAAGTAACTGGGATTACAGGTGCCCGCCACCACACCAGGCTAATTTTTTTGTTGTTTTTTTTGAGATGGCGTTTCGCTCTTGTTGCCCAGGCTGGAGTGTAATGGCACAATCTCGGCTCACTGCAACCTCCGCCTCCTGAGTTCAAGCAATTCTCCTGCTTCAGCCTCCTAAGTAGCTAGCATTACAGGCATGCACCACCACGCCTGGCTAATTTTGTATTTTTAGTAGAGACAGGGTTTCTCCATGTTGGTCAGGCTGGTCTCCAACTCCCGACTTTAGGTGAGCCATCCGCCTCGGCTTCCCAAAGTGCTGGGATTACAGGCGTAAGCCACCGCGCCCAGCCATTTTTTTGTATTTTTAATAAACACGGGGTTTCACCATGTTGGCCAGGCTGGTTTCGAACTCTTAACCTCAAGTGATCTACCTGCCTCGGCCTCCCAAAATGCTGGGATTACAGGCATGGGCCACCACATCTGGCCTACCTTTTTAAAGTGAGCAATTAATTGGCATTTAATGCATTCTACAATGTTGTGCCACCACCATCTCTATCTAGTTCTGGAGCATTTTCGTCACCCCAGAAAGAGGCCCTAGGCCCATTAGCAGTCCCTCCCCATTCCCTCCTTCTCCTCCCAGCCCCTGGAAACCACCAATCTGTTCTTGTCTCGTATGGATTTGCCTTTTCTGGATATATGAATGGAATCATATACTATGTAATCTTTTGTGGTCTGGCTTCCCTTAGCATGATGTATTTGAGGTGCCCTTGCATTTTTCAACATCAGCTGCACTGAAATATAACTTACATCGCCTTTTTTTTTTTTTTTTTTGAGATGGGGTCTCGCTCTGTTGCCCAGGCTGGAGTGCAGTGGCTTGATCTCTGCTCACTGCAACCTCCACCTCCTGGGTTCAGGGGATTCTCCTGCCTCGGCCTCCTAAGTAGCTGGGACTACAGGTATGTGCCACGATGCCCAGCTAATTTTTTTTATTTTTAGTAGAGATGACGTTTTGCCATGTTGGCCAGGCTGGGCCACTGTATTTTAAAAAGTAAAGCCTAACACGTTTTCTTTTCATCCCAGTGGAAACTATCTTCCGATTCTTCAAGAAAACTTTACTACCACTGGGGATTCCAAGGTAGATTCAAGGTCTATATATTATTTATTTGCATCAGTTACTGGGGAATTATTTGACTGATCCTCAAAGCCAAATCCTGCCCATGAAGTTAAAAAGTGAGATACCAATAAAAGTACAAAACAGGTATTTTATTCCTAACAAGATGTTCCACACGGTGATAATAACTTGTCCATTTGTTAGCAGTGAAACTGCTGGCCTACTTGTCTCTAGCTTTGGAAGGGATAGATGCTATTTAGTGAAACAGTAACCAGCCCAATACATATTATACAAAATGCATAGTTCTCTATGTGATCACAGAGAGCTGCCTCTTTAAGCAGATGGAATGTATCTAAGCAAAATTTGGACCTACCTTCACCACAGCAGCACTATTCATAATAAATTAACCAGAACTGGAAACAACCCCAATGTCTAACTATTTATTTATTTACATTATTTGAGACAAGAGTCTTGCACTGTTGCCCAGGCTGGAGTGCAGTGGCGCAATCTCAGCTCACTGCAAGCTCCACCTCCCAGGTTCATGCCATTCTCCTGCCTCAGCCTCCCGAGTAGCTGGGACTACAGGCATCTGCCACCACGCCTGGCTAATTTTTTGTACTTTTAGTAGAGACGGGGTTTCACTATGTTAGCCAGGATGCTCTCGATCTCCTGACCTCATGATCTGCCCGCCTCAGCCTCCCAAAGTGCTGGAATTACAGGTGTGAGCCACCATACCCGGCCTATTTATTTATTTTTTTGGAGACGGAGTTTCGCTCTTGTCACCCAGGCTGGAGTGCAATGGTGTGATCTCCAGTCACTGCAACCTCCGCCTCCTGGGTTTGAGCGATTCTCCAGCCTCAGCCTCCCAAGTAGCTGGGATTACAGGCGCCCGCCATCATGCCTAGCTAATTTTTTTTGTATTTTTAGTAGAGACGGGGTTTCACCATGTTGGCCAGGCTGGTCTTGAACTCCTGACCTCAGGTGAGCTGCCTGCCTCAGCCTCCCAAAGTGCTGAGATTACAGGCACCACGCCCAGCCTGTCCAACTAATTAAAATGGAAAGGTGTATCAAACACTGGAACATTGTAGCCCTGAAAACGAATGAACTACGGCTACATACAGCATCATGCATGACTCTCACAATGCTGAGCCAAAAAACCAGATTCCCAGAAAGAATGTGCTGTGTGTTTCCTTCTACATCAAACTCAGAAACAAACAGAACTAAAATAGGATGTTAGAAGTCAGGATGGGAGGCCGGGCACGGTGGCTCATGCCTGTAATCCCAGCACTTTGGGAGGCCGAGGTCAGGAGATCAAGACCATCCTGGCTAACATGGTGAAACCCCGTCTCTACTAAAAATACAAAAAATTAGCCAGGCGTAGTGGTGGGCGCCTGTAGTCCCAGCTACTCGGGAGGCTGAGGCAGGAGAATGGCGTGAACCTGGGAGGTGGAGCTTGCAGTGAGCTGAGATCGCACCACTGCACTCCAGCCTGGGTGACAGAGCAAGACTCCGTCTCAAAAAAAAAAAGTCAGGATGGGAACAACCTTTCTAGAGAGGCACAGGGCTGGAAGCAGACACAAGGGATATTTTCCGGGTGCTGGTCATATTCTGTTCCTTCTTCTAGGTGTTGGAATCTTTGTGAAAATGTGTTTAGCCGTACACTTAAGTGTACTTTTCCAATGTTTACTTTAAAAAACAAACAAACAAAAAAAAACCCTGGTCTCACAGACCTTTCATTCCAGAAGGGTTTCTCAAGCCTGGCAGTCCTGACATTTGGGGGCAGATAACGCTTTGGTGTGTGGGCTGTCCAGGGTACAGATAACGCTTTGGTGTGTGGGCTGTCCTGGGTACAGATAACGCTTTGGTGTGTGGGCTGTCCTGGGTACAGATAACGCTTTGGTGTGTGGGCTGTCCTGGGCACTGCAGGACGTTTAGCAGCATCCCTGGCCCGTACCCATTAGACGCCAGTAGCACCCCCATCTGTGAAAACCAAAACTGCTTCCAGACGTTGCCTAATGTCTCCTGGCAGACAAAATCACCCTCAGAGGAGAACCACTGCTCCAGAGCCTGTCAGGGTGTCTGGGCTGGTTAAGCAGGGCTCAAAACTCACACCCACTTTGACCCCGCAACGCGTTGCTAGCTAGTATGTCCTGTCTGGTGTCATAACCACTCATGTATTTCTTCTCACTCGCCACTGAAGAGGGAATTTCTTGGGGAAAGCGTCTATAGCTTATTCTGTGTAACCCCTGTGGGGTTACCAAGATGCTCTTAGCAGACACAAGTCATAGAGGTATGGTTTTGTTTGGTGTGTGCATGTTTTGAATGGTAGGTTGAAGCAAAAAACCCTTTAGAACACTTGTAAATTCAACTATCAAAATGAAATACTCAGCTGGGTGCAGTGGCTGTATCCAGCTGTAATCCCAGCACTTTGGGAGGCCAAGGTGGGAAGGTCACTTGAGGCCAGAAATCTCAAGTTATGCCTGGCCAACATAAAGAGACCCTGCCTGTACAAAAAATTTAAAAATTAGCTGGGTGTGGTGGCACACATCTGTAGTCACAGCTACTTGGGAGGCTGAGGTGAGAGGATCATTTAAGCCTAGGCAGTCAAGGCTGCAGTGAGCCATGATTACGCCACTGCACTCCAGCCTGGGCAACACAGGAAGACCTTGTCTCAATCAATCAATCAATCAATCAAAATACTCCAAATTCTGAAATCATACAAGGGGTCATATGAAGCTTTGCCTGTCCTGAGCTAAGGACACAGGTTTTCAGTGAACTAAAACCAGATCAGAACTATGTACTTATGTAACTGAATAGGTAGGTAGATTACAATACATCAATGTGGTGGGTTATCATATAGTCATTTAAATGATGCTTATCCAAATCAGGAGTGGTTGCCTGGTTGGGGTGGGGCTGAGAGTGGGGAAATGCAACTGGCAGGTGATAAAGAGGGAGTGTCAGGGCACTGGTGCTATTTCATTTCCTAAGCTGGATGCTAAGTCCTGGGTGTGTGCTCTGGCCTCCTTTATGTCAGTGCTGCTTATGGACCAAAACCCTCAGTGACGGAAGAGGCTAAGTCAGAATGTCAGTCAATGATGTCGCTAAGCACACTGTGTAGTTCAGCAAACATTGTTCAGCAAGATTTCTTGCTGCAGCAGTTGCTTGATGTACGTACTGGCAAAAGCTTGTGATCTCATCACAGATAAGCAGAGGAAGTAGCCCTACCTTATACCTCTTTGTATACCAAAAATATTTCATGAGGGTTATGAGGTTTACAAAAATTCTGATAATGAAAATATGTAAATATAGCCGCCTGTAATACCAGCTACTCGGGAGGCTGAGACAGGAGAATTGTTTGAACCCTGGAGGTGGGGGTTGCAGTGAGCTAAGATCACACCACTGCACTCCAGCCTGGGCAACAAAGCGAGAGTCCGCCTCAAAATAAAATAAAAGAAAATAATAAGGAGTACAGGGCTGGGCACAGTGGCTCACGTATGTAATCCCAACAATTTGGGAGGCCTAGGAGGGCAGATTGAGCCTAGGAGTTCAAATCCAGCCTGGGCAACATGGAGAAACCCCATCTCTTCAAAAAAATACAAAAATTAGTCAGGCATGGTGACACATACATGCCTGTAGTCCCAGCTACTTGGGAGGCTGAGGTGGGTGGATTACTTAAACCCAGGGAATTGAGGCTGCAGTGAGCCGAGATTGCACCACTGCACACCAGCCTGGGCAACAAGATGAAGCCATCTCAAAAAAAAAAAAAAAGGAAGCACAAATAGGACGCAAGCCTGATGTGTATATCATATGAGCACACTAAAACTAGAAACTATAAGGAAACAGACCAAATTGTCAATAGTGGTAGACTTTGGAGGCTCCCCCCGCTTTTCTCCTTTTTAATATTTTCCACAATGAACATCTGTTACTCTTACAGTAACAAAAATCCAGTAATTAATTTTCAAAAAAATGAAAATCAAGGCCAGGCACGGTGGCTCATGCCTATAATCCCAGCACTTTGGGAGCCCGAGGCGGGCAGATCACGTGGTCAGGAGTTTGAGACCAGCCTGACCAACATGGTGAAACCCCATCTCTACTAAAAATACAAAAATTTAGCCGGGCATGGTGGCGCATGCCTGTAGTCCCAGCTCTCGGGAGGCTGAGGCAAGAGAATCACTTGAATCCGGGAGGTGGAGGTTGCAGTGAGCCAAGACTGTGCCACTACACTCCAGCCTGGTGACAGAGCGAGACTCCATCTCAAAAAGAAAAAAAAAAAAAAAAAAGAAAAAGAAAAAGAAAATCCACTTACCATGTGCAGAACGTATTTCTCTGCCTCCTGAGGTCCAGACAACTGCACACGACTTGCCATATCTTGTAATGATAGAGTTAAAAAGGTCTGAAAGTCAGAAGCAGAATTAGTCACAGGTAGGAACAACGAAGGAAGGACATTTTATTAAATGTGTACAGAGCGGCCAGGCGTGGTGGCTCATGTCTGTAATCCCAGCACTTTGGGAGGCTGAGGTGGGCAGATCATGAGGCCAGGAGATTGAGACCATCTTGGCTAACATGGTGAAACCCTGTCTCTACTAAAAATACAGAAAATTAGCTGGTATGGTGGTGCACGCCTGTAGTCCCAGCTACTTGGGAGGCTGAGACAGGAGAATCGCTTGAACCCAGGAGGCGGAGGTTGCAGTGAGTGGAGACTGAGCCACTGAACTCCAGCCTGGGTGACAAAGTGAGACTCTGTCTCAAAACAAAAAACAAAAAACAAAAAAAGAATTAGCCAGGCGTGGTGGCATGCGTCTGTAGTCCCAGCTACTTGGGAGGCTGAGACAAGAGAATCAGAGAATTGCTTGAACCCAGGAGGTGGAGGTTGCAGTGAGCTGAGACTGCGCCACTGCTCTCCAGCCTGGACGACAGAGCAAGACTCTATTTCAAAAAAAAAAGTGTACAGAGCTCTTCCCATTGATGTACAGAATAGATTTGTGTAGATGACTTAAAACTGATGGGCGAGGGGTGGTGGCTCACACCTGTAATCCCACCACTTTGGGAGGCCGAGGTGGGTGGATCAATTGAGGTCAAGAGTTCCAGACCAGCCTGGCCAACATGATGAAACTCCACCTCTACTAAAAACGCAAAAATTTGCCAGGCATGGTGGCAGGCACCTGTAATCCCAGCTGCTCAGGAGGCTGAGGCAGGATAATCGCTTAAACTTGGGAGGTGGAGGTTGCAGCAAGCCGAGATCGCGTGATTCACTCCAGCCTGGGCAACAGAGTGAGACTCCATCTCAAAATAAATAAATAAATAAATAAATAAATAAATAAATAAATAACTGATAGGCTGGGCACGGTGGCTCATGCCTGTAATCTCAGCACTTTGGGAGGCCCAGGCGAGTGGATCACGAGGTCAGGACATCGAGACCATCCTGGCTAACGTGGTGAAACCCTGTCTCTACTAAAAATACAAAAAAAAAAAAAAAATTAGCCGGGCGTGGTGGTGGGCACTTGTAGTCCCAGCTACTTGGGAGGCTGAGGCAGGAGAATGGCGTGAACCCAGGAGGTGGAGCTTGTTGTGAGCCAAGATCACGCCACTGCACTCCAGCCTGGGCAACTGAGCAAGACTCTGTCACAAAAAAAAATAAAAAAATAAAAACTGATGAACCCAGTGGTTTGTCAATTTCCTAGAGGAGTAATGAAAAATAATTTTATATATATATGTAAACTGAAAAGGAATCCAAGGTATGCACATCATTATGAAGATTTTCATCTTTTGAATTTTGTATTATAAATGTATAATCTATTAAATATAATTGAAAAAATAACATTCATCATTCAAAATTCAAAGTTAACATTTTTAAACAAATGGGGGAGTTAAATAAAAGAGGCTACACACTTGTGATGAGGGAAACCAGTGTTTACCACTGCTCTCTTGGGATCTGATGAAAATGACCCCTTTCAGAAACATATTAAAAGAGCTCTATTCTTAATGGCAGCTGGTAATATTTACAACAATGGCATTTTCAGAGCTGGGCATATTAAAACCCTCATCTTGAAAATTCCTTTTTTTTTTGAGATGGAGTCTTGCTCTGTTGCCCAGGCTAGAGTGCAGAGGCGCAATCACAGTTCATAGCAGTTCAAGGGAACCTCCTGTTTCAGCCTCCTGAGTAGCTGAGACTACAGGTGTGCACCACTGTGCCCAGCTAATTTTATTGTTTTATTTTTTGTAGAGATGAGATCTTACTTAGTTGCCCAGACTGGTTTCAAGCTCCTGGTTTCAACGTATCTTCCTGCCTCAGCTCCCCAAAGTGCTGGAAGTACAGGGGTAAGCCACTGTGCCTGGCCATAAATTCTTGATGAGCCAATAATTTTAAAACCTACATATACTTTAGTTCAGAGAATAGTACCCAAGAAATTGAAATTACTGCTAACTTTAAGAAGTACACAAGTAGTTTAACACAAACAAAGACTCAAAAGTCAACATTCTAGCCTGACCAACACAGTGGGATCCCATCTCTACAAAAAATGTAAAAGTAGGCCAGGCGCGGTGGCTCACACCTGTCATCTTAGCACTTTGGGAGGCCAAAGTGGGCAGATCACTTAAAGTCAGGAGTTTGAGACCAGCCTGGCCAACATGGCGAAACCCCGTGTCTACTAAAAATACAAAAATTAGCCAGGTGTGGTGGTGTGCACCTGTAGTCCCAGCTACTCAGGAGGTTGAGGCAGGAGAATCGCTTGAACCCAGGAGGCAGAGTCTGCAGTGAGCAAAGATCGCACCACTGCACTCCAGCCTGGACAACAGAGCGAGACTCAGTCACAGAAAAAAAAAAAAAGAAAAAATACCAAACAAACAAAAGAGCAGGGTCAAGAATAGCACGTAGAGTATGACCCCAATTACATATAACTGGGAGAGTCTATGCATACACATAGAAAAGAAACAGAGAAGAGGAACCTAGAAAAACATCTACTAGGCCGGGCGTGGTGGCTCATGCTTGTAATCCCAGCACTTTGGGAGGCTGAGGCGGGCGGATCACGAGGTCAGGAGATCGAGACCATCCTAGCTAACACGGTGAAACCCCGTCTCTACTAAAAATACAAACAATTAGCCAGGTGTGGTGGCGGGCACCTGTAGTCCCAGCTACTCGGGAGGCTGAGGCAGGAGAATGGCGTGAACCCGGGAGGTGGAGCTTGCAGTGAGCCGAGATCGAGCCACTGCACTCCAGCCTGGGAGACAGAGCAAGACTCCGTCTCAAAAAAAAAAAAAAAGAAAAAGAAAAAGAAAAAGAAAAACATCTACTAAAATGTTAACACAAAGTAATATTTCAATGGGAGAGGTGGCAGATTTAACCCATCCCCAGCTGCCTTCCATCCCAGCCATGCCATCACCTACTGATACAGTCTACCTGTTGAGACTTCTTTGGATTTTCTAGTAAGAAAAACTTGGCTAGAAAAATCCTTTGATGTTTCCCCGTTCTTTTCATTTTAGCACTGGGACATCATGCCAAAAATGGAGCAGCCACTATCACAGATGTAACCTTCTGACTAGCTATGTCCTTTAAAGACACGGTTCCTGCCCACCATACCTTATGGTAGCCCTCCCCAGGTCCCTCTGGCAGGCAGTGCTTGTGAGCTCAGTGTACCACAATCCACCACTTCGTGTCAACATACGAAGGACCCAGGACCTTGATGACTTTGTGAGTCACTACCCCAGCCCTGGAAAGACCATTTCGAGTTGAGACTCTTCCTGTTTGATCAAAAAAAAATTTTTTTTGAGACGGAGTCTCACTTTGTCCCCCAGACTGGAGTGCAGTGGTGCAATCTCGGCTCACTGCAACCTCTATCTCCTGGGTTCAAATGATTCTCCTGCCTCAGCCTTCCAAGTAGCTGGGATTACAGGTATGTGCCACCACGCCCAGCTAATTTTTGAAACCGTTATTTAATTTTCATTTGCTATTTTGCAATTTAACATCTTTTGTAACATGTACTATCTTTTATGTTTGTTAGCATTTGGGTTCTTTTATCTAAACTTCAATTACTAGTCACAAACAGAGTTTGTGTTTTTAATGGCAGCTGTTTTTTAATGGCTACCTCTTGATGGCAAAAGACAGAAATTTACTTAGAATGGTTCTGTTGGCACTTGGGCCAAAAAGAAAATTTTATGGAGAGAATTAGGCTGCTTGTTATTTAAGTCTCTTAGATCCTGGTCTTTTAAACCTGTAGGTCAAGCTGGTTTTTCTGGCTCACAAGTTACACTGGTTTTGATCTTTGACTTGATTTCTCTTTCACGTTCTTCATTTTTCTCTCATAAAAATTAACTTTTTACAAATTCACTACTGATTTCCTTCTATTCTAGAAGCTATGGCTAGTCTTTCTAGAGTATTTGGAAGGATTCTTTTTCTTGCCCATTGACCCTCTCCTCACCTTCCTTCCTCTTCTCCTTAGGATCCTTTATCCTTGTATGAGGTCTGCCCACCTCAACGGCCACCCCGACCCACCTCTCTTCTCTAGCTTCTCCATTGGGCTAGGGGAAGTCACCTCTCCCCTAAGTCCTCACGTAGCCAAATCCATCAGCCTTTTCCATTGCTGGGTAGCCTAGCAAAAAAACAGCTACCCTATTCTGGTTCCTTGGCTCGTCCCCAACCATGCATCACCATGGCTGACACAAGGCAAAGGATGTGCACAGGAACAGATGCACTGTGTTCTCAGCAGCTGTGAACTATGCATATCTGGCCAGACTTCCCAAGAGAAAAAAGCAATCCTCTATTTGTTGAGCTACAGGATTCCTGTAACTTGCAGCCTATACCTTCCTAAAACACAAAAAATTTCATTTTTCATTATTTTTCTGTACTGTTTGAACGTTTGACATTAAGCATATTTTCTATAGTCAAAACCTAGCAGGTTATTTTCATCTTGACAATAAAAATTATAGAATTGGCTTACATCCTAGAAGAAAATAAAAATTATATAATTGGCTTACATCCTAGAAGTCAATTGCACAAAGTTTGTACAACCCTGGCCTAAATGGTAATGTCCGAGTAGTACTATGTTCACATAAGGTGTTCTCATTGGCTGGGTGCGGTGGTTCATGTCTGTAATCCCAGCAGTTTGGGAGGCCAAGGCAGGTGGATCACATGAGCACAGGGGTTCGAGACCGCCTGGCCAACATAGCAAAACCTTGTCTATACAAAAAATACAAAAATTAGCTGGGCGTGGTGGCTCACACCTGTGGTCCCAGCTGCTTGGGAGGCTGAGGTGGGCAGATCACTTGAGCTCAGGAGGCAGAGGGTGCAATGAGCCGAAATCACGCCACTGCACACCAGCCTGGGCAACAGAGCAAGGCACTGTGTCAAGAGAGAAAAAAAAAAAATGTTCTAATAGAGATCAGCACAGACAGAACAGACAGGTTGCAAGGCTGGTGACAGTGCACTGAGGTCTGCATCATTAGCATCCCTCATCTGCCCTGCTGGAGCTGCTGACCTCTCTGAGGCTGCCTTTCACTGTCTCCCAATGTAGCCTTGTCTCCTACCTTTCTTCCTCTTCACCTGCTCCAAATACCCTGCTCTAGCCCTGAAAAGACCAAAGGTATACATCAAATTCTTTCTAAGAAGCCAATCACAAGAGAGTTCTCTCTCAGCACAGAAATCCTGCCATGCTTTATCCCTGTACCTGCTTCCTCAGCTCTGAAAAGGGAGAGAAAGGGAAACATGGCCCCCAGGGGGTCAGGAGCTGCCCTGTGAAGGTGGCACTTTCCTCACCTTTGTTAGCCTCTGAATATTCTTCTTATAAAGAGATGACAAGCATTGCTTCACCAGCCCCATGTTGTTATCGCGAGTGAAGGTTTCACTGTGCTTATTCACCAGGTTTCGGAGTTCTGAGGGGTTGTTGGTTGAATACACTTGTGCTAACTCGTGGTATGCATTGCTAAGAGGCTAAAGATGCAAAGGAGGGAAAAAATTCAGATTAAAACTTCAGAAGAGGCCAGGTGTGGGGACTCACGCCTGTAATCTCAACACTTTGGGAGGCCGAGGCGGACAAATCACCTGGGGTCAGGGGTTAAACACCAGCCTGACCAACATGAAGAAACCCCGTCTCTACTAAAAATACAAAATTAACTGAGCGTGATAGCACATGCCTGTAATCCCAGCTACTTGGGAGGCTGAGGCAAGAGAATCGCTTGAACCCAGGAGGTGGAGGTTGCAGTGAGCCAAGATCGTGCCACTGCACTCCAGCCTGGGCAACAAAGCAAAACTCCGTCTCAAAAAAAAAAAAAAAACCAAAAACAAACAAACAAACTTCAGAAGACTCAAATGTGTATAGGAAGCAAAAACACACTTACATACTATTTTTTAAGCAAGTATATCCCATATTGTCAGGTAACTACACACTGTTACCCTACAAATTATAATTTACCCAAAGCAAATGCCTGGTTTTTAAGACCAGGGATAGAAAGTCACTATGGAGTAATTCATTTTCCACAAAATTTTGTACTACAGACCAAGTAATAACACAGCAGGTGAAAACCCACTGAATTTAGTGAAGGCACACGTCTTCATCAGTGCTTCTGTTTTTCTACTGATAAATCATATAGAGAAGAAAGGAGTCAAAACATTCATCATTCCCAACTCTCCCTCTCTCTTTCTCACACCTCACCAGATGCAACAGGACAATCTGCTACTTCTGCTAGCAAGAAGGAAGACAGGGCCGGGCATGGTGGCTCACGCCTGTAATCCCAGCACTTTGGGAGGCCGAGGCGGGTGGATCACGAGGTCAAGAGATCGAGACAATCCTGGCTAACACGGTGAAACCACATCTCCACTAAAAATACAAAAAATTAGCTGGGCATGGTGGCACACACCTGTAGTCCCAGCTACTCGGGAGGCTAAGGCAGGAGAATCGCTTGAACCCGGGAGGCAGAGGTTGCAGTGAGCTGAGATCACGCCACTGCACTCCAGCTTTGGTGACAAGAGCAAAACTCCATTTCTAAATAAATAAATAAATAAATAAAATGAAAAATATAACAAAACAAAATAAAGGCCAGGCTCAGTGGCACACACCTGTAATCCCAGCACTCTGGGAGGCAGACGCAGAAGGACTGCTTGAGGCCAGGAGTTCAACACCAACCTGGCCAACATAGCGAGACTCTGTCTCTAGGGAAAAAAAAAAAAATCAACTGTTATAGGAGCTTAAACATCTATAGCTGTAAGTATCTAGAGCACAAGTTTGAAAACGGGTTCCTGAGAAATATTCCATTCCAATCAGGTAATGAGAATGTGTAGCAGACATTCAATAAATGTCTGCTCACCTGAAGCTGCTAGGAGAGCTAAATCAGTATAAAACGAAGTTACAGAACTGTATCATTGCAATTTCTTTATATACTCAACATGCTCACGTAAGAAATCAGTTTTATGTAAAAAACTTACCTTAATGAATCTACCCACAATTTGAGATGTATATTTTGGTAGCTGTTGTACTTTGCCAAGTAATATCAAAGACACTAAAATATACTTTTTATATGATTCCAACATGATATGACTGACCGCCATGGCAGGAGTAGTTATAGCCTAGGCAAGAGAAGAATGCTTGCTGTAAAGAGAACATACCACAGTAGCAAACAACAATCAACCACATGTATCACATTAATTATAAGTCAATAATACTTTTTAAATGTCCCATTATTTTTATAACAGCCTTATTGAGATAGAATTCATTTTATTTTTATTTATGCATTTTTTAGAGACAGGGTCTCGCTCTGTCATCTAGGCTGGAGCGCAGTGATGTAATTATGGCTCACTGTACCCTCAAACTCCTTGGGTTCAAGCAATCTTCCTGCCTCAGCCTCCTGAGTACCTGGGACTATAGGAGTGGGCCACCATGCTTGACTAATTTTAAAATTTTTTGTAGAGGCCAGGCGCGGTGGCTTATGCCTGTAATCCCAGCACTTTGAGAGGCCGAGGTGGGTGGATCACGAGGTCAGGGGATCGAGACCAACCTGGCTAACACAGTGAAACCCCATCTCTACTAAAAATACAAAAAAATTAGCCGGGTGTGGTGGTGGGCGCCTGTAGTCCCAGCTACTTGGGAGGCTGAGGCAGGAGAAGGGTGTGAACCCAGGAGGCGGAGCTTGCAGTGAGCTGAGATTGCGCCACTGCACTCCAGCCTGGGCGACAAAGCGAGACTCCGTCTCAAAAAAAAAAATATTTTTTGTAGAAATGGAGTCTCACTATGTTGCTCAGGCTGACTCCTATGTTGCTCACTATGTTGTTCAGTCTTGTACTCCTGAGCTCAAGCAATGCTCCCACTTCAGCATCCCAAAGTGCTAGGATTACTGGCATGAGCCACCACGCCTGGCCACTTTCTTGTCTTTTTATTTTTGAGGACGAGTCTCTGTTACCCAGGCTGGAGTGCAGTGGCGCAATCCCGGCTCACTGCAACCTCCATCTCCTGGTTCAAGAGATTCTCCTGGCTGGGCGTGTTGGCTCATGCCTGTAATCCCAGCAATTTGGGAGGCCGAGGCGGGCGGATCACGAGGTCAGGAGATCAAGACCATCCTGGCTAACATGGTGAAACCCCATCTCTACTAAAAATACAAAAAATTAGCCAGGTGTGGTGGCAGGCACCTGTAGTTCCAGCTAGTCACGAGGCTGAGGCAGGAGAATGGTGTGAACCCGGGAGGCGGAGCTTGCGGTGAGCCGAGATCGTGCCACTGCACTCCAGCCTGGGCGACAGAGCAAGACTCCATTTCAAAAAAAAAAAAAAGAGATTCTCCTGCCTCAGTCTCCTGAGTAGCTGGGATTACAGGCGCCTGCTGCCAGGCCCAGCTAATTTTTGCATTTTTAGTAGAGACATTTTCACCATGTTGGCCAGGCTGGTCTTGAATTCCTGACCTCAGGCGATTTGCCTGCCTCGGCCTCCCAGTGTGCTGGGATTACAGGTGTGAGCCACCTCACCCAGCCTCTTGCCTTTTCTTTTTTTTTTTTTTTTTTTTGAGATGGAGTTTTGCTCTTGTTGCCCAAGCTGGAGTGCAATGGCACGATCTCGGCTCACTGCAACCTCCGCCTCTTGGGTTCAAGCAATTCTCCTGCTTCAGCCTCCTGAGTAGCTAGGATTACAGGCATGCACCACCATGCCCAGCTAAATTTTGTATTTTTAGTAGAGATGGGGTTTCTCCACGTTGGTCAGGCTGGTCTCGAACTCCCGACCTCAGGTGATCCGCCGGCCTCGGCCTCCCAAAGTGCTGGGATTACAGGCGTGAGCCACCGCACTCGGACGCCTCTTACCTTTTTAACACCCACTCATCCTGATATTTCAAGATCAAGTTTGCTCATGAGTTAACTATATTTGGCTACAGCAATGATAATGCATCCAGTGGCTACGAAGTGCATTTTTATAATTTTCCGAATGCGTAGTCTTAAAGAGAAGCCACCTTGAAGATTTAACCTGACTAGACACGTGCTTTAATGACACCATCTCTGCCTACTGGCACCTTATGGTGGCCCTCCTCAGGTCCCCTCAACAGGACACATCAACCACTCATTGTGGTATGGTTCAGAGCCACGGATGTGTGTACATGTATGCATGTGTATTATGTATTAGAATTCCAACTAAACCGAGCTCTCTGAAGGTTTTAAATATCCTTTATTACTTAATACATGCTATGAACTAAATAGGAACTTACGAACATCTAACTAATTTACCTTAAGTAAAGTGGTTTATTAATCAATATTGTGTATCTCTTTTTCAGAGTCTGAGTAAACCTCCAGAATATTCTACCAAATTGTGTACTATGTTTCATTACACAGACACAGAAAGGGTGGGAGGGACTTTTACTGTGTACTCCTTTCTACCCTTTAAATTTTGAATCAAGAGAATGTTTCACTGATTAAATAAAACTTAACAAAATACCACACATGGTTTTAGAATAAGACACAACCAAGATCACTCAGTTCAATCTCTTCCTTATATGCAAAGGAAGCTATAAAGGTCAAGAGATGTCATAACTTATTCCAAATCAGATAAGGTATAAGTGCAAGCCTAGATTAGAACCCCCAGACAAGTGCTCTTCTATGCACTGGCGCTGCTCCTCAACTTAGGGATCAGGTTACCACTATTTACATGATCACAGAGAAGTAGTCTCTGAAAGGACCAACACCTGAAACGGAGGCCCTGGGATCAGACCACTCTAGCCACAAACCTATGGGAGCACTTTTTTGATCACACAAGTTCAGAACAACCTCAGCTAATTTTTAGAGAGATTACCTGTTCATAAAAGTAGAGAGCTCTTTCAAAGTTCTTCAGCCCAGTATAGATCATCCCTCCATAATAATAGTAACATAAAAAGTGTTTTGCATCATAGGCTCCATTCTCTTTACAGATATCCATCATATCCACGTCAAGATATGGAAGGGCAGGCTTAAAGCATTTTGCTAGCAAACAAAGCTGTGAACAAATTGATATTAAATCATCACTTTAATTTTACTTAGGCAGGTATTAGCAGAAGGAGAAAATTCATTGATTCCAGAAATTTCCAAATAATGTAATTGTGTTTTACATTTTATTGACTAAAATTATCTAAATGTCAACACATTTCATGTATCTGCTATCTGAAATGCTTAGGACCACAAGTGTTTCAAATTTTGGAATATTTGCAGAATACATACCAGTTAAGCATCCCTAATCTGAAAACCTGAAATCCAATTGCTCCAATGAGCACTTTGAGTGCCAAGTTGGCATTCTAAAGATTTCAGATTTTGGAGCATTTTGGGTTTCAAATTTTTGGATTGGGTTTCAAATTTTCAGATTAGGAATAGTCAACCTGTACTCCATTTTCTTAGCCATTCAGAAAAAAACAGCATTACCTT
Source organism: Homo sapiens (assembly GCF_000001405.40). Classification (NCBI taxonomy): domain Eukaryota; kingdom Metazoa; phylum Chordata; class Mammalia; order Primates; family Hominidae; genus Homo; species Homo sapiens. Next base: position 17,265,404 of record NC_000017.11, read on the forward strand.
TTTTTTTTTTTTTGAAATGGAGTCTCACTCTGTCACACAGGCTGGAGTGCAGTGGCGTCATCTCAGCTCACTGCAACCTCCACCTCCCGGGTTCAAGTGATTCTCCTGCATTAGCCTCCCGAGTAGCTGGGATTACAGGCGTGCACCACCACACCCAGCTAATTTTTGTATTTTTAGTAGAGACAGGGTTTCACCACATTAGCCAGGCTGGTCTCGAACTCCTGACCTCAAGTGATCCGTCCACCTTGGCCTCCGAATGTGCTAGGATTACAGGCGTGAGCCACCTCACCTGGGGGAGCATTTCTTTATAAAAAGCTAAACAGCTATAAGGCCAAGCATGCTATAGATGATTGAGAATAGAGAACTCTACAGACAAGACTCACTTATCTCTTAACCTATCCCTACCCATCTGATTAGAGGGAAAAAGAGTGTGTCCTCTTTCTTTACTGAACTAGTGGAATAGAAAGAGACCAGCATGGTGTGATACAAGTAGAAGTGGTTCCTTTAATTAATCCTTTAGGTAAATACAGGGAATTGTGCAACTCAAGAAAGCAAGCCCTTAGAACAGTTATCTAGCTAATGGAGACGCAGTGTAGACATGCGTACAAACTCACTGAGCTATACACTTTAGTATTTTACTGTCTATATGTTGTACCTCAATCACAATTTTTTTAAAACATTAAAAAGCACATCTTCATATGAAACTAGAACATGTGTTTGAAATAATCCACATACCATGTTATTCTTGAAGGAAACAATGTAAATATCCCATGCAGACTTCTAAAACCATCGCATACTCATATTATAGAATACTCCGTACCTGTAGAGTACTGCTACAGAATCATCTCCAAGATATGTTAAATACAAAAAGCAAGCTACATAAGAGTATGCATAGATTATTACAATTTGTGTAAAAAATGAGAAAATATATATTCGTATTTGCTTTTATGTCCATAAAAAGTTTTTGGAAGGATACACGAGAAATAACTAACATAGTTTCCTTTGTAGAGAAGAAATAGATGGCTAGCAAACAGAATGGGAAGGAGACTTCATTATATACCTGCCCTTTTGCCTTCTGGACTTTGAACATCGCAAAATAAGATAAATAAATGAGGCCAGGCACGGTGGTTCACACCTGTAATCCCAGCACTTTGGGAGGCTGAGGTGGGCGGATCGCTTGAAGTCAGGAGTTCAAGACCAGCCTGACCAAAATGGTGAAACCCCATCTCTACTAAAAATACAAAAATTAGCCGGGTGTAGTGGTGCACGTCCACAATCCCAGCTACTCAGGAGGCTGAGGAAGGAGAATTGCTTGAACCTGGGAGGCGGAGCTTGCAGTGAGCCTAGATCATGCCACTGCACTCCAGCCTGGGCAACAGAGCAAGACTCCATCTCAAAAAATAAAAAAAAAAAAGATAAATGAATAACATTTTAAGGTGTAAGAAGTTAGCTATGTTAAGTCTCAGGTTCCACAATTTTTTTTTAGTAGAGATGGGATTTCTCCATGTTGGTCAGGCTGGTCTGGAACTCCGGACCTCAGGTGATCCGCCCGCCTCAGCCTCCCAAAGTGTTGGGATTACAGGCGTGAACCACTGCACCTGGCAGGCTCCACAATTTTAAAAAAATGATTCGGGATTTTAAAAAAAGTTACAGGCCGGGCACAGTGGCTCACGCCTGTAATCCCAGCACTTTGGGAGGCTGAGGCGAGCGGATCACGACGTCAGGAGATTGAGACCATTCTGGCTAACACAGTAAAACCCCGTGTCTACTAAAAATACAAAAAAATTAGCCAGGCGTGATAGCGGGCGCCTGTAGTCCCAGCTACTCGGGAGGCTGAGGCGGGAGAATGGCGTGAACCCGGGAGGCGGAGCTTGCAGTGAGCTGAGATGGCGCCAGCCTGGGCGACAGAGCAAGACTCCGTCTCAAAAAAAAAAAAAAAAAAAAGTTACAACTAGGGCCGGGTGTGGTGGCTCACACCTGTAATCCTAGCACTTTGGGAGGCTGAGGCGGGTGGATCATGAGGTCAGGAGTTCAACGCCAGCCTGGCCAACATGGTGAAACCCTGTTCTACTAAAAATACAAAAATTAGCTAGGCTTGGTGGTGGGTGCTTGTAGTCTCAGCTACGCGAGAGGCTGAGGCAGGAGAATTGCTTGAACCCGGGAGGCAGAGGTTGCAGTGAGCTGAGATTGTGCCACTGCACTCCAGCATGGGCGACAAAGTGAGACTGTCTCAAAAAAAAAAAAAAAAAAAGTTACAACTATTAATTACCCTATCTGTTCGACAAGCTTACTAGTTGAGCCCCATCCTACAGTTTGCATCCAGCACCCGCCTGAATGTAATAGATGTACCTACATATTCCAACTTCTATAACACATCACAATATCGCCAACTTGCCTGTGTTTATCAAACCCAATGTTGAGCAAGCCCATAAACAACCTACACCTCTGACTTGGTGTGAATCACACACTTTGGTTGCTTACCTGGCAGAGATCAGCATGTATTGAGGTCAGCTGGTTTGTATTCATCTGCATCTTGTCTATGGCTTGCTTAAGGATGCCAATTCCTCGCAGGGGCTGTCAGAAATGACATCTCTTTCAGATAAGTTCTCAAAGATGGCAGCACATTGGATCTTATGTTGTCACTTATAAATAAAAAATAACACTAATTGATAGGTTCCTTTAAATAGCAATATGAGGTTTCCATACTCTTTCAGGAAATTTCTGTCCCATTTAAGTCAGAAAACTTTTCTTAAGCTGTTTCTTGGAATTTTTAGATAACTCAGCACCATTTTTTAAATCATAAAAAGCTTTTATTTTTACAATGAAGATCAATAATCAAAAACAGTATTACTTTCTCAACAGTTTATTATATTAACATCTAAACAAATGAAAACTTTCCAAATCACTTATTATACAAGAGACAACAGCCTATGCTTAGGAAAATTACTTGTGGCTAAGGGTGTTGGCATTTTCCCATAGGGCAGTCTACCCCTTACCTGGTAGTAAATTACTACCAAAACTAACACCATAGATTTCAAAAGGACTGTTTCCTGCCCTGATTATAAATAAGAAGACCAAGTGTCAAGTAAGGCATAATCAGTTTTTGGCAGACTAAAATATAGTCTCTTCCAAAATTGCTGGGCACGGTGGCTCACACCTGTAATCCCAGCATTTTGGGAGGCCAAGATGGGTGGATCATGAGGTCAGGAGATCAAGATTATCCTGGCCAACATGGCAAAACCCCATGTCTACTAAAAATACAAAAATTAGCCGGGCATGGTGGGATGTGCCTGTGGTCCCAGCTACTCAGGAGGCTGAGGCAGGAGAATCGCTTGAACCCGGGAGGCGGAGGTTGCAGTGAGCTGAGATCGCGCCACTGCACTCCAGCCTGGGCAACAGAGCAAGACCCCATCTCAAAAAAACAACAACAACAACAACAACAACAAAAATATATATATATATATGTGAAGAGACTAAAAATAGCTCAATAACTTACAGCTTTTTCAAAAACTCATGATTTTTCTTAACCATCTCTTTCAAACATGGTTACTTAGTACTACAAAATAACAACTGGTTCTATTTTCAGCCTCTTTCAAACCACTAATCTTAAATTTACTTTCAAATTAAAAAGAAACACCTGGCTGGGTGAAGTGGCTCACACCTGTAATCTCAGCCCTTTGGGAGGCTGAAGCAGGCGGATCACCAGAGGTCAGGAGTTCTAGAGGCTAGCCTGGCCAACATGGCAAAACCTCACCTCTATTAAAAATACAAAAATCACTGGGAGGCCGAGGCAGGCGGATCGCCTGTGGTCAGGAGTTTGACACCAGCCTGGCAAACATGGTGAAACCCTGTCTCTACTAAAAATACAAAAATTAGCCGGGCATGGTGTCAGGCACCTGTAATCCCAGCTACTTGGGAGGCTGAGGCAGAAGAACTGCTTGAACCCAGGAGGCGGAAGTTGCAGTGAGCCGAGATTGCGCCATTGCACTCCAGCCTGGGTGACAGAGCGAGACTCTGTCTCAAAAAACAAAACAAAACAAAAATCAGCTGGGAAAGGTGACATGCGCCTGTAGTCCCAGCTACTCAGGAGGCTGAGGCACGAGAATCGCCTGAAGCTGGAAGGTGGAGGTTGCAGTGAGCTGAGATCACACCACTGCACTCCAGCCTAGGCAACAGAATGAGACTCCATTTCAAAAAAATAAATAACTAAATAAATTTTTTAAAAATCCACATTATAAATTATGTATTATAAAAGATAAAGAATGAAATAACTGTTCAGATTAAGGGACACTAAAGAAACAAAGCAGTCTAATGCAATCCATGGTCCACGGTTTTCTTTTGCTATATAATATATAGTACACTGTCCAAACAGCTAATGTCCTTTTATAGCAAAAGACAGTCCTTTTCACTGGGGGAAAATCTAAATGGGGTCTGTCAATTTGTTGATGCATTATATTAACGTTCATTTCTGGGCCGGGCGTGGTGGCTCACGCCTGTAATCCTGGCACTTTGGGAGGCCAAGGCGGGAGGATTGCCTGAGCTCAGGAGTTCGAGACCAGCCTGGCAACATGGTGAAACCCCGTCTCTACTAAAATACAAAAAATTAGCTGGGCGTGGCAGCATGCACCTGTAGTCCCCAGCTACTCAGGAGGCTGAGGCAGAAGAATTGCTTGAACCTGGGAGGTGGAGGTTGCAGTGACCAGAGATGGCGCCACTGCACTCCAGCCTAGGCATCAGAGCGAGACTCTGTCTCCAAAAAAAAAAACAGTAAGAGTTCATTTCTGGATGCTGACCATTACACTATACTATGTAACAGAATGTCCTAATTTTTAGGCTTTACCCACTGAAGTATTTAGGGATAAAGAACAGCAATAGCATATGTGCAACTTACTCTACAATGGCTCAGAATAAAAGAGGAAGAGAAAAAAAAAAGAATAAGTGCGGTAAAATGTTAACATTTGGAAAATCTAGGTAAAATGTATGAGAATTTTTTATATTATTTTTGAAGCTTTTTGTAAGGCTAAAATAATGTCCTAATTAAAAGTTAAAAGAAAAAATGTAACAGACAAAACCCAGCATATTACAACATAAAGGGTACTGGCTTGGTAATTCCAACTACTTGGTAGTTCCAGCAGCAGCCTCCCTGAGGTGCCAAACCACCCCGTGCCTCCACCTCATTCAGGGGATGCGGGGACTGCCTGAGCTTACAGCAATGGCTGTGAGTGCTCTCAAGTGACCACAGATATCTAGGTGGTGGATGCTCAGTACTAACTGGAATCTTGATAAAGTAATTCATTGTGTAAGCTAGTTACATATTATAACAAAACTAGGAATACTTGAATAGTATTTCTTACCTGTTTTCTTTCCACAAGTGCATTTGTTAGCTGATGGCAAAGCCCAGCAACTAGATACAATAACAAAATATTCAAAATATAAATATAACCACAAGGGCAAAATATTTTCAATGGAGAATAAAATGTTATTTAGCTTACAAGTGTCTGTTGCATATCGAATGTGCTCCCCATTACAAGTGCTGATGAAGAGCTGAACCTGTGAGAATAGCGTTTCGAAGTCAGGAACACTGGGCATAGAAAACTTCACAAACCTAGAATAAGGAGAAAAGAATCAAATTACCCTGATAGTTCATGGGATAAAATACAGAAACAATGTATGCAAGAAATCCATCCTGCCTCCAATACTCTGTAAAATTAAATGAGCAACAGTATTTTTTAGAATTAAGAACTAGGCCAGGACAGTGGCTCATGCCCGTAATCCAAGCACTTTGGGAGGCTGAGGCAGGAGGACTGCTTAAGGCCAGGAGTTTGAGACCAGTCTGAGCAACATGGTGAGACCCTGTCTCTACTACAAAAAATAAATTAGCCAGGCGTGGGGGTACATGCCTGTAGTTGCAGATACTTGGGAGGCTGAGGCTGGAGGATCACTTGTGCCTAGAAGGTTGAGGCTGCAGTGAGCTATGATCATGCCACTGCACTCCAGCCTGGGTGACAGAGCAAGATCCAGTCTCAAAAAACAAATAAATAAGAACTAGAATCCATGAGATTTTCCTGACCTGGTTATTTTGCACAATCACTATACAGAACGGACACAAATAAGGGTTAAGAAAAATATGTTTAGGCCTGGCGCAGTGGCTCATGCCTGTAATCCCAGCACCTTGGGAGGCCAAGGCGGGAGGATCACCTAAGGTCGGGAGTTCGAGACCAGCCTGATCAACATGGAAAAACCTCGTCTCTACTAAAAATACAAAAAAATTAGCCGGGCGTGGTGGTGCATGCATGCCTGTAACCCCAGCTACTCGGGAGGCTGAGGAACTGCTTGAACCCGGGAGGTGGAGGTTGCAGTGAGCTGAGATGGTGCCACTGCACTCCAGCCTGGGCAACAAGAGCGAGACTGTCTCAAAAAAAAAATCTATATATATCTATATATATATATATATACACACATACACACACATATGTTTAATAATATATATTAAATAATAAACATGTATATATTAAACATATATGTTTTATATATATATATATGTTTAATAAGGAACAACTTTCAAGATGAAAAATTCCACTAAATGAAGCCAAATAGGCTGGGCATGGTGGCTCAAGCCTGTAATCCCAGCACTACGGAAGGCCAAGGTGGGCAGATGGGCAGATCACAAGGTCAGGAGTTCGAGACCAGCCTAGCCAATATGGTGAAAACCCATGTCTGCTAAAAATACAAAAATTGGCCAGGCACGGTGGCTCACGCCTATAATCCCAGCACTTTGGGAGGCCAAGGCGGGTGGATCACCTGAGGTCAGGATTTCAAGACCAGCCTGACCAATCGGGTGAAACCCCATCTCTACAAAAAATAGAAAAATTAGCCGGGCGTGGTGGCAGGTGCCTGTAATCCCACCTATTTGGGAGGCTGAGACAGGAGAATTGCTTGAACCCAGGAGGCAGAGTTTGCAGTGAGCTGAGATCGTGCCACTGCACTCCAGCCCGGGTGACGGAGTGAGACTCGTCTCAAAAAAAAAAACTCCTTTATGTTTATACAAATCCTGAAAATTTGTTTTAAAAAATGGCCATCTCAATTGTGGGGACTATAGTTTGCATTTATCTGAATACTTTTATCCATGTAATCCACAGGAATGTCCACATTTTCTAAATTAAAAAGAAGTTCGGAGGAGTACTGCCACAGGGCATGGCAGAATACATTGAATGAAAATATTGGCTGGGCACAGTTGCTCATAATCCCAACACTTTGGGAGGCCAAGGTCGGAGGATCATTTGAGGCCAGGAGTTTGAGACCAGCCTAGGCAACATAATATGGCCCTATCTCTGCAAAGAATAAAAATATTAGCTGGGTGTAGTGGTACATGCCTATAGTCCTAGCTTCTCAAGATGCTGAGGTGGGAGGATTGCTTGAGCCCAGAAGTTCAAGGCTTCAGTAAGCTACAATTAAGCCATTGCACTCCAGCCTACATGACAAAGTGAGACCTTTTCTCAAAAAAAGAAAAAGTATCAAAGATCCAAAGCAACATTGCTTAGAATTCCCTTCAAACAAATTTAAGCTATTTAAGACCAAATTAAATAGACCTTATTTTAATTGGGGTTCCTTGTAACCGTGTACTTGACAGTAGAATTCTTTTTCTCTTGATGTTATAGTATTATAAATTGGGATATTGTGGTTGTCATGACATTTGAAATGATATAAATAAACTGAGAAGAAATTGACTTAAAGTGAGAGTCTGGCTTCACTTACGCTGGGATTCCTGAGACAAAGGTATGTGTCCGGAGCAGAGTTTAGAGAAGAAGCTTTGTCAGAATGGAAGGATCTAGAGTTATGCTCTGCAGTATGGTGGCCACTAGCCATATGCAGCTATTTAAATTAAAATTAAAGATTCAGGTGCACTTGCCATGTTTCAAGTACTCAGTAGCCACATGTGGTCACATGTCCTTGTCTTAGCACAGGTTTGTAACATTTCCACCACTGCAGATAGTTCTATTGGACAGTGCTGGTAAGGATTTCTACTGTCTGTATTTTCTTATTTATATGAAAGAGCAGATGCTGGGCACAGTGGCTCACACCTGTAATCCTAGCACTTTGGGAGGCTCTGTTTGAGACCAGCCTGGGAAACATAGCAAGACCCCATCTCTACAGAAAAAAAAAGTGGCCAGGTATGGTGGCTTATGCCTGTAATCCCAGGACTTTGGGAGGCTGAGATGGGCAGATTGCTTGAGCTCAGGAGTTCAAGACCAGCCTGGGAAACGTGATGAAACCCTGTCTTTACAAAAAAACACAAAAATTAGGCGGGCGTGGTGGTGTACACCTGTGGTCCTGGCTACTCAGGAGGCTGAGGTTGGAAGATCACTTGAGTCCATGAGATTGAAGCTGCAGTGAGCTGTGCTCATGCCACTGCACTCCTGACTGGGTGACAGAACAAGACCTTGTCCCCCCAAAAGAAAAAAAGTTAGCTGAGTGTGGTGGCACATGCCTGTGGTCCCAGCTACCCAGGAGGCTAAAGTGGGAGGACTGCTTGAGCCTGGGAGGTCGAGGCTACAGTGAGCTATGCTTGCACCACTGCACTTCAGCCTGAGTGACATCAAGACCCTATCTCAAGAAAGAACAGAGAGCATGCATGTTTTATACACACATAAACTCACATAAACATATATATCAGGTGAGTAATGGACATGAATGCATTTTGAAGGTATAAGGTGTTTACCGTTGTATATGTTAGATAAGGTATGGAAAGAACCCTGAGCTTCTGGCTGAGGACCCTGGTTTTGAATCTACATATTCTTCCAATTTTGAGTTGTGGGGCCCTGAGCTTCATATTTTTATTTATAAACTGGCAGTCGCAATGCCTCACTGACCTATTGTGAACCCCAGATGAAATTGTTTCTGACATGTCTTGATAATTACAAAGTGTAAATACAGATGTATGGTGACATTGTTAAGTCAAATAATACAGTATAGATGGAAGCAGATAAACCAAAAGATGTAGTAGAAATTATGATTAGCTTTTCTTTTTTTTTTTTTTGAGACAGAGTCTCACACTCTGTCACCCAGACTGGAGTGCAGTGGCGTTGTCTCAGCTCACTGCAACCTCCGCCTCCCAGGTTCAAGCCATTCTCCTGCCTCAGCCTCCCGAGTAGCTGGGACTACAGGTGCATGCCACCACACCCGGCTAATTTTTGTATTTTTAGTAGAGACAGGGTCTCACTATGTTGGCCAGGCTGGTCTTGAACTCCTGAACTTGTGATCCACCCGCCTTGGCCTCCCAAAGTGCCGGGATTACAGATGTAAGCCACTGTGTCTGGCCTAATTTTTCTTGAAATTACATTTCAATCGTGCTTTTTTTTTTTTTTAAAGAATTTGAAATTTACTTACAACCAATGCCTTAATAGTGCTAAGTTTACATGATTTCTCCCCTAAAACCTATCACCAGTGCCTCCTTGGAGTGTTTCTCATGGCAGTCTGAGTTACTTGGGAAGGATCACCTGAGTCCTCCCTCTTCTCACCACTCTACTCCTCTTGTCCTGCCTATCAGTTGTTCTGTCAGTGTTATTCTCAGATAGACCACACAGCTGGTGGCAGCATCTTTAACTTAAGCTGCTGCCCACCTCCAGCCAGCCCATAGCTCTCACTCTTGGCCCCCTTAGTATGTTCTCAAAGCAGGAAAAGCAACAACTGATTTTTTTTTTTTTTTTGAGAGAGTCTCCCTCTGTCGCCCAGGCTGGAGTGCAGTGGTGCAATCTTGGCTCACTGCAACCTCTGCCTTCCAGGCTCAAGCAATTCTCATGCCTCAGCCACCTGAGTAGCTGGGACTACAGGCATGCGCCAACACACCCGGCTAGTTTTTTTATTAGTAGAGACAGGGTTTCACCAGTTGGCCAGGCAGGTCTGGAGCTCCTGGCCCCAAGTGATCCACCTGCCTCTGCCTCCCAAAATGTTGGGATTAGAGGCGGGAGCCACTGTGCCCAGCTGCAACAACTGATTTTATTTTTTTGAGACAGTCTCGCTCTGTCACCCAGGCTAGAGTACAGTGGCGCGACCTTGGCTCACTGCAACCTCTTTATGCCCGGATACATAAAAGAGTTTTTAAAAATGATAAAGTTGAACAAAATATAACAAGCAATTATTAGCTGGAATCAATAAACTGTAACTGCCATAACTTTAGTTTTGCAAAAGAGCTCAATGTTATTTACAATGGTTTACTTTCTACACCAAAAAATAAATAAATAAATAAAAATAAAGCCAGGGCTGGGCGTGGTGGCTCACGCCTGTAATCCCAGCATTTTGGGAGGCCAAGGTGGGCGGACCAAGAGGTCAGGAGATCGAGATCATCCTGGCTAACATGGTGAAACCCTGTCTCTACTAAAAATACAAAAATTAGCTGGGGCGGGTGGCGAGTGCCTGTAGTCCCAGCTACTCAAGAGGCTGAGGCAAGAGAATGGAGTGAACCCGGGAGGCGGAGCTTGCAGTGTGCCAAGAATGTGCCACTGCACTCCAGCCTGGGTGACAGAGCGAAACTCCATCTCAAAAAATATAAATAAATAAATAAAAATAAAGCCAGGAAGTGCACAGTGTTCCATTTTAACAAGCACAGAACTATAAAAGAAGATGCTCCTTACAAAACAGCAAGGACGCCCAAGGAGTGTTCTTGTACATCCAGAGCCCCGAGCACAGTGTCCAGATGGGATAAGTTCTTCGCAAGGAGTTCCCCACTCTTGTTGATCAGTTCACAAAGCTGTGTCATTTGCCCTGGAAAACAGGAACAACACTATTGCATTTCAGCTACAGCACTAACCAAACTGATGGAACTCTAACCACAACTTTGTACTTCAGAGCCTGAAGTTCCCAAAATTGATTCTTAATCTCCTTCACTTCGGATGAGGATCCAGAAGGACCAGAGGAGTGAAACAACCTGTCCGTGGTCTCAAAACGAATTAGAGATTACACTGGACCTCCCACTTCTCTCTGACCCTGAATGTTTCACCTTTTTCTCTATTCTGTTTTCTAGTCTCCCAAGCCAGAAATGCACGTTACTATTAACAGCTCTCTGCATCCAAATGATTTAGTTTTACTTCCAAAGTCTCTCAGCTCCATTTCTTTCTCTCTCCCCTCTCTGCCCTAATTCAGATCCTCATCATTTTTTGTCTGGACTACATCTTTTTTTTTTTTTTAAGATGGAGTTTCACTGTGTCGCCCAGGCTGGAGTGCAGTGGCGCAATCTCGGTTCACTACAACCTCCGCCCTCCAAGTTCAAGCAATTCTCCTGCCTCAGCCTCCCAAATAGCTGGGATTACAGGCGCCTGCCACTGCACCTGGCTAATTTTTTTGTATTTTTAGTAGAGACGGGGGTTTCACCTTCTTGGCCAGGCTGGTCTTGAACTCCTGACCTCATGATCCACCGCGCCCAGCCTACATCATAAATCTTCTAAATGGTCTGCCTACTGTGATCTTTCTCTCCTCCAACCCGCACTCCATATTAGTACTGTCTGTTCTATAAACTGTGCATTCAATCAAGTTATTCCAATGACTTTAAGAAGTGCAAACGCCTCAGCCTGAACTAAGGCCCTTCAATAACTGGTCCCTGCTACCTTTCCAGCCTTATCTCCTGCTACTTCCCCTCACACACCTACTCTTCGATCACAGCAAGCTCAGAAAATCAACATTCTATCTTCTCTCCTCTTTATGCTTCTACACATGCTGTTCTCTGTCCTTCTCCCCCACATCCTCTGCTACCTGACTGAGCCTCATCCAGCATTCAGCAATCAACTTGTGGCGTCTCTAGACCCTCATCTCAGCTCCCTTCCCCATGGCTAAGCTGGGTATCTGCCCTCTCTGCCTCGCATGGGACTGTAGTGGTTAGGTATTTCAGTAAACTCAGGTGGAGGGATTGTCCCTTTCTCCAGCTCTAGAATACATCACCTGCTTAGCAGTTCATCAAGCAGCTACTTGTTGAATTAATCTCCTAATTGATCTATTTTTCCCCTATACTGCAATACTATGTTTGTTTTGTTTTGTTTTTTGAGACAGGGTCTCATTCTGTCGCTCAGGCTGCAGTGCAGTGGTGTGATCACAGCTCAACGCAGCCTCCATCTCCTGGGCTCAAGCAATCCTCCCACCTTAGCCTCCCGAGTAGCTGGAACTACAGGTGTACGTCACCATGCCCATCTTATTTTTTAAGTTTTTTGCAGAGACAGGGGTCTCACTATGTTGCCCAGTCTGGTCTCTAACTCCTGGGCTCAAGCAATCCTCCCACCTTGGCCTCCCAAAGTGCTGGGATTAGAGGCATGAGCCACCACACTCAGCCTGCAATGCTACATTTTAACAACTAAGGTACAGAATCTATTAATAATTAGGCCTCAGCCGGGTGCTGTGGCTCACACCTGTAATCCCAGCACTTTGGGAGGATAAGGTGGGCAGATCTCTCGAGGTCAGGAGTTCAAGACCAGGCTGGCTCACACCTGTAATCCCAGCACTTTGGGAGGATAAGGTGGGCAGATATCTCGAGGTCAGGAGTTCAAGACCAGGCTGGCCAACATGGTGAAACCCTGTCTCCACTAAAAATACAAAAATTAGCTGGGTGTGGTGGCACACACCTGTAATCCCAGCTACTCGGGAGGCTGAGGTGGGAGAATCCTTTAACCTGGGACAATCCTTGAACCCGGGAGATGGAGGCTGCAGTGAGCTGAGATTGCGCCACTGTACTCCAGCCTGGGCAACAGAGCAAGACTCCGTTTCGGGGGAAAAAAAAAATTAGGCCTGAATTGGTACCTTTAAGTAGACCCATCAATTTTGACAATTACTGTCATGACAGATACCATGGTCACACTCTGTCTTTCTGGTAACAGTGAGGATATATTTAAGTCCATGGGCATTAACCTCAAGTTTCCAACTTCTCTATTTCTACAGAGCAACTGCATAATCTTTTCCTTACTAAAAGAATACAACATAGTATAATGCTTAAAATACAAGTGACTATAGCTAGGTACTTTTGATAATTTAACACTTTTCAATTTGATACATTTTACTGAAAGCAAAGGAAATGTATCATTATTATACATGCATTACAAAACAAGAATAAAACAGCTGTGATCTTATTAGGTGTCACCTCTTGAGATCACACAGATTTAACTGGGAAATACCAACTCATCATCATTGTATTACAGATCTCACTGGTAGGTATGAAGTAACTTCTAGTTGAATAATTTGCCTTTGTAAACCATTACTCTAAATATATTAACAATAATTTGTAACACCCAGAAATAAGCATTGCAATCCATTAGTTCTCTACTAGTTAACAATCAGTGCCCAGTTGAGACTGAAATAAAAGCTGGGTCACTATGAAATCACCAGATAATTAATTAGTGCAGGGCCAAGGGCAGAGTAAAAAAAAAAAGTTTAAGTGTCACAGAGTGCATTTGAAATCAGTGTAACCAGAGATGTGGCCAATAAAATTCTTTTTTTTCTTTTTTTTTTTTTTGAGACGGAGTCTTGCTCTGTCACCCAGACTGGAGGGCAGTGGCGCGATCTTGGCTCACTGCAAGCTCCACCTCCCAGGTTCATGCCATTCTCCTGCCTCAGCCTCCCGAGTAGCTGAGATTACAGGCGCCCGCCACCATGCCTGGCTAATTTTGCATTTTTAGTAGAGACAGGGTTTCACCATGTTGGCCAGGGTGGTCTTGAACTCCTGACCTCAGATGATCCGCCCGCCTCGGCCTCCCAAAGTGCTGGAATTACAGGAGTGAGCCACTGCGCCTGGCCTGAAACTCAAAGATTTCCTATCCAGTGAGTGTGAGGCACAGTAGCCGACAGCAATGAAAGTTACCATATTTATCTCTGTCTAGCAGACTGTTCCTATAGCATCCTATAACCTGAAGACCACAACAGCCCTAGTTCTGTTTTGTAATTAAGAAAATTGGCCCAGGGAAATTAAGTGGTTCACCCAAGAAGTGACCGCGACAGGATTTCAACCTGAAGCTTCTAACTACACTACACCCCAGGAAGGAGAACACTAAGTATTTGTCGAATAAATTAACAAACCAGTGGTTCCTTTATTCATAGAAAAGGCAAGCCTGTGCCTTCCCTGTGAACCTCATTTCTATTAATAAAAAGGAAAAAGAGGAAGAATTCTTATTAAGTGCAGCTCCATATCAGACCATTTGTCTTACACCAGTGAGGTAAAAGCACCCCTCCATTTTTACAATGGAGATGCAAAAGACTCAGAGATTAAAGGTTATTTGTCCAAGGTCAAGCAGCTCCTAGAACTTTGCAATTAATGACGGTAACAATAATTTGCAGCTATATTTATTGCACCCCTTATGACAGGCACTGTTCCAACTGCTTTTACATGGTTTCTCTCATTGAATCTTCACAACTCTACATAAACTAGGGACTTATTTTGCAGACGAAGAAACTGAAGCACGGGATAGTTAAAAGGGCCTTCACAGCCAGCATCTAATCATTCGAATTTCAGGTCCAGAATTCGGTACATTCATACGCAATGAATGAACCAAACAACCTGGAAAGTGCGAGTAAAATCATCACAATTCTACCCCTAGAAATGGAGTCCTGGCCGGGCGCAGTGGCTCACGCCTGTAATCCTAGCACTTTGGGAGGCCGAGGTGGGCGGATCACTTCAGGTGAGGAGTTCGAAACCAGCTTGGCCAACATGGTAAAAACCCCATCTCTATTAAAAATACGAAAAAATTAGCCGCGTGGGCTGGCCGCGGTGGCTCATGCCTGTAATCCCAGCACTTTGGGAGGCCGAGGCCAGTGGATCACCTGAGATCAAGGTTCGAGACCAGCCAGGCCAACATGGTGAAACCCTGTCTCTACTAAAAATACAAAAATTAGCCGGGCAGGCGCCTGTAATCCCAGCTACTCGGGAGGCTGAGACAGGAGAATCGCTTGAACCTCGAAGGCGAAGGTTGAGGTGAGCCGAGACCGCGCCACTGCACTCCAGCCTGGGAGACAGTGAGACTCCGTCTCAAAAAAAAAAAAAGCCGTGTGAGCTGGCGGGCGCCTGTAATCTCAGCTACTCGGGAGGCTGAGACAGGAGAATCGCTTGAAGCCGGGAGGCTGAGGTTGCAGTGAGCCGAGATCGCGCCACTGCACTCCAGCCTCGGCTAAAAAAAAACAAAGAAGAAGAAATGGAGTCCTACGAGCGAGAGCTTCCGCAGCATTCTGTAGGACCAAAATAGGCGCACAGGTTCCCGAGCGTGCGCCGCCTGGCAGCGGAGGAGCTGGCAGAGGCGAGCCATAGAGCCAAGACACCCAGAACGGACTCGCCTCCCGCCCGCTCCCGGCGGCCTAGTCAGCAAGCTGCGGATCGGCGGCAAAGATGACATGGCGGTGCGCCAATCACCGAAGGCAAGAGAGACAGAAGGAACCAATAGTCGCCCGAGATGGCTCCTGGCGGAAGTCACGCCCCCAAACTGTCAAGCAAAGCGCCCGGTGGAAGGGGCCCAGGCCGGGGGGAGGGGGCTCCCGGCGGCCCGAGGGAGGGGAGGCCGGCCGGCGAGGACAGCGGAGCGCGAGGGGGCTGCCTACACTCGGCCGCGCTCGATCCTGCCCTGATCTAAACGCCGCAACCCCAAGCCCGGCCCCGGAGAAGAGTCTCAGGACTAAAAGGGCTGTTCCAGCCGTCCGTGCTGGCGCCTGGGGATCCAGGCCAGTTCCCGGTACCCGCCCATGCCCAGCCCGGCGGCCTAGGGCGTTACCTTGAGCTGAGAGCTGTCGGACACTGTTCACGAACTGCTCCAGGGCAGACGCCATGTTTTCCCCCGGGCGGCCCGAGCGGCGAAGGCAGCACGCGCGGGAAAAGGCTGCCGCTCTGGGAGGAGGGGCCGCGGCGATCCACCTGAGGTCCTCGCGAGCGGCGACGTCACTTCCGCTGGTTCAAGCACCGCGAGACTATACCTAGCTGCCCACCCGTTACTGTTTCCATGGAAACAGCCTGAATTCGCCGTAGCCGGAAATTAGTGTTCCATAGTCCCCTGCATCTTTATTCACTGCACTTCTGAAATCCCTCCGCAGGTTAAATGGGGATAGTGGGCAAAAGAAGGAAGGAAACTCATAATTAAGCAAGTATTTTCTGGTTCTGGATTTTGCTAGAGAGGCCCTGCGGTTTTCCACCTGGACAGATACTTCAATGAAGCACAACTTCGTTGCCACGTCTCCCGTGAGGTTTTCCCCGTGATATTAGACTCTGGAGCCAAGCAGCCTGGGTTCAACTGCCTTTTCTACCACTTAGTAGCTGTGTGACGTTGAGCGGGTCACTTGACTGTCGTGTGCATTGTTTTCCCCATCTGTAAAATCTTAGTGTCCTTAACCACGTAAAACACTTAGGACAGTGCATAGGACGTAGGGAGAACTATAGTTATTCATTCAAGGTGTACGTTGAATGAATCGATCCCTTCCCTGCAAAAAATAAATAAATAAGTAACACCACACACAGAAAGTGAATTGATTTTTCCCATCTGGGATTGATGTCTCCCTCCTCCGCTTGTCGCCTAAAGCACTTTGTTCTTCTCATGTTGCACTTCTACTCTGTTACAGAAATGTGTCTCTATAGTCCATGTGATATCTGTAAACCAAAAATAAAAGTCTAAGCCCCCCAACTGACTGGTGGACCCTATCTGAAGCCAAGGACATTCCAATTTATCCTGAAAAACTAGTTCAGGCCATGATGGGAAGTGGTAGTCAGACATGCCTCACAAACATCAACACAGAGACCTTAAGACTGGTAGACTCAAGACTGATAAGAAATATTTACAATCTATTCTGTCTGAATAGCAGGCTACCTGGAAGCCTCATCTGCATGATAAAACCTTGGTCTCCACAACCCCTTATAATCATAACCCAGATATTTCTTTCTATTTACTTCCAGGTCTTTAGATAATAACTCTTTCAACCAATTACCAATCAAAAAATCTTTAAGTCTACCTATAAGGTAGAAGCCCCCCACTGCCCCGAGTTAGCCCGTCTTTCCGATCCTAACCAACGTACATCTTACATGTATTGATCGATGACTCATGTCTCCCTAAAATGTATAAAACCAAACTGTACCCGCACCTTGGGCACATGTCCTGAGGAGCTCCTGAGGCCGTGTTATCATCGCATCCTTCACCTTGGCAATATAAACTTTCTCGATTGAGACTGGTCTCAGATACTTTTGGTTTACGGATCCATTGCTTCTAACTGGCATGGAGTTCCTTAAGGTCAAGCATTTCTCTTACTAACCTTGGTTCCCCTTTAGGGCCCAGCATAGGATTTGCTGCATAGTAGGGACTGAGAAAATAAACATGCATTTTAAAATTTTATCCAACATATGTTTACTGACACTTACAATGTGTTGTACCAGGCACTAGAAATACAGTGGTAGTAAAAACAGTCTTGGGGCCTGGTGCAGTCTCTCACGCTTGTAATCCAGCACTTTGGGAGACTGAAGCAAGTGGATCACTTGAGGTCAGGGGTTGGACACCAGCCTGGCCAACATGGTGAAAAGCCATCTCTACTAAAAATACTACAAAAATTAGCTGGGCTTGGTGATGGGTACCTGTAGTCCCAACTACTCGGGAGGCTGAGATGGGAAAACCTCTTGAACCCGGGAAGTGGAGGTTGCAGTGAGCCGAGATGGCACCACTGCACTCCAGCATGGGCGACAGAGCAAGAATCTGACTCAAACAAAACAAAACAAAACAAAACAGTTTCGGTCCTTCTCTCCTGCAGACAACACATGAAGACCCTAGATAAAAGGAGTTAGTGGTCTGAAGGAATGGAACATGGTTCTATAAAATCATGTCACAGAGGAGATTGACCTGGCTTGGGAGAAACAGGGAAGGCTTTCTTGAGGAAATGGCATAAACTGAGCAACGAAGAAAGAGGAAGAGTTAATAAGATAAGGGGGAAGGAATATTTCTGAGTGAGAGGACAGTATGGTGCTAAGACCCTGCAAGTGAAAGGAGCATGCTAGTTGAGAATGAAGAACTGAAAGAATGTCCTTGTGGTTGGAGGGGAGTAGTTTGTAAGGTGGACAGGGGCCAGGTCATGTAAGCTGTGTTAAAGGTACTGGACTTTTTCCTGAGAAGATTGGGAGGACTGGAGAGTTTTATGCAAGCGGTGGCAGGATCAAATTTGCGTTTTAGGACCGGGCGTGGTGGCTCACGCCTGTAATCCCAGCACTTTGAGAGGCTGAGGTGGGTGGATCACGAGGTCAGGAGTTCAAGAGCAGCCTGGCCAGAAAGATGAAATCCTGTCTCTAGTAAAAATACAAAAAATAGCCGGGTGTGGTGGCGTGTGCTTGTAATCCCAGCTACTCAGGAGCTGAGGCAGGAGAATCGCTTGAACCAGGGAGGTGGAGGTTGCAGTGAGCTGAGATCAGGCCACTGCACTCCAGACTGGACAATAAAAAGAGACTCAACTTCAAAAAACAAAACAACAACAACAAAAATTGCATTTTAAAAAGATTTGTCTGGCTTCACATGGATAACTTGGGAGACAGGAAGCTATTGCAATAGTCAACATAAAATAGAATAGTAATAATTATACTTTAAATAATTATACCTTGAATGCTAATAGTTTTACTCTTACCAGGAGTTCGAGACCAGCCTAGACAACACAGCGTGACTTTGTCTCTACAAAAAAAATTTTAAAAACTAGCTGGTTGTGGTGGTGCATGCCTATTGTCTCAGCTACTCTGGAGGCAGAGGTGGGAGGACCACTTAAGCCCAGGAATTTAAGGCTGCAATGAGCTATGATCTCGCCACTGCACCCCAGCCTGGGTGACAGAGTAAGACCCTGTTTCTTTCAAATAAATAGTAATAATAATAGTTCTTTCGAAAGTGTAGATAAATTCACCAGGATAAATTGGTGAACTTGAGACATGTTTAGATGAATGACTGTAGCACTTGTACTCTAAGATGGAAATGCTCCTGAATGTTCTATGGAAGCAATTGGTCCTTAATCTTTGATCATTTGCAACACACAAGACAGACATTTTGACTTATGGGACACATTTCCATGGATATACATGGATTTTGGTGAAAGCCAAAAATGTTGAAGATAAGTAAAGCACTACAATAATTCAAAGTAGCCACAGCTACTAATAATACTTTGATTGTTTATTTATTATTGCCTATTTAGGTTGTGGCAGCTGCTCTCAAACTGTGACTCCACCAATCAGCAGCGTCAGCGTCATTTGGGATCTTCTTGGAAATGCACATTCTTGGACCCCACTGTAGACTTCCTATATCAAGAGCTCTGAAACTGGGCACGGACCCTCACGCCTATATAAAAATTAGCCAGGCGGTAGTGGTGCACACCTGTAATCCCAGCTACTTGGGAGTCTGAGGCAGGAGAATCGCTTGAGCCTGGGAGGTGGGGGTTGTGGTGAGCTGAAATCATGCCACTGCGCTCCAGTCTCGGTGAGAGAGTGAGACCCTGTCTCGAAAAAAAAAAAACGGTGATTTCCAGAAATCTGAGCTTAACAAGCCTGCAGGTAATTCTGATGGTGCTAAATTCTGAGAGCATCTGGACCGTGGCCTCCAGATGAGCCAGCATGCAAATAACATTTCAAAACAGCTAAAAGCTAAATTCAAAACAGCTAAATTCCACCCTTCTCTTTCCTCTCAAAAACAAATGACTGAAAGAGACGTGATTATAGGGATAAACCTGAATATATTCTAACTTGTTTTTTTTTTTTTTTTTTTTTTTTTTGAGACGGAGTCTCACTCTTTCGCCCAGGCTGGACTGCAGTGGCGCTATCTTGGCTCACTGCAAGCTCTGCCTCCCGGGTTCACGCCATCCTGCTGCCTCAGCCTCCCAAGTAGCTGGGACTACAGGCGCCTGCCACCACACTCGACTAATTTTTTGTATTTTTATTAGAGACGGGGTTTCACCGTGTTAGCCAGGATGGTCTCGATCTCCTGACCTCATGATCTGCCTGCCTCGGCCTCCCAAAGTGCTGGGATTACAGGCGTGAGCCACCGTGCCCGGCCTTGTTTTGTTTTTTTATACAGAGTCTCGCTGTCACCCAGGCTGGAGTGCAGTGGAGTGATCTTGGCTCATCTCAATCTCTACCTTCCAGGTTCAAGTGATTCTCCTGCCTCAGCCTCCCAAGTAGCTGGGATTACAGGTGTGTGCCACCATGCCTGGCTAATTTTTGTATTTTTAGTAGAGATGGGGTTTCACCATGTTGGCCAGGCTGGTCTCAAACTCCTGAGCTCAGGTGATCCGCCCACCTCGGCCTCCCAAAGTGCTGGAATTACAGGGATGAGCCACTGTGCCTGGCCTCTAACTCGTATTTTTTTTTTCTTTTGAGATGGAGTCTCGTTCTGTCGCCCAGGCTGGAGTGCAGTGGCGCAATCTGGGCTCACTGCAAGCTCCGCCTCCTGGGTTCATGTCATTCTCCTGCCTCAGCCTCCCGAGTAGCTGGGACTACAGGTCCCCCCTACCATGCCTGGCTAATTTTTTTTTTTGTATTTTTAGTAGAGACGGGGTTTCACTGTGTTAGATAAGATGGTCTCGATCTCCTGACCTCGTGATCCACCTGCCTCAGCCTCCCAAAGTGCTGGTATTACAGGCGTAAGCCACCGGGCCCAGCCCTCTCACCTGTAGTTTTTTTTAAGCCAGAATTTTGTAAAATCTGGCAATTACTTGAGAATGCCTCACAAGGAAGGATGGCTCAGCAGTGGGTGGATATGATACATTTAATCTTTTGTTCTTTTATTCTTTGAACACACATTTACTTTGTATCAAATATGTGTCAAGGCTTTGCCAGATGCTGGGAATATGTCTGTGAACAAGACAGAATGTCCCGGGTCACATGAAGTTCTGGTTTGGAGAGTAAAACAATAAGCAAGCAAATACATAATTTGGATAGTAATATGTGTTATGAAGAAAATAAAGCATGGCGATGGGGGTATAGGAAGGTCAGGAAATGCTTCTTTGAGCCCTCAAGGATGAGAAAGAGCCAGTTAAGAGAGATGTGGGGCCAGAGTTGGAGACAGAGGGATATGCATGGTGGGCAAAGGTCTTAAAATCCAAACAAGCTTGGTGTGTTTCAGGAAAAGAAAAAAATGCCAGTGCAGCTAGAATATAGGGAGTGAGGAGGATCCTGGTATGTCTCCCTTGAGAAATGCTTGTCTATAGCAATCTCAGATTTGTCCAGATTTTCAAATGCAAAACATTTTCGGATTCAGTAATGTCTACAAATTTTTTCAAGTGATAACTTGTAAAAAAGGAATAGTAGATAGCACTTGGGGAGGGGCAGGAACAGTGTCAGGCACTGTTGTAAACACCTTCCACATTCTCCATTTCTATTTATTTATTTATTTATTTTGAGATGGAGTCTTGCTCTGTCACCCAGGCTGGAGTGCAGTGGCACGATCTTGGCTCACTGCAACCTCCACCTCCCTGGTTCAAGCAATTCCCCTGCCTCAGCCTCCTAAGTAGCTGGGATTACAGGCACACACCACCATGCCTGGCTAATTTCTTTTTTTATTTTTAGTAGAGACGGGGTTTCACCATGTTGGCCAGACTGGTCTCAAACTCCTGACTGCAGTCAGTCTGCCCACCTCGGCCTCCCAAAGTGCTGGGATTACAGGTGTGAGTCACCATGCCCAGCCAATTTTTTTTTTTTTTTTTTTTTTTTTTTTTGAGACGGAGGCTTGTTCTGTCGCCCAGGCTGGAGTGCAGTGGCGCGATCTCGGCTCACTGCAAGCTCCGCCTCTTGGGTTCACGCCATTCTCCTGCCTCAGCCTCCCGAGTAGTTGGGACTACAGGCGCCCGCCACCAAGCCCGGCTAATTTTTTTTGCATTTTTAGTAGAAACGGGGTTTCACCGTGTTAGCCAGGATGGTCTCGATCTCCTGACCTCGTGATCCGCCCGCCTTGGACTTCCCAAAGTGCTGGGATTACAGGCGTGAGCCACTGCGCCTAGCTGCCCAGCCAATTTTTGTATTTTTAGTAGAGACAGAGTTTTGCCATTTTGGCCAGGCTGGTCTCAAACTCCTGGCCTCAAGTGATCTGCCTGCCTCCGCCTCCCAAAGTGCTGGGATTACAGGTGTGAATTACCGTGCCTGGCTCTAGAGCAGTTTGTAGGCCTTGTCTCCACAATAATCCTTCCAGGCAGGTGCTATTGTAGAATCCTCCAGGCTTTTCACAAATATTCCATTTATTTTCCTTTCACACCCTTAGAATTTTGTTATCACTATGTGACTTTATTTGGCCACTGAAACACAAGTAGAAGTGGCATGTTTGACTTTTGGGTGGGAGCTTTAAGTGTCAGGGCACCAGGATAGGATGGGCAAGCCACCAACCACCCTTCTGAACCCACACTGGAAATGTGTATGTGTGTCTGTTTGTGTATATATATGTGTTTTATTTTATATATATTTGTGTATATATATACATGTTTTATTCTATATATATATTTGTTTTATTTTATATGTATATATATAAAGTAAAACAAATTACCCCCAAACATAGAAGCTTAACATTTTTTATTTCTCAGTTATTATGTCACAATTTCTGTGTTTCAGGAATTCTGCCATGGCTTAGCTGGCTGCCTCTCCCTCAAGGTCTCACACAAGACAGCAATTGGGTATTATCTAGGGCTGTGGTCTCATCAGAAAGCTCACTGGAAATAGTCTGTTTCCAAGTTCATTTACATGGTCGCTGGAATGATTCAGCTACTCATAGGCTGCTTGACTGAGGACCTCAGTTGCTTGCTGGCTATTGGCCAGGGGCCTTGCTCAGTTGCTTGCCACATGGGCTTCTCCATAAAGGAGCTCAGAACACGGCAGATGGATTCTCAGAGAAAGAGAAAATAGGAGAGGGGAGGAGTGGGGGAGGGGGAGGGGGAGGAGGATGCTGAAGGGGATGGGAAAGGGAAGAGAAGTAATGCTAAAGTCATAGGCTTTTTGTAACCTAATCTTGGAATTAATGTCCCATCCCTTTTGCCATAGTGTATCCATTAGAAGTGAGTTGCTAGGTGTAGCTGATACTCAAGAGCAGGGATGTTCCAACAGCGTGTCAGGAGGCAGGGTTTATTGGGAGTCATTTTATCTTATTTTTTGTTTTCTTTGTTTGTTTATTTATTTATTTATTTTTGAGATGGTGTCTCGCTCTGTCACCCAGGCTGGAGTGCAGTGGCACAATCTCGGCTCACTGTAACCTCCACCTCCCGGGTTCAAATGATTCTCCTGCCTTAGCTTCCTGAGTAGCTGGGACTACAGGTGCATGCCACCCTGCCTGGCTAATTTTTTTTTTTTTTTTGTATTTTTAGTAGAGACGGGGTTTCACCATATTAGCTAGGATGGTCTCGATCGCCTGACCTCATAATCCGCCCACCTCGGCCTCCCAAAGTGCTGGGATTACAGGCGTGAGCCACCATATTTATTTACAGAGTTTTTGCTTTTGTTGCCCAGGCTGGAGTGCGATGGAGCGATCTCGGCTCACCGCAACCTCTGCCTCCCAGGTTCAAGCGATTCTCTTGTCTCAGCCTCCCGAGTATCTGGGATTACAGGCATGCGCCACCACTCCCGGCTAATTTTGTATTTTTAGTAGAGATGGGGTTTCTCCATGTTGGTCAGGCTGGTCTCGAACTCCTGATCTCAGGTGATCTGCCCGCCTTGGCCTCCCAAAGTGCCAGGATTACAGGCATGAGCCCAGCTATTTCTTTATTTTGAGACTGAGTCTTGCTCTATCACCCAGGCTGGAGTGCAGTGGCACAATCTTGGCTCACTGCAACCTCTGCCTCCCAGGTTCAAGCGATTCTGGGAGCCATTTTAGAGGCCGCCTACCACAATGAGTAGGAAATAAACCATTGTTAAGGCACTGAGATTTTGGCATTGGTATTGCAACATAACCTAGCCTGTCATCTGACACAATGTTTATCTCCCATCCTTCAGAAACTGATGCTCAGAAAGATTAAGGGATTTGGCCAAAGATACACAGCCAGGTACTGGCAGCACTAGGATTAAAACTTATATCTGTCTGACTTCAGGCCCTGAGTTTTTTTTGTTTGTTTGTTTGTTCGTTTTAGACATAGTCTCACTCTGTCGCCCAGGCTGGAGTGCTGTGGCACCATCTCAGCTCATGAGCAGACTGTTCTTGAACACCTGACCTCAAGTGATGCACCCACCTCAGCCTCCCAAAGTGCTGGGATTACAGATGTGAGCCACCCTGCCTGGCCTCCAGGTCCTGAGCTTTTATTCACTATATGTATTGGGCGACTAGGAAACATGAGGATAGGAAAAGTATTCAATTTCAGTCCATGGGACAGTAGCAACCCTTCATAGCAGCTGTTGATAAAACGTGACACATTTTGATGTGGTAGGGCCTATTGACTGTGTGGGGTGAGAGGACGACAGACAAGGACGCACCCCACAATCTTGTAATCATTTCCTACAATACAGCCACATTCCCAGATATATTCATAATCATTCTTCTGTTAGCTTAGCAGGTCCATGTTTCCATCCACAGCCACGTGCGGAATCTGCTTCTTGAGAGGATGGATACATTCCAGCGACAATGTGTGTGAAGCCATTTGTCAACCCCTTCCTATGACTGTTGAGTCCCTCAAGGCCAGAGAGACTGCAACTTACCCAAGGTCACACAGCAACCAGTGGCAGAGGTAGGACTACATTGCCAGCGTTCCCATCCAAACCTCTTTTCATGACAGCATGTGGCAACCAAGCAGGTATCCACATCCTTCGTAGGCTAACAACACTGGTGCATCCATATGAGCAGCACATTACCCGCAGCTGGGAGGCCAAGCAAGAGCCCTTTTCCCTATTGTCTGGAGGATCTGCTATCCTTTCCTGCCACTTCCACCTTTTTTTTTTTTTTTTTTTTTGAGAGTCTCGCTCTGTCTCCCAGGCTGGAGTGCAGTGGCACGATCTCGGCTCACTGCAATGTCTGTCTCCTGAGTTCAAGTGATTCTTCTGCCTCAGCCTACTGAGTAGCTGGGATTATAGGCATAAGCCACTACACCCGGCTAATTTTTGTATTTTTAGTAGAGACGTGGTTTTACCATATTGGTCAGGCTGCTCTCAAACTCCTGACCTTGTGATCCACCTGCCTCTGCCTCCCAAATTGCTGGGATTACAGGCGTGAGCTACCATGCCCGGCCACTTCTACCTTTAAGATATGTGAAGCCTCTGATTCCTTGCACCCACGCACAACTTCCATTCTAGCCTCCATCTCAACCCCTCGGAGATCTGGACTGTACTACCCAGGATTCTCAGTTGCAAGTGGCAGAAAGCACAATTTAGACTGGTTTAATTACAAGGCGAATTTACCAGCCCATGTTACTGGCAAGCGACTACAGCTTCAGGAAAAGATGGATTTGGCAATGTAGCAATGTGAACACTGTCTCAATTTCACTTGTCTTTTTTCTTTCCGTTTCTTGGATAAAACTTTTGAGGTTTGTTTGTTTGTTTGTTTGTTTGCTTGGTTTTTAGAAACAGAGTCTCACTCTGCTGCCTGGGCTGGAGTGCTGTGGCACCATCAGGGCTCACTACAGCCTCGACTTCCTCAGACTTCCAAGTATCTAGTGCTACAGGCACACACCATTAGGCTGGCTAATTAAAAAAAAAATTTCTTTTGTAGAGGTGGGGTCTCCTGTGTTGCCCAGGCTGGTCTCAAACTCCTGGACTCAAGCAATGCTCCCACCTCAGCCTCCCGAAGTGCTAGAATTACAGGAATGAGCTACCACACCTGGCTGAATCCTGTTTTTATTTTATCATTTTATTTTTTAACTTTTTTTTTTTTCAGACGGAGTCTCGCTCTGTTGCCCAGGCTGGAGTACAGTGGCGCGATCTCGGCTCACTACAGCCTCTGCCTCCTGGGTTCCAGTGATTCTCCTGCCTCAGCCTCCTGGGTAGTGGTATTACGGGTATGCACCACCATGACCAGCTAATTTTTGTATTTTTGGTAGAGACAGGTTTCACCATGTTGGCCAGGCTGGTCTTTGACTCCTGACCTCAGGTGATTCGCACGCCTCGGCCTCCTAAAGTGAGCCACTGCGCTGGGCCTGAATTCTGTTTTTAAAATGAGGTATAATTGACCAACAGAAAATGCATACATTTAAAGTTTGATAGAAATTTGGTAGATTGTTGGTAAAATGTGATACATTTTGACTTATGTACACACTGTTAAACCATCTTCTCAATCAAGGTAGTGAATACATCCATCACTCCTCAAAGGTTCCCCCAGCCCCTTTGCAAATACCTCTCATCCCCCACATCCCCCATCTGCTTTCAGTCACTATAGATTAGTTAACATTTTCTAGAAATGTAAATAAATTGAATCATATTGTAGATATTCTTTTTTATCTGGTTTATTTCATTCATTATAATTAATTTAAGACTCATCTATATTCTTCATTTGTCCTTAGTTTGTTTCTTTTTCATTTTCTTTAGAGACAGGGTCTTGCTCTGTCACCCAGGCTGGAGTGCAGTGGCATGATCATAGCTCACTACAACCTTCAACTCCTGGGCTCAAGCACTCCTCCTGCCTCAACCTCCCAAAATGCTGTGCTGAGATCACAAGTGTGAGCCACTGCGCCTGTTCCTTTTTTTTTTTTTTTTTTTTTTTTTGAGATGGAGTCTCACTCTGTCACTCAGGCTGGAGTGTAGTGGTGCAATCTTGGCTCACTGCAACCTCCGCCTCCCGGGTTCAAGTGATTCTCCTGCCTCAGCCTCCCGAGTAGCTGGGATTAGAGGTACCTGCCACTATGCCCAGCTAATTTTTTGTATTTTTAGTAGAGATGAGGTTTCACCATGTTGGCCAGGCTGGTCTCGAACTCCAAGACCTTGTGATTTGCCCGCCTTGGCCTCCCAAAGTGCTGGGAGCCACTGCACCCAGGCGTGAGCACAGGCGTGAGCCACTGCACCTGGCCCTCCTTTTTTTTGAGACAGAGTCTCACTCTTTCACCCAGGCTGGAGTGCAGTGGTGCAATCTCGGCTCACGGCAACCTCTGCCTTCCAGGTTCAAGCAATTCTCCTGCCTCAGCCTCCCAAGTAGTTGAGATTACAGGCACCTGCCACTATGCCTGGCTGATTTTTGCATTTTTAGTAGGAGGGGGGGTTTCACCATGTTGGCCAGTCTGGTCTCGAACTCCTGACCTCAAATGATCCACCCACCTCGGCCTCCCAAAGTGCTAAGATTACAAGCATGAGCCACCACACCCGGCCGCCTGTTCCTTTTTATTGTTAAATAGTATTGTATTATATGGATGTATCACAATTTGTTTATCACATGTTGATGGACAGTTGGGTTGTTCTACCTTTTAGCTCTTACAAAGGAAGCTTCTAAGGATATTTATGTACAAGTCTCTATATAAACATATCTTCTTTCCTCTTGGGTACACATCCAGGAGTGGAATAGCCAGCTCATACAGTAGGTATATGTTTCAACTTTTTTTTTTTTTTTTTTTTTTTTTTGAGATGGAATCTCACTCTGTTGCCCAGGCTGGAGTGCAGTAGTGCAATCTCGGCTCATTGCAAGCTCCGCCTCCCGGGTTCACACCATTCTCCTGCCTCAGCCTCCTGAGTAGCTGGGATTACAGGCGTCCACCACTATGCCCGGCTAATTTTTTGTACTTTTAGTAGAGACAGGGTTTCACTGTGTTAGCCAAGATGGTCTCAATCTCCTGACCTCATGATCAGCCTGCCTCGGCCTCCCAAAGTGCTAGGATTACAGGCGTGTGCCACCGCACCTGGCCTGTTTCAACTTTTTAAGAAACCATCCAAATGTGTTCTAAAGTGTGTTTGCACAATTAATTTCTCATCCCACCAGCTGTGTGTGAGAGTTCCAGTTCCTCCACATCTTTGCCAGCATTTTCTATGGTCAGTCTCTTTCATTTTAATCCTCCTAGTAGGTGTGAAGTGGTATCACACTGCGGTTTTAATTTGCATTTCCTTGGACTAATGATATTGAGCATCTTTTCATGTGCATATCGGCCATGTGTACATCTTCTTTGGTGAAATGTCTGTTTAAATAACTGCCACTACTTTAATGATACCCCAAAAATGTTGATGCATTGTATTTCTATTTAATTTATTAATTTATTAATTTATTGAAATGGAGTCTCACTCTGTGTCCCAGGCTGGAGTGCAGTGGCGCCATCTCGGCTCACTGCAAACACTGCCTCCTGGGCTCAAGCGATTCTCATGCCTCAGCCTCCTGAGTAGCTGGGATTACAGGAGTGTGCCACCATGCCCAGCTAAGTTTTGTATTTTTAGTAGAGATGGGGGTCTCATCATGTTGTCCAGGCTGGTCTCAAACTCCTGACCTCAAGTGATCCACCTGCCTCGGCCTCCCAAAGTTCTGGGTTATAGGCATGAGCCACCGCACCCTGCCGTATTTCTTTTTTTTTTTCCGTATTTCTATTTTAATTCAAGTCAAATCACCTTCTAATGTTTCTTTTAATTTCTTCTTTGATCTATGGGTTATTTAGAAGTATGTTTTAGTTTACAAATATTTGGGAATTTTTCAGAGACCTTTCTGTTATTGATGCCTAATTTAATTCTATTGAGATCAAAGAACATACTCTGTGTACTCTGAATCCTTTAAAATGTATTGAGGATATTTTTACAGCCCAGAGTATGGCCTGTCTTTTTAAATGTTTTATATGCACGGGAAAATAATGTCTATTCTGCTGCTGTATGGATGTCATAGAAATGTCAATTAGGTCAAGTGGGTTAACAGTGTTCTTTGAGGCTTCCATATCCTTACTTGCTTTCTGTCTACTTGTTCTATTATTAAGATAGGAATATTAATTTCTTTTTTTGAGACAGAGTCTTGCCCTGTTGCCCAGGCGGCAGTGCAGTGGCATGATCTCGGTTCACAGCAACCTCTGCCTCCCAGGCTCAAGTGATTCTCCTGCCTCAGCCTCCTGAGTAGCTGGGATTATAGGTATGCGCCACCATGCCCAGCTAATTTTTGTATTTTTAGTAGAGATGGGGTTTGCCATGTTGGCCAGATTGATCTCAAACTCCTGACCTCACGTGATCTGCCCACCTCGGCCTCCCAAAGGCCTGCTGGGATAACAGGTGTGAGCTACCGCACCCAGCTGGAATATTAAAATATTTGACAGTAATTGTGAATTTGCCTATTTCCCTTTGCAGTTTTATATATTATAAAACGGTGTTTCCTTTTATTCTACTTTTATAGTCATTTTAAATATATTATTCACATAACAAAATTCACTATGTTAAAGTGTGAGTATACTATATACATCCATATAATACAATACTACTTAAATTTAAATATATAATTCACGTAACACAATTCACCCATGTTAAAGCTGTGTTGCACAACCATCACCATTTAATTCCAGAGCATTTATATCACCCACCAAAGAAACAGTACACTTATTAGCTCTCCTCTCCCCTCCCCTTCCCTCCCCTTCTCTTTTTTCTTTTTTCTTTTCTTTTTTTTTTTTTTTTTGAGATGGAGTCTCACTCTGTTGCGCAGGCTGGAGTGCAGTGGCACTATCTTGGCTCACTGCAACCTCTGCCTCCCGGGTTCATGCCATTCTCCTGCCTCAGCCTCCCGAGCAGCTGGGACTACAGGCACCCACCACCACACCCGGCTAATTTTTTGTATTTTTAGTAGAGATGGGGTTTCACCGTGTTAGCCAGGATGGTCTCAATCTCCTGACCTCGTGATCCACCTGCCTCGGCCTCCCAAAGTGCTGGGACTACAGGCATGAGTCCCCGCGCCCGGCCTCATTCTCTTTTTTCTTTGAGGCGGGGCCTCACTCTGTTGCCCAGGCTGGAGTGCAGTAATACAGTCATGGCTCATGGCAGCCTCGACCTCCTCAGCCTCTCAAGTAGCTGGGACCACAGGTGTGCACCACCACACCTGGCTAGTTTTTGTATTTCTGTACAGATGGGGTTTCACCATGTTGCCCAGGCTCTTAGCAATTAGTTTCAATTTCACCCTTCCCACAACACCTGGCAACTACTAATCTACTTTCTGCCTCTATAGATTTGCCTGTATTCTGGACATTTCATATAAACAGAATCTTTTAAGACCTGACCTTTTGTAACTGGCTTCTTTCACTTAGCAAAACATCTTCAAGGTCCACCCATGTTGTGGCATGTGCCAGAATTTCCTTCCTTTTCAAGGTCATAGTACGTATATACCACTTTGTATTTATCCATTCATCTATCAGTGGATACTTGGCTTGCTTGCACCTTTTTTTTTGTTTGTTTGTTTGTTTTTGAGACAGGGTCTTGCTCTGTTACCCAGGCTGGAGTGCAGTGGGGCAATAATAGCTCACTGCAGCCTCTAATTCTTGGGTTCAAGTGACTCTCCCACCTCAGCCTCCCAAGTAGCTGGGACTACAGGTGTGCACCACCACACTTGGCTAATTAAATTTTTTTTTTTTTTTTTTGAGATGGAGTCTTTGTCACCCAGGCTGGAGTGCAGTGGCAGGATCTCGGCTCACTGCAAGCTCCGCCTGCCGGGTTCATGCCATTCTCCTGCCTCAGCCTCCTGAGTAGCTGGGACTACAGGTGCCCACCACCACGCCTGGCTAATTTTGTTTTTGTATTTTTAGTAGAGACGGGGTTTCACCGTGTTAGCCAGGATGGTCTCGCTCTCCTGACCTCGTGATCCGCCCGCCTCGGTCTCCCAAAGTGCTGGGATTAAAGGCATGAAACACTGTGCCCAGGCTTTTTTTTTTTTTTTTTTTTTTTTTTTTTTTTTAAAGACAGAGTCTCCTCTGTCGCCCAGGCTGGAGTGCAGTGGCATGATCTCAGCTCACTGCAACCGCCGTCTCCCGGGTTCAAGCGATTCTCCTGCCTCAGCCCCCGGAGTAGCTGGGACTACAGGCATCCGTCACCATGCCCGGCTAATATTTGTATTTTTTTAGTAAAGATGGGGTTTCACCATATTGCCCAGGCTGCTCTTAAACTCCTGAGCTCAGGTGATCTGCCTGTCTCCGCCTCCCAAAGTGCTGGGATTACAGGCATGAGCCACCAAGCTCGGCCAAAAAAATCTTTTTTTTAGAAATGAGTTCTTACTATGTGATTTCTTTTTCTTATGATATCTTTCTCTGGTTCGGTGTCAGAGTAAATTGGCCTCACAGGATGTGTTGAGACATGTTCCCTTCTGTTCGATTTTTTGGGAGAGTTGTGAAGGATTGCTATTATTTCTTCTTAAATATTTGGTACAATTCACCAGTGAAGCCATCTGGTCTTAGACATTTATTTTGGGAAAGTTTTTTAAAATTACTCATTCAATCTTCTTTAATGGTTATATGCATATTCATATTTTCTTTTTCTTTTTATTCTTGAACTAGAAAAAGAAAATGTGAATATGAGTCATGGGCTTTGGCAGTTTGTATCTTTCTAGTAATTTGTTCATTTCATCTAAGTTATATAATTTTTGGCATACAATTGCTCATAATATTTTCATATATATATTTTTCTTTGTTTCTCTAAGGTGGGTAGGGATGTTCCTCTTTCATTCCTGATTTTAGTAATTTGAGTCCTCTCTTTTTGTTTCCTAGTAAGTCTAACTAAAGGTTTATCAATTTGTGTTGGTCTTTTCAAAGAACCAGCTTCTGCTTTCCTTGATTTTTCTAGTCTCTATTGCCTGTATTTCTGCTCTAATCTTTGTTATTCTTTACTTTTGCTTGCTTTGGATTTGGTTGTTTCTAGATTCTTCAAGTGAAAGGTTACTAATTTGAGGTCCTTATTTAATATAGGCATTTACAACTATAAGTTTCCTCCTAAGTGCTGCTTTGGCTATATTGTGTAAATATGGGGATGATGTTTTTTCATTTACATTTTTCTCCCAATGATTTTCTTATTTCTCTTGTGGCTGCTCCTTTGACCCATTATTATTTAGGAGTATGTAATTAAAATTCCACATATTAGTGAATTCCCCAAAGTTTCCTCTGTTACTGCTCTCCAGTGTAAGCAATGTGTTGGACTATTTACTTTGTATGACTTCAGTTCTTTAAAATGTATAGAGGTTGGTTTTATGACTAGCATATGGCCTATCCTGGAAAATGTCCCATATGTGCTTGAGAAGAACATGTATTCTGCTGTTGTTCGGTGGAGCGTTGTTCTATAGATGTGGATGTCTATTATGTTTAGTTGGTTTAGTATTATTTGTGTTTTTTATGTCCTTGTGGCCTAGTTGTTCTACCGCTTATTGAAGGAAGGTATTGAAGTCTATTATTATTGGTATTATTATTAAAAACAGGGTCTCACTCTGTCACTCAGGCTGGAAGGCAGTGGCATGATCATACTTCTCTATGGCCTCAAATTTCTGGGCTCAAGTAATCCTCCCACCTCAGACCCCTGAGTAGCTAGGACTACAGACATACACTACTAAGCCTGGCTAATTTCTAACTGTTATTTTATTTATTTTTTCATTGTTTTTTGAGACAGAGTCTCTCTCTGTTGCCCAAGCTGCTGGAGTGCAGTGGCGCAATCTCGGCTCACTGCAACCTCCTAGGTTCAAGTGATTCTCCTGCCTCAGCCCCTGGAGTAGCTGGGATTACAGGTGCCCACCACCATCCCAGCTAATTCTTGTATTTTTTTAGCAGAGACAGGGTTTCACTATGATGGCCAAGCTAGTCTCAAACTCCTGACCTCAGGTGATTCACCTGCCTCGGCCTCCCAAAGTGCTGGGATTACAGGTGTGAGCCACCACACCTGGCCTAATTATTTATTTATTTATTTATTTTTGAGATGGAGTCTCACTCTGTCGCCAGGCTGGAGCTCATCTTGCAAAACTGAAACTCTACCCATTAAATAACTTTCCATTTCCTCTCCCCTCATCTCCTGGGACCCACAATTCTACTTTCTAGTT
The DNA here is from genome assembly GCF_000001405.40 of Homo sapiens. NCBI lineage: Eukaryota > Metazoa > Chordata > Mammalia > Primates > Hominidae > Homo > Homo sapiens. The sequence goes on from NC_000017.11 coordinate 17,298,253, forward strand.
CTATAACTTCGACTACTCTAAATACCTCATCTAAGACTCATATAGTATTTGTCATTTTGTGAGTAATTTCACTTAGCATAATATCCTCGAGGTTCATCCATGTTGTACCATGTGTCAGAATTTCATTTCTATTTTAAGTCTAAATAACATTCCATTATGTATGTCATATTTTGTTTATCTATTTATCCATTCATAGACACTGGGTTGCTTCTAATTCTTGGCTATGGTGCAAAATGCTGGTATGAACATGAGTATAGAAATATCTCTTAAGACTCTGCTTTCAATTCTTTTTGGTATATACCCAGAAGTGGAATTTCTAGATCAAATGGTAATTCTATGTTTAATTATTTGAGGAACCATCATGCTGTTTTTCCCAGTTGCTGTACCATATACATTCCCACTAAGAATGCATAAAGGTTTTAATTTCTTCACATCCTCACTAATGCTTGTTATTTTCTGTTTTGTTTTGGTTTTTTATAATAGCCATCCTAATGGGTATGCAGTAGTATCTCATTGTGGTTTTGATTTGCATTTCCCTAGTTAATAGTGATGTTGAGTTTCTCTCCATGTGCTTATTGGCCATCTGTATGTCTTTGGAGAAGTGCCTATTCAAATCTGTTGCTCATTTTTTTTTTTTGAGATGGGGTCTCACTCTGTTGCCCAGGCTGGAGTGCAGTAGTGCAAACTCGGCTCACTGCAACATCCACTGCCCGGGTTCAGGCAATTCTCCTGCCTCAGCCTCCCAAGTAGCTGGGATTACAGGTGCGCACCACCATGCCCAACTAATTTTTGTATTTTTAGTAGAGATGGGGTTTCACCATCTTGGCCAGGCTGGTCTCAAACTCCCTACCTCAGGTGATCCACCTGCCTTGGCCTCCCAAAGTGCTGGGATTACAGGTGTGAGCCACTGTGCCCGGCCTTGTTGCTCATTTTTAATGTAATCTGCATTGTTTCTGACAAAAAGTCTGCTGTCATCCTTTTCTTTTTTTTTTTTTTTGAGACGGAGTCTCACTCTGTCACCCATGCTGGAGTGCAGCGGCGCGATCACGGCTCACTGAAAGCTCAGCCTCCTGGGTTCACACCATTCTCCTGCCTCAGCCTCCCGAGTAGCTGGGACTACAGGCGCCCACCACCACGCTGGGCTAATTTTTTGTATTTTTAGTAGAGACGGGGTTTCACCGTGTTAGCCAGGATGGTCTCGATCTCCTGACCTTGTGATCCGCCCACCTTGGCCTCCCAAAGTGCTGGGATTTCAAGCATGAGCCACCGTGCCTGGCCCATCCTTTTCTTTTTTTGTTCCTTTGTATATAATGTGTCTTTATTTTTCTGGATGCTTTTAAGATTCTGTGTATTTCTGGCTTTGAGCAATTTGATTATGATGTGTCTTAGTTTTCCCAAACAAAATAATTTAAATTTAAAAAATACTGCCTGGGTGCAGTGGCTCATGCCTGTAATCCCAGCACTTTGGGAGGCCGAGGCAGGCAGATCACCTGAAGTCGGGAGTTCGAGACCAGCCTGATCAACATGGAGAAACCCCGTTTCTACTAAAGAAAATACAAAATTAGCCGGGCATGGTGGTGCATGCCTGTAATCCCAGCTACTCAGGAGGCTGAGGCAGGAGAATCACTTGAACCTGGAATGTGGAGGTTGCGGTGAGCTGAGATCACGCCATTGCACTCACTCCAGTCTGGGCAACGACAGCAAAACTCCGTCTCAAAAAACAAAAACAAAACAAAACAAACCAAAAAGTGAAATATTTAGGTATAAATCAACAAAACACATGCAGGATCTGTATACTGAAAACTACAAAACATTGGTGTAAGAAGCCAAAGAAAAGAGGGATATACTGTGTTCATGGATTGGAATAGTCAACATAATTAAGAAGTCAAGTCACTCCGAATTGATCTACAGATTTAGTGCACTTCCAACCAAACCAAGGAAGTTTTGTGTGTGTGTGTGTGTGTGTGTGTGTGTGTGTGTGTGTGTGTGTAGATATAGACAAGCTCATTCTAAAATTTATATGGAAAGTCAATGAAACTAGAATAGTTAAAACAATTTTGAAAAAGAAGTTGTGGGACTCACAATACCTAATATTAAGACTTACTATGAAGCTAAAGTAATCAAGACAGTTTGCTAATAGCAAAGGGAGAAACATACAGATCAATGGAACAGAATAGGAGAGTCTAGAAATAGATCCACAGAAATAGGATGGATGGAGTTTGTTTTTGAGACGGAGTTTCACTCTTGTTGCCCAGGCTCGAGTGCAATGGAGCGATCTCTGCTCACTGCAACCTCCGTCTCCCGGGTTCAAGCGATTCTCCTGCCTCAGCCTCCCGAGTAGCTGGGATTACACGCATGCGCCACCATGCCCGGGTAATTTTGTATTTTTAGTAGAGACAGGGTTTCTCCATGTTGGTCAGGCTGGTCTCGAACTCCCGACCTCAGGTGATCCGCCCGCCTCGGCCTCCCAAATCCTGGGATTACAGGCGTGAGCCACCGTGCGCGGCCTGATGGATGGAGTTTTTAAAAAACTGCAACGGCAACCCAATATAGAAGGCACAGCAGGAGCCCCGCCCCTTCTGAGTTGGCGGGGCGGGAGTTCCCCAGATGCCGCTGCAGTTGCCCTGCTGCGGCTCTGGCCCAGCATCTCTGTGCTCTTGGGAACCTGTGAAGGCTCCACTGCCCCTCGCAGGCTCGGAAGTGCCTGCTCCTGCTGCCTGGCTTCTCCCTGCTGTTGGTGCCTGCTTCAATCTCGGAGCAAAGTCGGGCCGAGCTAGGGCGCCGTCACAGCCCAGCCGGGAGTGCACACGCTCAGGGCAGCACTGACACGCCAGCCCCCTGCCTCCTTGGCCCCCTCCGGACTTGGGTGCCAACAAGCATCGGAGAACGGCCGAGGGGGGCATGAGGACAGCCTGGTGTTGGCCTGCAGGTACCCCTTGGCATGAACAGCCTGGGCGCCATGAACAGCAGCAGGAATGCAGACAGCTCCTCGGTGGAAGGGGGCGGGTCCCTGGTGAAGCCCCACCTTCAATCCTGGAAGGGCCTGAAGCCTGGGGGCCAGGTCACCAGTCCCAGTACCAGAGCGGGGAACTTGTGGTGCTTTTCCCCAGGCCTGCTCATGGCCACCTATGGCCGCCCATGGACCAATCAGCACTCACTTCTTCCCCTCTGAGGTCCATAAAAAACCCTGGACTCAGCCAGACTCAAAGAGAGGACGGGTAGATGGGGAGAAAACCAGCTGCAGAGAGGAACTACCCTTTCTGCTGAGAGCTGGACACTTGTTGGGATGAACTGCCTACCAGAGAGGAGCTACCCTCTCTGCTGAAAGCTGAACACTTGTGGGGAAACCCTGGCTATGGAGAGGAGCTGCCCACTGCAGGTCTCTTCTGAAGTATTCTGTTGCTCAATAAAGCTCCTCTTCGTCTTGCTCACTCTCCACTTGTCTGCCTACCCCATTCTTCCTGGATGCAGGACAAGAACTCGGGACCTGCCAAATGGTGGGGCTAAAAGAGCTGTAACACAGGCTGGGTGCAGTGGCTCACGCCTTTAATCCCAGCACTTTGGGAGGCCGAGGGGGGTGGGGCGGATCACCTGAGGTCAGGAGTTTGAGGCCAGCCTGGCCAACATGGTGAAACCCTGTCTCTACTAAAAATACAAAAATCGGCCGGGTGCGGTGGCTCACACCTGTAACCCCGGCACTTTGGGAGGCCGAGGCGGGCAGATCACAAGGTCAGGAGTTGGAGATCAGCCTGGCTAACATAGTGAAACCCTGTCTCTACTAAAAATGCAAAAAAGCTGGGTGTGGTGGTGGGCGCCTGTAATCCCAGCCACTTGGGAGGCTGAGGCAGGGGAATCGCTTGAACCTGGGAGGTGGAGGTTGCAGTGAGCCGAGATCCTGCCACTGCACTCCAGCCTGGGCAACAAGAGCAAGACTCCCTATCAAGAAAAAAAAAAAAAAAAGGGAGAGAATGTGGTACATATATACCATAGAATACTTCACAGTCATAAAAAAAGAATAAGATCATGTCTTTTGCAGCCATATGGATGGAGCTGGAGACAATTATCCTAAGCAAACACAGGAACAGAAAATTAAATACCTCATGCTCTCACTTAAAAGCGGGAACTAAACATTAAGTAAACATGGACGTAATGATGGGGACAACAGACACGGTGACCTACTTGAGGGTGGAGAGTGGGAGGAGGGTGAGGATGGAAAAACTACCTATCAGGAACTACGCTTATTACCTGGGTAATAATAATCTGTACACTAAACCCCCAAGACAGTCAATTTATATAACAAATCTGCACATGTATCCCTGTACTTAAAAGTTGAAAAGAGGCCGGGCGCGGTGGCTCACGCCTGTAATCCCAGCACTTTGGGAGGCTGAGGTGGGAGGATCGTTTGAGCCCAACATAGGAAGACTCCTGTCTCAAAAAAAAAAAAAAAAAAAAAAAAATTACCAGGGTGTGGTGGCAGGCCCCTGTGGTCCCAGCTACTCAGGAGGCAGAAGCAGGACGATCCCTTGGGCCCAGAAACTCAAGGCTGCAGGGAACCGAGATCATGCCACTGCTTCCACCCTGGGTAACAGAGCAAGACCCCGTCTCCAAAAAAAAAAAAAAAAAAAAGCAATACAGGGGTACTTAATATTTATTCATATATTTACCTGAGAATCATCAGTTTTACTAAGGCTGTATGATGTTAGCAGATATTGGTTCTATCAGTCTCTCCGCAGACATTTGCTGTAAATAAAGCAGAGAGGCTTTCAGAGTGCACCCTGTTTTTGTTCCTCCATCCTGTTGTCTGGATCCCCTTCTAAAACGTAAGTTCCAGGATGGCAGGAACTTTGTCTATTTGGTTCACACTCGACACAGTTAGTGCTCAAAAATGTCTAACGACACAGGCCTGCTTCTCGGTTTGCACTGCTCCTCCATGGTAGTCTGTGCAGTGGGAGAAGGCAGCCCGGGCCCAGGGTCCACGGAGAAGACGCAAATCGACAGCGCGGGAGCGCGGACCTTCTGGAGGCGCGCGGCGCTTACCGCTGTCCGTCCTCGAAGCCCCGCCCCGGGGCTCCGCCTCCGCCGGCGCGTGTTCCTTTAGGGACCGCGCGCGCCGCGGCCTCGCTCTGGGGCCGGTACTTGCGCGCCCGCACCCCGCGCTCCCCGCCCCGCTCCCCGTCCCGCGCTCCACGCGCGCCCCAGCGTTGGGGGCTTCTCCTCCGCGGCGGGAATGTCTGGCCGGCTCCGGCAGCACGGCGCGGCCCAGGTCCCCGCGCCCACGACGGGCCAGCGCGCTGGGCCATGATCCGGCTGGGCGGCTGGTGTGCGCGGCGGCTCTGCAGCGCGGCGGTTCCCGCGGGGCGGCGCGGGGCGGCGGGCGGGCTGGGCCTGGCGGGAGGCCGCGCCCTACGGGTGCTGGTGGACATGGACGGCGTGCTGGCTGACTTCGAGGGCGGATTCCTCAGGAAGTTCCGCGCGCGCTTTCCCGACCAGCCCTTCATCGCGCTGGAGGACCGGCGCGGCTTCTGGGTGTCGGAGCAGTACGGCCGCCTGCGGCCAGGGCTGAGCGTGAGCGTCCCCGCCCCGCCCCGCGCCGGGCCTCCTTCTCGCCCCGAGCCCCAGACACCGCCCCTGCGCCGGTGACCTTGGACGGTCAGCGCCCCAGCCTCGGGGTGGCCCTCTGATAGAATAGGGTCTGGGGGGGACTAGGGGCCACAGCGCACCGGGAAGATGCGGCCCCGCGCTCAGGATCTGTTGGCTGCCATCCAAGGTTTCTGAAAATGCGGGAGAGTACAAAGTGTTAATATACCTAACTCTGCATTTAAAGCTGACTTCAAAATTTGTGGCATATTTGGCCTCAAGTCGTTTGTTAAATTTTTAGAAAAATAAACGTTATAAGTTGTCCTCTTTCACCCCGACCGCAGTCACATTCCCACTTCTTTGTCCCCAGGACTTTGATGGGTGTCTTTACCCATCTTTTTTACTGTTGTCCATGAAAGCATAGCTTCCAGGGGTATTTGAGGCCCAGAGAGGTTGTGTGACTTTCTGGGGGTCACACAGTGAGTCAGTGGTCCAGGTGAGGTGGGATCCACCTCATGTCTTATCCCCTTGCAGAGCTGGCCTTGCTGAACACCTGAGCTCAACCCCTACCATCCGACTCCCGAGGTGTTCTGTCCAGGATGGATAGAGGGGAAAGATCCAAGGAGGGACGTTTACACACAGATCTTGGTTGGTAAATTTGAAGTATTTTGCAAAAGGAACAGGGGATTTTGGTATGCACAAAATTAAAGAGGCTGAGTGTTTTTTGGCATCCCTTGATTGGCCACCTAGGGTTGCTGCTGGAGGGTTTGATAAAGAGGAGAAGGAAGTTACAAGAGCCCGTTTTTTAGCCACAAGTTCACTGCATCCTCTCTTTTGTTGGGTAGATATTATTATCTCTGTTTTCCAGATGAGGAAACTTGCCCCAAGTCACATGCTGCTCAGGGGCTCAGTCAGGACTCAAACCCAAGTCTGTCTGCCTCCCAAGCACAGTTAGTGCTCCCCACTCCACAGTCCTGTTCTCTGTACTACTGTCTCTAACAAGTGACATTTCTTCTGACATCAGAAAGATGCCTCATCAGTAATGTGGTTTGTTGAGGGACAGGTGTTAAAAAAGGAAACCAAGTACCGTTTGTCTCCATCAACACCAGGCACTTCAGAAGGTGACTTTCACAGAGCCCAGTGTGCTGAGCTCTTCTACAGCGGATGCCTAATGATAAACTTTAAACTGGAGAAAATGCCCTGGTACTTTCTGCAGCCTCAGGAATAGGCTCCAGTGTGTGGCGAGTGTTCATTTATAGGCAGCGCTCGGCATGGGGAGTCTGGACACCATATATCCGCCCGGGAGTGTATTAACGTGGAAACCAAGCCCACCCCCAACTCCGAAAAGTGCAGCAGCTTTTCCAGTTCTTTGTGCAAATATGTAGGCTCTGTACGTGTGGGGTTACTGGTTTCCAAGCACAAGGCAAAGGCACGGGGCAGTAAGGAGGGTGCCTTGGGAGTAATCTGCTGGCTTCCACTACTTCCCTTCCTGAGGCACGGCTTGCTGCTGTGGACATCCCTGGGCCTACCCCAAGCTGGCCCAGTATCTGTGGTTAAAACAACCGCCCCCCCCCCCCCGCCCCCACACACGTGGCTCCTTATGTGTATGTAGGCATTTCTACTTTTCAAAATTCTGCTCTGTCTGTATTCCCTTTGGTCTTCACAGTACCCTATGTGGGATGTGAGGATCAAATGTGTTTCAGTAATAAGCACGCATTTGCCTAGTCCCTGTGGTTCCTGAGAGTGTTGCTGGTATGCTGTCAGGGCATCCTCCGGCCGTCCATGTGACAGGGTGGCTGTCTTTCTGTAGTGTGCAGAACAGCTGGTAGAGGCACTTCCTGTACTGCACACGTGGGATTTAGGCTCCTGCTCATAGGCTGAGATGTGTCTCCCCTCTGGTTGTCACTTTCCCCTTGCCTGACCCTAGAAAAGGTGCTGCATTCTGGCCCTGCAGCAGAACAGGGGAAGGAGAAAGGCAGCGGGGGTTGGGGAGTGGGGAGGAGAGGGTTGGTGTTGGGGGTTCTTCTCCCAGCTCAGCTGCTGTTTTGCTGTGTGACATCAGGTGGATCTCTTCCCCGTTCTGAGCCTCAGTTTTCTGACATGTAAAATGAGGGTCTGCATTTTTGCTTTGCAACTCTAAAAGCAGCAGAATCCTTTTTTTAAAAATGTACTTATTGGCACCTCAACATATAAAACCGATAAAAGCAGAGCTCTTCTGGTTAATGTGGGGAGGATCCTCGAGCTCCCTGAATTGTCCTTTTACCCTGTCTCCCCCTCCCCCTTGTCCCTCATGGCACCTTAAAGATCTCTGAGTCCCTCCAGTTCTCAAGTTTAAGGACTCTACTACCATGGTAAGAGCTGGTCCAGCCTCAGTTTCCACAATGCTTTTGGCCACTCGAATCCAGCCTAACAAGCACGCAGTTCCTGATGATTGGCCTCAGGTCCCAGAGAGCTCCAGCAGGTGTAGGAGTCCATGGGCCTGACACCTTTGCTGGTCTCTGCTGGATCCCGACGAAGTCAGGTCCTTTCTGGAAAGGGGTTCGAAGTCCACATACTCTCCGCACTACCCCCAGGAAGTACGTCCTTGGGTGTGTGTTTGGGGGAGTGAGAGGAATGAAGAACCACTCCCCCTATAGCCTGGCCATACTCCCCAAGATGAGGGCAGTAAGGTGCTGAGGACCCTGGAAGTAACTTGCTTTTCTCAACTTCTCAGGAGAAGGCCATCAGCATTTGGGAGTCAAAGAATTTCTTTTTTGAACTTGAGCCTCTGCCAGGGGCCGTGGAAGCTGTCAAGGAGATGGCCAGCCTACAAAAGTAAGTTTGTCCTCCCAGCCACTCAGTAAGTTTGTCTGAGCAGCCACTGAGCCCTGTACCTCCTTCCTGCTTCTTCCCTCCTCTGCCTTCTCCTTTCTCTCTCCTTGGCCCTGCGCAAGGCTGCACTTGCCTCGTCATTGCTGAGCCTGGGGAAAACCACCAAATACAATGATCTCGGTTTGTAGGCTGTGATGTTTTGATCCAGGAACTTGAGGAAATACCCAGTTTAATTTGATCTGGTTCCCTGGGTGTTCAAAGCTCATTTATTCAATGCCCGGACGTGGTGGCTCATGCCTGTAATCCCAGCACTTTGGGAGGCTGAGGCGGGCGGATCACGTGAGGTCGGGAGTTTGAGACCAGCCTGACCAACATGGAGAAACCCCATCTCTACTAAAAATAAAAAAGTTAGCCGGGCATGGTGGCACATGCCTGTAATCCCAGCTACTCAGGAGGCTGAGGCAGGAGAAACGCTTGAACCCGGGAGGTGGAGGTTGTGGTGAGCCGAGATCGCGCCATTGCACTCCAGCCTGGGCAAGAAGAGCGAAACTCCATCTCAAAGCTCATTTATTCAGCAAATATCTCAGAACTGACTGTGCTAGATACTGCAGGCCGCAGTGTTTCAGCAATGAGCAAAGTATAGTCCTTGCCCTCATGGAGCTTCTAGTCCAGACAGAGCAGACATTAAAGAATCACAAAATGGCCGGGCACGGTGGCTCACGCCTGTAATCCCAGCACTTTGAGAGGCCGAGGCAGGTGGATCACCTGAGGTCAGGAGTTCGAGACCAGCCTGGCCAAGATGATGAAACCTTATCTCAGCCGGGCGCGGTGGCTCACGCCTGTAATCCTAGCACTTTGGGAGGCTGAGGCAGGTGGATTGCCTGAGGTCAGGAGTTCGAGACCAGCCTGGCCAACATGATGAAACCCTGCCTCAGCCAGGTACGGTGGTTCACGCCTGTAATCCTAGCACTTTGGGAGGCTGAGGCAGGTGGATTGCCTGAACTCAGGAGTTTGAGACCAGCCTGCGTAGCATGGTGAAACCCCGTCTCTACTAAAATATAAAAACTTAGCTGGGCGTGGCGGCATGCACATGTAGTCCCAGTTACTTGGGAGGCTGAGGCAGGATAATTGTTTGAACCCAGGAGGCGGAGGTTGCACGGTGAGCCAAGATCGCGCCACTACACTCTAGCCTAGGCGACAGAGCGAGATTCTGCCTCCAAAAAAAAAAAGAAACCCTGTCTCTACTAAAAATACAAACAATTAGCTGGGCGTGGTGGTGGGCGCCTGTAATCCCAGCTACTTAGGAGGCTGAAGCAGGAGAATAGCTTGAGCCCAGGAAGTGGAGGTTGCAGTGAGCTGAGATTGCTCCATTGCACTCTAGCCTGGGCAACAAGATTGAAACTCTGTCTCAAAAAAAGAATCACAAAGTGAAGACACTTGCAGATTGTCCAAAGAGCTGAAGGAAAAGAGGTTCAGCGGGAAACTTCATTTAGAAAAAGTGTTTAAGGAAAGAGAAGTAGTATTGCTTGAGATATTTCTGTTTTGTTCTGGTGAAATGAGTAGTTTTATGGACTGAAGCCCCCACTCAGTGACCTGTTGACAATTACAGAGGATGTGCTTCCCTGAGAGATTTTTAAAAACAGCCTTATTGACATATAATAATGACATACCAGCTGGGCGCCGTGGCTCATGCCTACAATCCCAGCACTTTGGGAGGTCGAGGCGGGCGGATCAAGAGGTCAGGAGTTCGAGACCAGCCTGGCCAACATGGTGAAACCCCATCTCTACTAAAAATACAAAAATTAGCTGGGCGTGGGGGCGGGTGCCTGTAATCCCAGCTACTCGGGAGGCTGAGGCAGGAGAATCTCTTGAACCTGGGAGGCGGAGGTTGCAGTGAGCCAAGATTGCACCATTGCACTCCAGCCTGGGCAACAGAGTGAAACTCTGTCTCAAAAAAAAAAAGAGACATACCGTGCAGTCCACCCATTTGAAGTATATAATCCAGTGGTTTTACAAAACCATCCACAAAGTTGTGCAACCATCATCATATCCGCTTCAGAGCTTTTTCATCATCCCCAAAAGAAACCCTGTACCCATCAGCAGTCACCCCCATTCCTGTGCTCCCTGCCAGCCCCTGGCAACCACTAATCTACTTTCTGTCTTTAGGAATTTGCCTATTCTGGGGATTTCATATAAATGGCATCATATAATATGTGGTCTTTTGGGTCTGGCTTCTTTCATTTAGCACATGTTTTCAAGGTTCATTCATGTTGCAGCATCTATCAATACTTACTATTTTTATGGCTGAATGATATTCCAGCCATTGGATATGTATGGATCTAATGTATGGACTACATGTATTGATCCATTTATCAGTTGATAGATGTTTGGGCAGTTTTCACTTTTGGGCTATTGGGAATAGTGCTGCTATGAACATTCGTGTAAATATTTGTTTGAATCTTGTTTTCAATTCTTTTTCTTTCTTTCTTTTTTTTTTTTTTGAGACAGGGTCTTGCCCTATCTCAAAAAGGCTGGAGTGCAGTGGCATGATGATGGCTTACTGCAGCCTTTACCGCCTGGACTCAAATGATCCTCCTGCGTCAGCCTCTAGAGTCGCTGTGACCACAGATGCACACTACTACACCCAGCTAATTTTTCATTTTTTGTAGAGGTAGGATCTACCTATGTTGTCTAGGCTGGTCTCAAACTCCTAGGCTCAAGCAGTTCTCGTGCCTCAGCCTCCAAAAGTGGTGGGATTACAGATGTTTTCAATTCTTTTGAGAATATACCTAGGAATGGAATTGTTAGGCCATAGGATAATTCTGTGTTTGACATTTTGAGGAACTGTCAAACTATTTTCCAAAGCAATTGTACTATTGCACATTTCCCACTAGCATCATATGAAGGTTTCAGTTTCTCCACATCTTTGTCAACACTTGTTAATTTCTGTTTTACTTTAGCCATCCTTGTGGGTGTGAAGTGATTTTGTGAATTTTGGGTTGCATTTCTCTGATGGCTAATGATGCTCAAGCATCTTTTTTTTTTTTTTTTTTTTGAGACAGAGTTTTTGAGACAGAGTTGCTGACCTTGGGTCAGCAATGGCTTCTTCATATGACACAAAAATGCAAGTGACAAAAGAGAAATACACAAAAATTGGACTACGCCAAAAGTAAAAACTTTTGTGGTTTTTGTTTTTTTTTTTGAGACGGAGTCTCACTCTTTTGCCCAGGCTGGAGTGCAGTGGCACAATCTTGGCTCACTGCAACCTCTGCCTCCTGGGTTCATGCCATTCTCCTGCCTCAGCCTCCCGAGTAGCTGGGACTACAGGCACCCACCACCACACCTGGCTAATTTTTTGTATTTTTAGTAGAGACGGGGCTTCACCATGTTAGCCAGGATGGTCTTGATCTCCTGACCTCGTGATCCACCCTCCTCAGCCTCCCAAAGTGCTGGGATTACAGGCGTGAGCCACCTCGCCCGGCCTAACTTTTGTGTTTCTAAGGACAAAATTAAGAAATTGAAATGAAAGTCTACAGAATGAGGGAATATATTTATAAATCATGTATCTGATAAGAGACTTGTATCTAGAATATATAAAGAACTCTTCCAAGTTAACAATGAAAAAAAGCCAGGCACAGTGGCTCATGCCTGTAATCTCAGCAGAAAGCCAAGGCAGGAGGATCACTTGAGGCCAGCAGTTCAAGACCAGCTGGGGCAACATAGTGAGACCCTGTCTCTACAAAAAATACAAAAATGTAGTGTTATACCCAAAAGTAAGTTATCCTGTGCCTGACCTTGTCCAAAAGCTAACAGTAAAAAAAGACAAACCAATTGAAAACCTCAACAAAGGATTGAATGAACATTTCTTTAAAGAAAATTTAGAATGTCCAATAAGCACATAAAAAGATGCTTGAGGCCAGGTGTGGTGGCTTAGGCCTGTAATCTCAGCACTTGGCAGGCCGAGGCAGGCAGATCACTTGAGCTCAGGAATTTGAGCCCAGTCTGGCCAACATGGGGAGACCCTGCCTCCACTAAAAATACAACAAAAATAGCCAGGCATAGTGGTGCGTGCCTGTGATCCCAGCTACTTGGGAGGCTGAAGTGGGAGGATCACTTGAACCTCAGGGGGGTGGAGAGAGTGGGGGGAGGGGGAGGGTTTGCAGTGAGCCAAGTTCACACCACTGCACTCCAGCCTAGGTGACAAGAGCGAGACCCTGTCTAAAAAGAAAAAGATTCGGCTGAGCACAGTGGCTCACGCCTCTTATCCCAGCACTTTGGGAGGCCAAGGCAGGTGGATCACCTGAGGTCAGGAGTTCAAGATCAGCCTGGCCAACATGGTGAAACCCCATCTCTACTAAAAATACAAAAAATACAAAGATTTGCCCCTGTGTTTTCTTTAAGAGTTTTAGTTTTGGGCCGGGCGCGGTGGCTCACGCTTGTAATCCCAGCACTTTGGGAGGCCGAGGCGGGTGGATCATGAGGTCAGGAGATCGAGACCATCCTGGCTAACACGGTGAAACCCTGTCTCTACTGAAAATACAAAAATAATTAGCTGGGTGTGGTGGTGGGCGCCTGTAGTCCCAGCTACTCAGGAGGCTGAGGCAGGAGAATCGCGTGAACCTGGGAGGCGGAGCTTGCAGTGAGCCAAGATTGCGCCACTGGACTCCAGCCTGGGCCGACAGAGTGAGACTCTGTCTCAAAAAAAAAAAAAGAGTTTTAGTTTTAGCTCTTCCATTTAGGCCTATGATCCATTTTGAGTTAATTTTTGTATATGGTGTGAGGTAGGGGGTCAAACTTCATTCTTTTGCATGTAGATATCTTGTTGTCCCAGTTTCATTTATTGAAAAGACTACTTTTTTCCCACTGTATTGTATTCACACTCTTGCTGAGAATTAATTGAGCATCAATATAAGGATTTATTTCTAGACTTAGATAACTTTTATTGGCCACATTTTTGCTTGAATTTAGCAACCTGAATGACAAATGTAAGGTATGATTTGGCCTTCATTGTGTCATATAAATGCCTCTAAAAATTGTCAACTTTTAAAGTTCTAATATGATAAATAGGTGTCAGAGAAACACAAAATACAGAGTTTGAGTTGAATCGTAGACCTTATTTGGTAGTAATTTATCTTTGGATGTGAGTCCAAGTCCTGCAGAGTAGTGAATTTTATTCTGGTTTATGGTATGAACTTGATGTATCGTGTTCCTGTAGCAGGAGTCTGAGAGGCAAAGAATATGTGTACAGCATTCACACTTAAGCTTTCAAAACCCTGCTCGTGGCCTGGATCAGCATGTGCTGACCTGCAGCCACATGACTGTGTCCTGGGGAGCTGCAGGGCACAGTGGTTTGGAGTGGGGTTCTGGACATTGGCTGCCCAGGCTCACATCCTCACTTCCCCAGAATCTCATTCCCAGATGTCAGGCAAGTTATTAAACTTTCTGGGTTTCAGTAAAATGGAGATAAGGAGAAAGTCCTCAGTATATGTGCCTGGCACATAGCAGGTGCTCAGCAAATGCTAGCTGCTGCTGTTGCCGCTCTGTAAGATTTAATAGGCATATCGCAAGAAAGGCATCCTTAAGCCACCACGGTATGGGAAACAATGGATTAGATTGGCTTCTTCACCATAGTACTTTTCAGAGCTTTTAAGTGCTTGTGTGCTTTGTGACACTGCATTGGGGTAGTAAGGGATGCAGCTTTCTTCAAAAGTATTCTAGCGGCCAGGCACGGTGGCTCACACCTGTAATCCCAGCACTTTGGGAGGCCAAGGTGGGCAGATCACCTGAGGTCAGGAGTTCGAGGCCAGCCTGAACAACATGGAGAAACCCCGTCTCTACTAAAAATACAAACAAATTAGCCAGGCATGGTGGTGCATGCCTGTAATCCCAGCTACTCGGGAGGCTGAGGCAGGAGAATTGCTTGCACCTGGGAGGTGGAGGCTGCGGTGAGCCAAGATTGCGCCATTGTACTCCAGCCTGGGCAACAAGAGTGAAACTCCATCTCAAAAAAAAAAAAAAAAAATGTATTCTAGCCTGGGTGGGGTTTGGTAGCTCATGCCTGTAATCCCATCACTTTGGGAGACTGAGGCAGGAGAATCACCTGAGCTCAGGAGTTTGAGACCAGCCTGGGCAACACAGCAAGCTCCTGTCTCTACTAAAAAAAAATAATAATAGTAATAAAAAGAAGCCAGGCATGCTGACCTGTCCCTATAGTCCTAGCTACTTGGGAAGCTGAGGCAGGAGGATCACTTGAGCCCAGGAGTTCAAGGCTGCAGTGAGCTATGATCACGCCATGTACTCCTGCCTGAGCAACAGAGCAAGACCCCGTCTCTTAAAAAAAGATATTCTAGGCCGGGTGCTGGCTCACACCTGTAATCCCAGCACTTTGGGAGGCTGAGGCGGGCGGATCACCTGAGGTCAGGAGTTCGAGACCGGCCTGACCAACATGGAGAAACCCTGTCTCTACTAAAAATAAAAAATTAGCTGGGTGTGGTGGGCGTGGTGGGGCATGCCTGTAATCCCAGCTACTCAGGAGGCTGAGGCAGGAGAATCGCTTGAACCCCTGGAGGCAGAGGTTGTGGTGAGCTGAGATTGCGCCATTGCACTCCAGCCTGGGTAAAAAGAGTGAAAATCTGTCTCAAAAAAAACACCAAAAACCAAAAAAGGTATTCTAGCCTGGAACATTTTTTCATAGCTTCTCGATTAATACCTTTGCAGAAATTCCCGTTTGGGAATGCAAATCTAGACCATACCCAGTGGTCCTTTATCTCCATTTGGCTCTTAAATTGGTAGAAGATTCCTATGGTCAGTTTGTGCCCAGTATCTAGACAAAGCGAAGGGACTCGTCAGTAACTGAGTGGATAACTGTGTATCTGGTGCTGAAGTGGGCACTGAGTACAAGAGATGTGGGCCCAGCAGCAGAGACCAAGGCTGATCAGTCACCCTCATGACTATTTATCCAGCATCTGCTGCATGCTCAGCCTCATCCCAGGGGCTGCGGGGACACAAATAGGTAAGAGAGTTCTTACCTTCAAAGAGTTCCCTGGTAAACAGACATTGGAACATAGATCTCAAAGTAATCGTGGCGTTGGGGCTCAGGCAGGCAGGCAGGAACTGCTGCTCCCCGGGAGGCCACGCCATTGTGCTGCCATCTTGAGGAATGAAAAGGAACCTGCCAGGTAGTGAAGGGCAAGGGGACTCCAGGTAGGAGGGGAACAGTTGAGCAGACGCCCAGGGGACTCTCCTGAGATGGCCTTTGTGGCACGTCCTGCCCTGTTCCAGCAGCTCTGCGCGTGAGATAGGGCTTCCCTGGGCAGAGCCTCAGGTTCTGAGGAGCTTGGTTTGGAATATCTTCAGGGGTGACCATTCTTTTTATTGTTCGGGAATATATGAATATATTCTTTTTTTTTTTGAGATGGAGTCTTGCTCTGTCGTCCAGGCTGGAGTGCAGTGGTGCGATCTCGGCTCACTACAACCTCCGCCTCCCGGGTTCAAGTGATTCTCCTGCCTCAGCCTCTGGAGTACCTGGGATTACGGGCGCCCGCCACCACGCCCGGCTAATTTTTTGTATTTTTAGTAAAGACGGGGTTTCACCACGTTGGTCAGGCTGGTGTTTAACTCCTGACCTCAGGTGGTCCACCCACCTCGGCTTCCCAAAGTGCTAGGATTACAGGCGTGAGCCATCGTGCCCGGCCGAATATATTCTTATAAAAGACTCCAATAGCATGAGCGTGTGTGAAAATGTGTCAGTTGACCTCTCTCCCTGCATATACCCACCTTGGCCCACTCTTCTTGCTCTAGTTAAGAATTTGGTGTGTATGCTTCCAGACCTTTTGAAGTGCACCCCCCTACATATTTAAATATAGATTTACAAATTGATATGCTCCACCCAGCAGTCAGAGTGATATTTTTTAAACCAAATTCAGATGATGTTAGCCCCACTGAAAGCCCTCTGCTGGCTTCATCTTGTGGTAAAATCCCGCTGTCCCTTGGCCAGGCTGGGAAGGCTGTCTGCCATCTGACCCTGCCTTCCTTTCCAACCTCTGTCTTCCTCTGCTCCTGTCACGCTGGCTTCTTTCCTGCCCCTTGGATGTGCCACACGTGTTTCTGGTCTTAGGACCTTTGTTCTTGTTGCATCTTCCTGGAATGTTTCTGCCCTAGTTCTTTACACAGCTAGATTGTTTTTCTCTTTCAAACTGAGAACCGTGCATGTTGCCTCCTCACAGAGGCCTTCCCTGACCACTGCAGCTGAGGTCTCTGCCCTCCCCTCCTGGTCGTTCTGTCCCATGACCCTGAGTGTGTACTCTAAGCTGAAATTGCATGTCTGTGTCTGTCCCTTCCTCTTTTGAGTGTCAGCTCCCTGAGGTCAGGGATTGTCTTGGTTCTGGCTCTATTCTTAGTTCCCAGAATGATGCCTGGCACATCACACACTCAAAATATTTGCCAAATGAATAACTTCATGTGCATAATCCCACAGTAATTGTTGATTTAAAAAAAAATTTTTTTTTAACAATTTTGGAGGAAACCACTCATTTAGAAGGATAAGAACTTAAACCTGATTTTAACATGGTGCTCACTGTCGTGAAGCCTAGAGTAAGAGGCAGTTTATTCATGGGTTCATTAAACAGATACATTTTACGACTTAATATGCACCCAGTACTGTGCTAGCACTGGGGATATATATGTAAATAACACACCTAAGGTCTCCAGTTTCAGGGCAGGTCTCACAGCAGGGAAGATGACAACATATAAACTAAAATGATTTCCAACTGTGATAAGCTTAGTGAAGGAACTAAACAAGGGGCTGTGCTGCAGAGGAAACAGGGAAGGGGCTGCTTTGGGTAGAATGGGAAGCTGGCTCTAGGGAGCTGAGAATTGACATCAGACCTGAAGAGTAAGAATGAATGGGCCAGTGAAGAGTCGGGACAGGCCTTGCAGGCCAGGAGAGGAGCAGGTGCCAATGCCTGAGCCGGGCCAGGCCTTTGTTTGTCTGAGTAACATAAAGGAACTGGACAGCTGGCACTGGAACTTAGGAAGCATGTTGGGGGTGGCAGGGGTGGGTGGAGGGTGAAGTTGAAGAGAGATTGATGTGATCTAACTTAGGGTTTTTTTGTTTTTTTTTTTTTTTTTTTTTTGAGACAGCCTCGCTCCATCACCCAGGCTAGAGTGCAGCGGTGTGATCCCAGCTCACTGCAAGCTCCGCCTCCCGGGTTCATGCTGTTCTGCCTCAGCCTCCCAAGTAGCTGGGACTACAGGCATCTGCCACCACGCCCGGCTAATTTTTTTTTGTATTTTTTAGTAGAGATGGCGTTTCACTGTGTTAGCCAGAATGGTCTCGATCTCCTGACCTTGTGATCAGCCCGCCTTGGCCTCCCAAAGTGCTGGGATTACAGGCATGAGCCACCATGCCCGGCCTTTTTTTTTTTTTTAAATGAGACAGAATCTCACTCTGTCCCCCAGGCTGTAGTGTAGTGGTGCCATCTTGGCTCCCTACTACAACCTGTATCTCCCGGGTAAAAGCAATTATCCTGTTTCAGCCTCCCAAGTAGCTGGGACTACAGGTGTTCGCCAACATGCCTGGCTAATTTCTGTGTTTTTAGTGAAGACAGGTTTTCACCATGTTGGCCAGGCTGGTCTTAACCTCTTAACCGCTTGACTTCCTGACACCTTGGCCTCCCAAAGTGCTGGAATTACATGCGTGAGCCACCGTGCCCAGCTGTAACTTAGGTTTTTATTTATTTATTTATTTATTCGAGACAGAGTTTCACTCTTGTCATCCAGGCTGGAGTGCAATGGCATGATCTTGGCTCGCTGCAACCTTTGCCTCCCGGGTTCAAGTGATTCTCCTGCCTCAGCCTCCTGAGTAGCTGGGATTACAGGCGCCCGCCACCACACCTGGCTAATTTTTGTATTTTTATTAGAGATGGGGTTTCACCATGTTGGCCAGGCTGGTCTGGAACTCCTAACCTTGGGTGATCAGCTCTCCTCGGCCTCCCGAAGTGCTGGGATTACAGAAGTGAGCCACCGTGCCCAGCCATAACTTAGGGTTTTGTTTTTTGTTTTGTTTTGTTTTGTTTTGTTTTTGTTTTTTTTTGAGATGGAGTCTCGCTCTGTTGCCCAGGCTGGAATGCAGTGGCGCAATCTCAGCTCACTGCAACCTCTGCCTCCCGGGTTAAGCGATTCTCCTGCCTCAGCCTCCAGAGTAGCTGGGACTATAGGCACATGCTACCACGCCTGGCTAATTTTTTGTATTTTTAGTAGAGACAGCATTTCACCCTGTTAGCCTGGATGGTCTCGATCTCCTGACCTCATGATCCACCCGCCTCGGCCTCCCAAAGTGCTGGGATTACAGGCATGAGCCACCGTGCCTGGCCATAACTTAGGTTTTTTGTTTTTTGTTTTTGTTTTTGTTTTTGTTTTTTTTTTTTGAGACAGAGTCTCGCTCTGTCGCCCAGGCTGGAGTGCTGTGGCATGATCTCGGCTCACTGCAAGCTCTGCCTCCTGGGTTCATGCCATTCTCCTGCCTCAGCCTCCCGAGTAGCTGAGACTACAGGTGCCTGCCACCATGCCCCGCTAATTTTTTGTATTTTTAGTAGAGACAGGGTTTCACCGTATTAGCCAGGTTAGTCTCGATCTCCTGACCTGGTGATCTGCCCACCTCGGCCTCCCAAAGTGCTGGGATTACAGGCGTGAGCCACTGCTCCCGGCCAATTTAGGTTTTTAAAATGTGGATTTGGGGCAATGAATTTGGATAGACATTTTTCCAATGAAGATATACAGATGGCCAGTAACTACCTGAAAACATCATCAGTCATTAGGGAAATGCAAGTCAAAACCACAAGGAGGAGCTGGGTGAGTGGCGCTCACCTGTGCTCCCAGCTACTCAGAAGGCTGAGAAGGGCAACAGAAGGCCGGAAGGCCAGCCTGGGCAACATAGAGTGAGACAGTCTCTAAAAAAACCACAATTCACATTGTGGGTGTGAATATAAAACAGTGCAGCCAGTGTGGAAAAACACCTTGAAAAACATTTCCTCCAAATGTTAGGCCGGGCATGGTGGCTCACGCCTGTTATCCCAGCACTTTGGAAGGCCATGGAGGGCGAATCACCTGAGGTCAAGAGTTTGAGACCAGCCTGGCCAACATGATGAAATCCTGTCTACTAAAAATACAAAAATTAGCTAGGCATGGTGGCAGGCACCTGTAATCCCAGCTCTTGGGAGACTGAGGCAGGAGAATCGCTTGAACCCAGGAGGTGGAGGTTGCAGTGAGCTGAGATCATGCCACTGGACTCCAGCCTAGGTGACAGAGTGAGACTCCATGATCAAAAAAAAAAAAAAAAAAAAAGTTAGACATAGACTCACTGTATGAGCCAGCAATTCAACTCATAGGTGTATATCCACGGAATTGAAAACAGGTATTCAAACAAATACTAGTACCCGAATGTCCCAGCAACACTATTCACAGCAACCCCAAGTATCCACTAAGTGATGGATGGATATTTAAAATGTGACGTAGCCACACAATGGAATATGTTTCAGCTATAAAAAGGAATGACTGCCGGGCATGGTGGCTCATGCCTGTAATCCCAGCACTTTGGGAGGCTGAGGGGGACAGATTGCCTGAGCTCAGGAGTTTGAAACCAGCCAGTGCCACACGGCGAAACCCCGTCTCTACTAAAAATACAAAAAGAATTAGCCAGGCTTGGTGGCAGGCACCTGTAATCCCAGCTACTTGGGAGGCTGACCCAGGAGAATCACTTGAACTGGGGAAACGGGAGGTTGCAGTGAGTCTAGATCGTGCCACTGAACTCCAGCCTGGGTAACAAAGCGAGACTCTGTCTCAAAAAAAAAAAAAAAAAAAAAAAGTCTGGGCGCAGTGGCTCAAGTGTGTAATCCCAGCACTTTGGGAGGCTGAGGCGGGCGGATCATCTGAGGTCCGGAGTTTGAGACCAGCCTTACCAACATGGAGAAACTCTGTCTCTACTAAAAATACAAAATTAGCTGGACGTGGTGGCACATACCTGTAATCCCAGCTCCTCGGAAGGCTGAGGCAGGAGAATCCCTTGAACCTGGGGAGCGGAGGTTGCAGTGAGCCGAGATCACGCCATTGCACTCCAGCCTGGGCAACAAGAGCAGAACTCCGTCTCAAAAAAAAAAAAAAAAAAAAAAAAGGAATGACCTACCCATTCATGTGGCAACATGAATGAACCTTGAAAACATGATACTGAGTGAAAGAAGCCAGACACAGAAGGCCACGTATTGTAGGATTCTATTTATGTGAAATATTATGGGGCGGGCGTGGTGGCTCACCCCTGTAATCCCAGTGCTTTGGGAGGCCGAGGCACGTGGATCACCAGAGGTCAGGAGTTCGAGACCAGCCTGGGCAACATGGTGAAACCCCACCTCTACTAAAAATACAAAAATTAGCTGAGCGTGTTGGTGGGTGCCTGTAATCCCAGCTGCTTGCGGGGAGGCTGAGGTAGAAGAATTGCTTGAACCTGTGAGGCAGAGGTTGCAGTGAGCTGAGATTGAGCTACTGCACTCCAGCCTGGGCAAGAGTGAGACCTCGTCTTAGAAAAAAAAAAAAAAAAGTTTCTGAACAAGAGGCAAATCCTTAGAGCTAGGCAGCCCCTGGTTCCCCGGGCTGTGGGGAGGGGCTGTGGGAATGACTGCTTAATGGGAATGGGGCTTCTTTTTGGGGTGATGGAAGTGTCTTTAAATTCGATTGTGGTGATGGCTGTAAAACCCTGTAAATATACTAACATTTATTTAATTATACACTTAAAATAGGTGAATATTAGGATATATGAATTCTATCTCAGTAAAACTTTTAAGAAATGTTTACTCAAACATTTAAAAATTTAGGACAAACTATTGATACATTTATTTAACAATTAGGACACACTGTTGATACATTTATTTAACACTATGGGCGAATATCAGAATAGTTTTGCTGGATGAAAGAAGCCAGGCAAAACAGAGTATAGACTATACTTTCTTTTATGTAACATTCTAGAAAATACTATCCAATCTGTACTGATGGAAAGTAGATGGGTGGTTGCCTAGGGCCCCAGGGGCAGGGAGGGACGGGAGGGACAGCTGGGAGAGATAACAAAGGAGAACCTTTGAGGGTGGCAGGCGTGTTTATTTCTTGATTGTGGTGATCTGGGTTTCCCATGTGTGTCTTTTACTTTTTTTAAATATTTCTTTCTTTCTTTATTTTGAGACGGAGTCTCGCTCTGTCGTCAGGCTGGAGTGCAGTGGTGTGATCTCGGCTCACTGCAACCTCCGCCTTTTGGATTCAAGTGATTCTTCTGCCTCAGCCTCCCGAGTAGCTGGGACTACAGGTGCTCATCACCACGTCCGGCTATTTTTCTATTTTTAGTATAGACAGGGTTTCACCATGTTGACCAGGCTGGTCTTGAACTCCTGACCTCAGGTGATCTGCTTGCCTTGGCCACTGAAAGTGCTGGGATTACAGGCGTGAGCCACCACGCCCAGCCTCCCACGTATGTCTTTATGTTCAAATTTATTGAATTGTACCCTTTTAATATGTGCAGTTTATTGCATGTTGATTATTATATTATTTATACCTCTGTAAAGCTGTTTAAAAAGAGTGGGTCTGGATGCTGGGTGGAAATGGCTTGGAGGGGTGAGAACTGGAAGTTGAAGAGTCAGTGGAGGTGGTTGCAGCCGCTCAGTGGGAGACGACTCAGTTTGACTAGGGTGAGGTCTGTGGAGAGAGGTGGGTGGATGACGTGTGCTTTGGCGGGACCCATAAGACCTGGGGATGGATCTGATATTGGGGGTGGAATAAAGGTAGGAAAAATAGGTGATTTTTAGGTGTTTTGCTTGAGCAGAGCTCTGTCTTTATCATCTCTGTTTATCTAAAATAGACTAGGAACTGAGGGAAGACTCGGGGAGAGACACGCTTTAGGAGTAGGGGATCACGTTTCCCACGTTGGAAATCCTGTGTGAGGTGTGTGAGGCGTCCAGGTGGGTGGAAACTTGGTGCTGGGAGAGGTTGGGACGCATCAGCATGCACATGGTGTTTAAAGCAGGAGTGCAGGCTGAGAGCCCCCGAGGGCCTAGACCCAACCTGGAGCGGTCAGGAGAGGAGTAGACGGGGAGTCTGGGCTGGGTGGCTGGCGAGGATCAGGAGGCCAGGAGCGCAGGCTAGGACCCAGGATAGGGGAGCCCAGGAGAGCTGGCGTGGCCAGCTGGGCTGAGTACCTGTGGGTGAGGATGGTGAGATGGGCATTGGACAGAGGGACACTAGGGTCTTTGGTGACAAGGAGCAATTTCTGTGGAGTGAAGGGGCAGGCCCAGTCTAGAGTGGATTGAAGCAGGAGCAGGAGGCGAGGGAGTGGGGTCGGTAGGTGGAGGCAGCTTGTCGGGGACATTCTGCTTCGAAGGGAGCAGCTGGAATGTGGGGGTCAAGGCTGTGTGTGTATATATCTAAGGCGGGAGGTGCCAGCACACGTTTGAATGAGGAGTCATGGAGGAGGATAGCAAGCGGGCATTCGGGAGGTGCCAGCACGTGTTTGAATGAGGAGTCATGGAGAAGGATAGCAAGCGGGCATTCGGGAGGTGCCAGCATGCGTTTGAATGAGGTTCATGGAGGAGGATAGCAAGTGGGCATTTGGGAGGTTCCAGCACACGTTTGAATAAGGATTGTGGAGAAGGATAGCAAGCGGGTATTGCAGGGCATAGTGTCTGTGAAGGGCAGAGGGGGAGGATCCAGGGCACAGGTGGAGCCCAGGAGAAGGGAGTGGTGTGGCTTCCTCCTGTGCAGCAGGAAGGGAGGAAGAAGTGAGCCCGGCGGCAGGTGAGTCTCCAGATCCATGATGAGGTGGGCTTGGAGTCTCACCCACAAGAAGGTTGAGGAAATGGGGCGGGTGTGTCCTGGCTGTGCCCAGAGCACCAGAGAGGGCATTGAAGAGAGCTGCCAGGCAGCTGCAGGCCCTGGCTTGGTGTCAGGAATTGAAGGTGAAACAAGTCCAACTGATGATGTGAATTTTCTTCTCCGGCAACATTTAGTTGCTTGGGTGCAGGTGGGAGCAGTGGGATAGCTGGGCTCCTTCAGGGCCTGGCCAGACAGGCCTGGGTGGAGGATGAGAAGCACAAGCAGAGGATGGCAGCGAAGGCTGGGCCCCAGCTGGATGAAGGCAGGCCGCTAAGCTGGGACAAGGAGGGTGTCTCCACGAGGCTGAAGAGTTGAGTACAGAATGAGATAATGCATTTGCTGAAGCGTCGTGGGTGGTGGCCAGGGAGGCAAAGCCTGAGACGAGGTTTTGGGGGGAAGTGATTCCAAGCTCCGGGGGTGACACTAGGAGAGGTATTGGAGGTTGGGTGTTTGGAGGTGGAGAGGAAGTTGTTTGGAGGTGGGGAGGGTTAGGAACTGAGCGACAAGGTGTTGGATCTGTACCTATGCACACACATATATGTGGACATGTGTGTGTCAAGTCACTGAGGATGGTGATAGAGCAGGAATGGAGAGGATGGCGAGCCAGCGAGTGAGGTGCATAAGGGACAGTAACTGGCAATGGTAGGTGACAGTGAGTAGGAAGGGCTCTAGGGGTGTGCTGTCGAGTGTGGGCATTGGCATCAGGGATCTGGAAGGAGCAGTGGAGAAGGCAGACGCTGCCCTCACCTGCCATCTCTGAAGTCTGTGGGGGATGAGGAAGAGGCAGCTGTCACTCAGAGGCGAGTTGGGGAGGTGCTCCCTTCGTGTGAGGCCAGTTTTGGTTGGGGCAGGAGTGAGGATGCTGGGGAGAGGCTGAGTCTTTAGGAGAGGGGATTGCGTGGTTGGTGGAGGTAGTGCCAAGTATCAGGTAATGAGAGGGCACACCCTGTGCCCAGGGACCCGGGAGTCTCACCTCTGCCTGTTGAGGGACGCGTTTGCCAGAGAGAAAGCGTCAGCAAAGTGCCATCTTCCAGAGGCTCAGCAAGACGTGCAGGAGGCACAGGCTCCAGTAGCGAACGCCAGCCTCATGAGGGTGTTTGGGACCAGGTGGCTCCATTAGTGAGGGCTGGGGCCCTGTGGGCATGAGGGCGCAGGCACCTGGGAGGCCATTTGGGTCAGCTCTCCCGCGGAGCTACGACCTTGGGGATGTGGCGCTCCTCACGCGGAGCCAAGCCAAGCCAAGGCCAAGCCTGTGTTTCAGGGACTCGATCACTGCAGGGCTTAGCCTGGCATGGAGTAGGCTCCTTCTCTGTGTTCTCCAGGCCAGGGGACTTGCATGCCAGAATCCTTCTTCCTCATAGATTTCTTGACTTACCACTCTGCATTGCAGGAGGCCCTCCAGTCAGATGTCCAGCCCAGAGCTGGCTGCCTGTGGCTGGGTAGGGTCATGTGGCTGCCCAGGGCCATGGGATAGGCCGACACCTCTGGTGTGGATATAGTACAGGGGAGTGGGTCTCCCACAGCAGGGGAAGGGTTCAGACTCAGAGGGTCCAGCCCTGTGAAGGCAGGGCAGGTGGTGAAGGCCTCGGGGTGGTGAAGTCATGGGGCTGCAGGCTCAACCTCCTTTCTCTTGTTGACAGCACTGACGTCTTCATCTGCACAAGCCCCATCAAGATGTTCAAGTACTGTCCCTATGAGAAGGTAAGGCGTGCGTCTGCTCAGCTGAGCCCTTACCCCATGCATCACAGGTGAGGGGTACGGGGCTCAGCCTGCCTGTGGAAAGGGGATGGACCCTCACAGCACTCCCCCACCTCTGTGACAGCGGCTTTCTGCTCCCCAAGGACCTCTCCAGCCTGAGGCTCTAGATGGGGCCTCTTATGATGCAGGTTCTCCAGGAAGGGTGCCTGTCACTGTGTCAGGTTAGCCTGGCCCAGAGTAGGCCTTTGAAGGGTGAGAACCATGCCTGGGGAGGGCCTGAAGGCACGTGGATGCATTAACATGAAAAGTCTTAAAAAGGTGAGGTGGGTAAAGTTCATTTTGCTGTATACTCACTTTATTATCTTTATTGAAAAGAATTAGAGTTGCATGAAATTGAGACCTTTCTGGAAATTGGGAACTTGCAGTTGCCAAACCCAGAGGAAAGGTCTGTGGCCCTGGAGGAGAGCACTCATGCCGGAGGGGTCAGGGCCGGCCCTCCCTGGGGACGTTGGAGCAGCTCTTCCCGAGCTGAGGAAGGCAAGATCTTCAGTCCAGAGCCCCTCCTGCTCTGGGGGCGTCAAACCTTCAGGCATGAGTTCTTTCATGTTCTTCACATGACCTTTCCGCTCTGGATTCCCATTTTTTTTGAGACAGAGTTTTGCTCTTGTTGTTGCACAGGCTGGAGTGCAATGGCACGATCCTGGCTCACTGCCAAGATCACTGGGTTCAAGCAATTCTCCTGTCTCAGCCTCCTGAGTAGCTGGGATTACAAGTGCCTACCACCACATCCAGGTAATTTTTTTTGTATTTTTAGTAGAGACGGGGTTTTGCCATGTTGGCCAGGCTGGTCTCGAACTCCTGAGCTCAGGTGATGTGCCTGCCTCGGCCTCCCAACGTGCTGGGATTATAGGCGTGAGCCACCGTGCCTGGCCTGGATTCCATATTTAAATGAAATTCATGGTCAGGCGCGGTGGCTCACGCCTGTAATCCCAGAACTCTGGGAGGCCGATGCAGGTGGGTCACCTGAGGCTGGGAGTTCAAGACCAGCCTGGCCATCATGGTGAAACCCCATCTCTATTAAAAATACGAAAATCAGCTGGGTGTAGTGGTTCATGCCTGTAGTCCCAGCTACTTGGGAGGCTGAGGCATGAGAATTGCTTGAACCTGGGAGGTGGAGGTTGCAGTGAGCCAAGATCGTGCCACTGCACTCCAGCCTGGGTGACAGAGCGAGACTGTCCCCCCACAAAAAAACTTAATTTAAAAAAAAAAAAAGAAATTCACACATTCAGCCAACATAGCGTGCCCTCTGTGTGCTCAGTGGGAATCACACTTGCTGAACAGTTGCTCTGGCATTATGTGGGTGCTTGGTGCCCACTGTTTCATCATGTCCTCATGACACCTTGTTCCCTAGTTACCCTGACATCCCTCATGATTTTAGAGAGTGGGTCTTGTTCTGTCACCCAGGCTGGAGTGCAGTGGCCACTCACAGGTGCCATCCCAGCTCACTGCAGCCTCGAACTCCTGGGCTCAAGTGATCCTCCCACCTCAGCCTCTTGAGTAGCTGGGAACACAGCTGCGCACCACGCACCACCATGGCCGGCCTTCGCTGACCCCCTTTTAACACGCTAGGAGCACGAGTTCACTTATACTTAGGAGAGAGGAGTATCTTACCTGCAGCCAGTAAATGTGGATTCAGAGTGTGGGCCAGGCCCACTGTTTCAGGTCGAGCAGTGATCCCAAAGTGAGTCCTGAGACCAGAGTCAGCATCCCTTGGAGACTCCTTAGGAGTGGACATTTTTCAGCCCCACCCTACACCTTCTGAATCAGACACTCTGGGAGTAGCAATGTGGGTCTGACGAGCCCGCCAGGTGATTCTCATACACCCTCAAGTTTAAGGATTGCGGGACTGGAGTCACTATTTCAGCTGGAGTTTCACTGGGTGGCCATGGTGGTTGACCAGCAGTTGTGGGAGTGAGATGAACGACATGGCCTCATTCATCCGTTCCTGGGGATTTAGATACTGTCTTTGTGCCAGCTGTCCCACCTGCGTTGCCTCGGCCCGGGACTGCCCTCTGAGCTCCAGACACTCAGACCCGATGTATCTGTCCCTGGGGTGCTGGTTTCCTTGTGCATGGCAGTGCTGTCTGGTGGCCTCAGGTCGGAAATCAGGGGCCGTGCTGATGTCTTCCTCTAAGCCCTCACTTCCAGCCTGTTGGTGAGTCCCATGTCCCATGGGACCGATTTCGAAAACGTGCCTGGCACCTGTCTGCTTCTGTCTCTTCTCATTGCCAGCATCTTGGCATTTACTGCCAGTACAGCTGACAGGGCCTCCTAAACTGCCTGCTCCTTTCAGTTCCATGCAGGCTGACAAGGCCCTCACAGAGCAGATCATGGCAGCTCCTGACTTGAAACCTCTGAATAGTTTCCCTTTAAAAACCACATACACCCTCCTGAGCATGACCTGCAGGGCCTGCCTGCCTCTCCACCCACTGTGCCCCCCTCTCTGTGTGCTTCTCCAGCAGCTTTTGGCTTGGAATGTTCTCCTCCCACCCCTAGGTCTGGTGCCTTCTTGTCCACGAGGCCTCGGCCCAGAAGTCTCCCCACATTTCGTGACCATCATATTGAAGTGTATTCTTTCTCCATCTTGTTTTTTGGATGACACTTCCCACCACTTGAAATGGGTTTGTGTTTTCGTCTGTGGCTTGTTCTTGGTCCATCTCCTGACTGGGCTGGGACCTGTGCAGGCTGGGCTCTCACCCTCCTGCCCACTGTCAAGCCCAGCACCCAGCGCAGGGTGGCACACTGGGAGGACTCAGCGTTTGTTGTTAAATGAGTAGATTCATTTGTCCAACAGAGAGTTATTAAACACCGGCGAGTACAGTGCTTGCCATTCATTTGACACCTTTGATACGCCAGGCAATGTCCCTTTATTCTCACTTTTGAGGTTTACAACAGCTGCCTGTGAAACAAGAAAACTCTTCTGATTTGACAGATGAAGAAACTGAGGCTCAGAGGGATGAGGCAGCTCATTTACCAGGTCTGACGCTTGGCCAGCCAGTGAGGCCTGCTCCGGGTCTGCCTGTCAAGAGCCTGTGCCCACCGCCAGTGTGTTCCCCTGGAGGTAGCCTGCATTCACTGGAGAGGATTTGGAAACCGCGCATATTTAAGAGGAAAGGGATGTCAGGACCCCAGTCACAGTAACATCAACAGGCTCTGGCTCACTTGAACAAAGGCAGGACTGATTAGAAGGATATTGCCTTGCTCAGGGAATCAAAGGGAAGCCCGAGGAAGCAGGCCTGAGGCCGTAGGGGCAGAGCCCGCAGACCGTCTCTCCAGCAAACAGCCCAAGACGCTGAAGCGCCCTTTCTCCATCCTTGGGTTTCATTGCCCAAGATTCCTAGTCCCCAGGAGAGGGAGGCCCATCAGCTGAGCTTGGGTCCCACACCCAGCCCTGGGTGCCCTGATGGACTGTCCTAAAAGGCTGCAGTTGGTGGCAGAGGCGTGGCTTCCCAGAGGAGTTGAGATGCTGTTGCCAGAAGAAGGGTCACACTCATAGTGGATGTCCTGATCAAACTAAACGAAAGAGCAAAGGCAACAAGAATCCACATCTACAATCCCACCACCTGGAGAGAGATGCTGTTAGCACTTTGATCTGGTTCTTTCTAGTTTTTTTGTGGGGGAGTAGGGGAGACAGGGTCTCACTATGTCACCCAGGCTGGAGTGCAGTGGTGCGATCTCGGCTTACTGCAACATCCGCCTCCCAAGTTCAAGTGATTCTCCTGCCTCAGCCTCCTTAGTAGTTGGGATTACAGGTGTGCGCCACCACACCCGGCTAATTTTTTTTTGTATTTTTAGTAGAAACAGGGTTTCATCATGTTGGCCAGGCTGGTCTCTAGCTCCTGACCTCGTGATCCACCCATCTTGTCCTCCCAGAGTGCTAGGATTACAGGTGAGCCACCACACCCAGCCCTCGTTTTTCTTTGATGCGTATTAAATATAATACATGTATTTTAACAAAGCTTTCATCCAACATAGTTATCCTTTTCTGCTTATTAATATATTTTTAGCCTTTTTTCTGTCATCAAACACTTCAGAAACATGATTTTTTTTTTTTTTTGTGAGACAGGGTCCAGCTCTGTGGCCCAGACTGAAGTGCAGTGACACGATCTTGGCTCACTGCAACCTCTGCCTCCTGAGTTTAAGTGATTCTCATGCCTCAGCCTCCCAAGCAGCTGGGACAAGTGTGTGTCACCATGCCTGGCTAATTTTTTATATTTTTGTTCTGTTTTGTTTGAGACAGAGTCCTGCTCTGTCACCCAAGCTGGAGTGCAGTGGTGCAATCTCAGCTCACTTCAACCTCCACCTCCTGGGTTCAAGTGATTATCCTGCCCCAGCCTCCTAAGTAGCTGGGATTACAGGTGCGTGCCACCATGACCAGCTAATTTTTGTATTTTTAGTAGAGACGGGGTTTCGCTATGTTGGTCAGGCTGGTCTCAAACTCCTGACCTTGTGATCCACCTGCCTCGGTCTCCCAAATGCTGGGATTACAGGCGTGAGCCACCACGCCCGGCCAATTTTTTTGTATTTTTAATAGAGATGGGGTTTCACCATGTTGGCCAGGCTGGTCTCAAACTCCTAGCCTCAAAGTAGTCTGCCCATCTCGGTCTCCCGAAGTGCTGGGATTACAGGTGTGAGCCACCATGCCCAGCCAGAAACATGATTGTTAATAGCTGAAGACGTCTAGTGAGTAAGCCTTTGTATGGTCATGTTCTTAGGGTGAATTCCAAGAAATACAATTCCTGGGTCACGCGAGGAAAGGTAGGGTTCGGGTATATATCACACAGAAATTTGTATTCATTTCCACTGTACCAGCCGTGGGCAGGGTACTTTCCTCCTGCCAGGGGCTAGGCTGGACCACATAGGGTCAGTCAATAGAGGAAGCAGGCCATTGAACAAACACATGAAGACAGGAAAGTGCACAGCAGATTTGAGGAATTCAGGGTGAATTTTGTTGGCCAGTGGCTACAGGGGCTGATTGGGAGCGGGGTTGGGCCAGGTGAAATGGATTAGTTTATCCAAATCTCCCAGCTGTCCTCATGGTTTAGCCACACCACCACCTTTAACCCTAGAACTAAGACAAGGGGAGAAGTGCGGGTGAGAAGTGAGTAAGGCGAAGGTTGCTTCCAAGCACCCCCTCACCCACCGTTTGTGCCCCTCCCAACCCTATGGACTGGTACTTCTTCCCTGGCTGAGGGCGGGCTGGTATTAATGGTTCCTGTGTTCCATGCCTGGGGGAGGCAAGGAAGGGCTGGAGATGGGTCTCGGGGCACATCTGCACAGGACAGAGGTCTCCCACGGTAGCCCCGGTCTAGGCTTAAGCCCCAGAGCACTCACAGTTCCTTCCCCAGCTCCTGTCCACTGAGTAGGTTCAGCCTTTGTTGCTAGAAGTGGAAACTTTTCTCCTTGGTTGATTTTCTTTCAAGACCCAGTCAGAGGATGGGAACCTGACTGCTGTGAGGTCTCTCACTTTATCACCACATGGAGGGAGTGGAATTGGGTTACATTCAGGTTGCCAGAACCTTCTTTCTGGCTGGAAAGAAGGTTTCCCAACATTCTAAACCCAGATTGCTCGGTAATAGTTAACAATAGCCAAGCTGGTAGTATACGTCTCCAAGGGCTTTCCCTGTAGTGATCCATTTAGCCTTCATAGTAGCCCTACAAAATAGGTATTTCTATTTTTTATTTTTATTTTTTAGACGGAGTCTCGCTCTGTCTCCCAGGCTGGAGTGCAGTGGCGTGATCTTGGCTCACTGCAAGCTCCCCATCCCGGGTTCATGCCATTCTCCTGCCTCAGCCTCCCGAGTAGCTGGGACTACAGGTGCCTGCTACCACGCCGAGCTAATTTTTTTGTATTTTTAGTAGAGACGGGGTTTCACTGTGTTAGCCAGGATGGTCTCGATCTCCTGACCTCGTGATCTGCCCGCCTCGGCCTCCCAAGGTGCTGGGATTACAGGCGTGAGCCGCAGCGCCTGGCCTTAAAATAGGTATCTTTATTATCCCTGTTCTACAGATGGGCAGACTGAGGCACAGACAGTTGAAGCTGAGGGTTAGCGGCCAGAAAGTGGGGAGTCAGACTTCAGAGCCCATGCTCTGCTCCTCGGCCTCACTGCCTCTTCTCGGACTCCTTGACTTGAAACTTAAGCAGCATGACCTGTACCTTTTCACCCCCTAGAGAGATTTGAAAATCCGTGTCAGGTTCTTCATGCACAGGCATGGCATTTTACTCTGAGATTTTCCAGTTCAACAAGGGGAGTAATCACAAGCCAAATTAAGGGAGGGGCTTGGGTGCGAAGGGGAATGTGCTCTTCTGATTTGAAGTCTGGTTTCCAGATGACATGTCTGCCTGATTCGACGTTGATTTTTAGAATAAATGTCAAAAATTCCCACTTCAGGCCGGGTACAGTGGCTCATGCTTGTAATCCCACCACTTTGGGAGGCTGAGGCAGGAGGATCACTTGAACCCAGGAGTTTGAGACCTGCCTGGGCAACATGATGAGACCCCATCTGTACTAAAAAAAAATTAGCCAGGCGTGCTGATGTGTGCCTGTAGTTGCAGCATCTTGGGAAGCTGAGGTGGGAGGATTGCTTGAGCCTGGGAGGTCAAGGCTGCAGTGAGCTATGATCATGCCACTGCATTACAGCCTTAGTGACAGAGTAATTCCCTGTCTCAAAAAAACAAAAACAAACAAAACAAAACAAAACAAAAACCTACTCCTGGCTGGGCGTGGTGGCTCACGCCTGTAATCCCAGCACTTTGGGAGGCCGAGGTGGGCAGATCATGAGGTCAGGAGATTGAGACCATCTTGGCTAACACGGTGAAACCCCGTCTCTACTAAAAATACAAAAAATTAGCCGAGCGTTGTGGCGGGCGCCTGTAGTCCCAGCTACTTGGGAGGCTGAGGCAGGAGAATGGCGTGAACCCGTGAGACAGAGGTTGCAGTGAGCCGAGATGGTGCCACTGCACTCCAGCCTGAGTGACAGTCAGACTCCGTCTCAAAAAAAAAAAAACAAAAAAAAAACCCACTCCTTAATTGAGCCTCTTCCTCTAACCTGAAATAAAAACGTAAAAACGTAGACTTTTTTTTTTTTTTTGACAGAGTTTTGCTGTTGTTGCCCAGGCTGGAATGCAATGGCGTGATCTCAGCTCACTGCAACGTCTGCCTCCTGGGTTTAAGTGATTCCCCTGCCTCAACCTCCTGACTAGCTGGGATTACAGGCATCTGCCACCATGCCCGGCTAATTTTTGTATTTTTTGTAGAGACAAGGTTTCACCACATTGGCCAGGCTGGTCTCGAACTCCTGACCTCAGGTGATCCATCTGCCTCAGCCCCGCAAAGTGCTGGGATTACAGGTGTGAGCCACCGCGCCTGGCCAACATAGACCATTTTTTTTTTAACTTAAGATAATGAATTACATTTCTTTGCTTTCTTTCTTTCTTTCTTTTTTTTTTTTTTTTTTGAGACGGAGTCTCACTTTGTCACCCAGGCTGGAATGCAGTGGTGTGATCTCAGCTCACTGAAAGCTCAGCCTCCCGGGTTCACGCCATTCTCCTGCCTCAGCCTCCCGAGTAGCTGGGACTACAGGCACATGCTACCACACCTGTCTAATTTTTTGTATTTTAGTAGAGATGGGGTTTCATCGTGTTGCCCAGGCTAGTCTTGAACTCCTGAGCTCAGGCAATCGCCTGCCTCAGCCTCCCAAAGTGCTAGGATTACAGGCGTGAGCCACTGGACCCGGCCTTCTTTGCATATTTTACATTAAATTTCCAGTTGCTCCAGTACGTTTTCCAGTTACTCCCTGTAGGACTTAGGCTAAAAGACTTGGCACTTTCTCTTGGCATGTAAAGAAACCCTAGGTTCTTTTGGGGATGGCACGGCCACACTGCCAGCATTCAGGAGCTTCCCCTGGAGCTCCTGAACCCCAGTGTCACCCCTGCCATCTCAGTGGGGCTCATGGTGTCTTTCTTGGCGTGTTTCTGGCCCATACCGTGTTTATTTTAAAAATTGTTCATGCTAATTGGCATGGGGTTTCTTTTAGGGGTGATGGAAACATTCTGGAATTTAGATAGTGGTAGTGGTTGCATAACATTGTTGATACACTAAAGACCATTGAATTGTACACTTTAAATTGGTAAATTTTATGATATGTGAATTACATTTCCAAAAAATAAAATAAAATTGGCTGTTCAGATGGCTAATAATTCCAAAGCTAACTCACTCCTTCTAGTTAGATCTGGCCATTTCATCATTGTAATAGGGATTGTAGACAAAAGTGCATGATCCCTTTATTTATTTATGTAATTTTTTTTTTAAAGACAGAGTCTCGTTCTGTTGCCCAGGTGGATTCTAGTGGAACGATCATAGCTCACTGCAGCCTCTAACTCCCAGACCATCGTGCCTGGTCATAATACCTTTAAAGTGTCCTAGATCAAGCCATTCATTTTGAAAACCTCCAGTTTTATGGTATTCTTTTTCTTTTTCTTTTCTTTTTTTTTTTGAGATGGAGTCTCGCTGTGTCACCTAAGCTGGAGTGCAGTTGCGCGATCTCTGCTCACTGCAAGCTCCGCCTCCTGGGTTCACACCATTCTCCTGCCTTGGCCTCCCAAGTAGCTGGGACTACAGGCGCCCACCACCATGCCTGGCTAATTTTTTGTATTTTTAGTAGAGGCAGGGTTTCAGTGTGTTGGCCAGGATGGTCTTGATTTCCCGACCTCATGATCCACCCGCCTCGGCCTCCCAAAGTGCTAGGATTACAGGTGTGAGCCACCGCATCCGGCCTATGGTATTATTTTTCTAGCAGTGTCATTCACCCAACTCCACACCTGCATACCCCACCCTCCTTGATTTAAGACCTGTCTTGGGATCTGCTCATCTGAGTGGAGCAGGACTCTGTCCCTTCCAACATTTTGCCTGCTAGGGACTGTGTCTAGCTCATAGATCTCTTATTTCTGATGTGTCCATTTGGTCATGGGCCTGTGAGCCACGCGGAGCAGGAAGGGCAGGGAGGTGGGGTCGAGAGCTGCCAGCCATCTGCCCCTCTGATCTTTTCCAGCACTGTCCTCTGCCAGCATCCCCCTTTACTTCTGTGTCTTCTTGGTAATCACTGAACTCTTTGCTCTCGAGGTGGTTCATGGACTTCCTGCCTGCACTCCTAGGTCTTGGAGAGAGCGCCTCCCCTGGGAGTCCTGCCAGCAATTCTTTAGCTACATGTAGTTTTAGGTTCCATGGCAGGCATTTTTCCTGATTCTGGTTTAGAACGACAGCACCGCTTTATGCTTGGATACCTTTACATTCATCTGGGCTGAACTATTTTCTCCCCAGAGCTTTCAGGAACCAAAATGGTAATCAGGTGATGAGCAGCCCTTCTCCTTCCAAACAGCTGCTGATAAACCTAACAGACCCTTGTCAGGCAAATCTGAGCTAAAGGCACAATGCCCCCACCAGTGTGCACATTATTATAGCTGTTGAACCTACGTCAGTGCACCATGGTCACTCAGAGCCCATAGTTTACATCAGGGTTCACTCCCGGTATCCTGCGTTCTGTGGTATTGGTAATCGGGGAGGCTGTGCGTTGTGTGGGAGTGGAGGGTATATGGGAACTCTGTACCTCTGCTCAATTTTGCTGTAAACCTAAACCTGCTCTAAAAAATAAAGTCTCTTAAAAAAAATCCACAGTGAATGAGAGTCCCTCTTGCTCCCTATCCTTGTCAGCATTTGGTATTGTCAGGGCTCTGGATTTTGGCTGTTCTCATAGGCAGGGAGTGGTGTCTCATTGTTGTTTTGATTTGCATTTCCTTGATTAATGACATTGGACATGTTTTTAAGCAAGTAACCCTTTGTATATTTTCTGTAACGAAATGTTCAAGTCTTTTGCCTCGTTTCTCATTGAGTTGTTTGTGAGTTGTGAGAGTTCTTTAGATATGCTAGAAACAAGTTCTTTATCAGATAATGTGTTTTACAAATATTTTATCCCAGTCTGTGATTTGTATTTTAATTTTCTTTTTCTTTTTTTTCTTTTTTGAGAGACAGAGTTTTGCTGTCACTCCAGCTGAAGTACAGTGGCATGATCCCGCCTCACTGCAGCTGTGACCCCCTGGGCTGAAGTGATCCTCCCACCTTAGCCTCCTGAGTAGTTGGGACTATAGGTGTGTGCCGCCATGCCAAGCTAATTTTTAAAACACTTTTTTTTTGTAGAGATGGGGTCTTGCTATGTTGCCCAAGCTGGTCTTGAACCCCTGGACTCAAGCAATCCTCCTGCCTTGGCCTCCCAAAGTGCTGAGGTTACAGGTGAGTTTTCTCAACAGAGTCTTTAGAAGAGCAGAAGTTTTATACTTTTAGATTTTTTATTTAGGTTATGATCCATTTGTTTTTTTGAGACGGAGTTTTGCTTTGTCTCCCTGGCTGTAGTACAACAGCGTGATCTCGGCTCACTGCAACCTCCGCCTCCCAGGTTCAAGCGATTCTACCTGCCTCATCCTCCCTAGTAGCTGGGATTACAGGCACCTACCACCATGCCCAGCTAATGTTTTTGTATTTTTTTTTTTTTTTTTGAGATGGAGTCTCACTCTGTCACCCAGTCTGGAGTGCAGTGGCACAATCTCGGCTCATTGCAAACTCCACCTCCCGGGTTCATGCCATTCTCCTGCCTCAGCCTCCCGAGTAGCTGGGACTACAGGCACCCACCACCACACCTGGCTAATTTTTTGTATTTTTAGTAGAGACGGGGTTTCATCGTGTTAGCCAGGATGGTCTCAATCTCCTGACCTCATGATCCGCCCGCCTCGGCCTCCCAAAGTGCTGGGATTACAGGTGTGAGACACCGTGCCTGGTATGTTTTTGTATTTTAGTAGAGATGGGGTTTCACCATGTTGGCCAGGCTGGTGTCAAACTCCTGACGTCAAGTGATCCACCTGTCTTGGCCTCCCAAAGTATTGGGATTACAAGCGTGAGCCACCATGCCTGGCTCGTTTTGAGTTAATTATCATATATTGTAGGAGGTAAAAATGGAGAGGTTTTTTTTTTTTTTGCATGTGGATCCAGTTGTGCCTCTGTTGGAAAGGCCACCCTTTCTCACTGAAGTGTCATGGTAGCCTGGGGTCCATTTCTGGAATGTATCCTGCTTCTCTGATCTAAGTGTCCCACCTAATGTAAATACCACACTGTCTCAGTTACTGTAGTTTTTTTTTTTTTTTTTTTGAGATGGAGTCTTGCTCTGTCGCCAGGCTGGAGTGCAGTGGTGTGATCTCGGCTCACTGCAACCTCCTACTGGGTTCAAGTGATTCTCGTGCCTCAGCCTCCCGAGTAGCTGGGATTACAGGCACGCGCCACCACACCCAGCTAATTTTTGTATTTTTAGTTGAGACGGGGTTTCACCATGTTGGCCAGGATGGTCTTGATCTCCTGACCTTGTGATCCGCCCACTTTGGCCTCCCAAAGTGCTGGGATTACAGGCGTGAGCCACTGTGCCTGGCCACTGTAGTTTTATAGTAACTTTTGAAAGCAGTGTGAGTTTTCCAAAATTATTCTTCATTTTAAAAATTGTTTTGGCTATTCTGGGTCCTTTATATTTCTATAGAATGTTTAGAACAAGCTGGTCAGTTTCTACAAAGAACCTGGTGAGAATTTGATTGCAAGTGCATTGTAGCTATAAAGCTTAACAATATTGGGTCTTCTGATCCACAAGCACATACACATCCTCATTTATGTAGGCCACCTCTACCTTCTCTCAGCAATGTTTTGTAGCTTTCAGTGTACCACTCTTGCACATATTGTGTTAAATTTGTCTCTATTTCATGTTTTTTTTTTTGGCATAGAGACTATCTTTATAAATATATTTTTAAATATTTTATAATGGTAAATACACATGATAAAATTTATCAAGTGTACAGTTCAGCTTATTTCGTTTTTAATGCTATTATAAACTTTGTTTAATTGAAATTTCCAAATATATAGAATACAAGTGATTTTTTTTTTTGAGATGGAGTCTTGCTCTGTTGCCCAGGCTGGAATGCAGTGGTATGATCTCGGCTCACTGCAAGCTCCGCCTCCTGGGTTCATGCCATTCTCCTGCCTCCACCTCCCAAGTAGCTGGGACTATAGGCGCCCGCCACCATGCCCAGCTAATTTTTGGAATACAAGTGGTTTTTTAATTTTAATTTTTAATTTTTGTGGGTACATAGTAGGTGTGTATTTATGAGGTACATTAGATGTTTTGATACAGGCATGCAATGTGTAACAAACACATCAGGGCAGATGGGGTATCCATTATCACCTTAAACATTCAATCCTTTGTGTTATAGACAATCCAATTATATTCTTAGTTGTTTTAAAATGAACAATTTTTTTTTTTGAGATGGAGTCTTGCTCTGTCACTCAGGCTGGAGTGCAGTGGCGCGATCTCTGCTCACTACAACCTCTGCCTCCTGGGTTCAAGCAGTTCTCTTGCCTCAGCCTCCCAAGTAGCTGGAACTACAGGCACGTGCCACCATGTCCGGCTAATTTTTGTATTTTTAGTAGAGACGGGGTTTTGCCATGTTGGCCAGCTGGTCTCTAACTCCTGACCTCAAGTAATCCACCTGCCTTGGCCTCCCAAGGTGCTGGGATTACAGGCATGAGCCACCACGCCTGGCCATGAACAATTAAATTATTTTTGATTATAGTCACCCTGTTGTGCTAGCAAATACTAGGTCTTATTCATTCTTTTTTTTTTTTTTTTTTTTGAGATGGAGTCTCGCTCTGTCACCCAGGCTGGAGTGCAGTGGCGCGATCTTAGCTCACTGCAAACTCTGCCTCCTGGGTTCACACCATTCTCCTGCCTCAGCCTCCTGAGTGGCTGGGACTGCAGGTGCCCGCCACCACGCCCAGCTAATTTTTTGTATTTTTAGTAGAGACAGGGTTTCACCGTGTTAGCCAGGATGGTCTTGATCTCCTGACCTCGTGATCCGCCTGCCTTGGCCTCCCAAAGTGCTGGGATTACAGGCATGAGCCACCGCGCCCAGCCTATTCATTCTATTTTTTTGTGCCCATTAACTCTCTTCACTTTCCTTCTAGATACTCCTCCACTCCCCCTTCCCAGCCTCTACTAACCATCCTCCTACTATCTCCATGAGTTCAATTGTTTTAATTTTTAGCTCCCATAGGTAAGTGAGAACATGTATAGCCCTTTCTGTGCCTGGCTTATATCACTTAACATAATGACCTCCAGTGCCATCCATGTTGTTGACAATGACAGGCTCTCATTCTTTTTTCTTTTCTTTTTTTTTTTTTTTTGACGGAGTCTTACTCTGTCACCCAGGCTTGAGTGCAGTGGCGTGATCTCTACTCACTGCAACCTCCGCCTCCCGGGTTCAAGTGATTCTCCTGCCTCAGCCACCTGAGTAGCTGGGACTACAGGCATGCACCACCACACCTGGCTAATTTTTGTATTTTTAGTAGAGGTGGGGTTTCATCATGTTGGTAAGGCTGGTTTTGAACTCCTGACCTCTTGATCCACCCTCCTCGGCCTTCCAAAGTGCTGGGTTGCTCTCATTCTTTTTTATGGCTGAATAGTACTTGATTGTGTATATTTACCACATTTTTTAAATCCAGTCATCAGTTGATGTACACTGAGGTTGCTTCCAAATTTTGGCTATTGTGAATAGTGCTGCAATAAACATGGGAGTGCGAGTATCTTTTCCATATACTGATTTCCTTTTTTTTAGGGGTATATACCTAGGAGTGGGACTGCTGGATTTTCAGAGGAACTGCCATTATATTCCTACCAATAGTGTACAAGGGTTTTATTTTCTTCTTGTCCTCTCCAGCATTTGTTATTGCCTGACTTTTGGATAAAAGCCATTTTGACTGGGGTGAGATGATATTTCCTTGTAGTTTGATTTGTATTTCTCTGATGATCAGCGATATTGAGCACCTTTTTATATACCTGTTTGTCATTTGTATGTCTTTTGTTTTGTGTTGTTGAGACAGGATCTCGCTCTGTAGCTCAGGCTGGAGTGCAGTGGTGTGAAAATAGCTCACTGTAGCCTCAACCTCCTGGACTGAAGCTATCTTTCCACCTCAGCCTCCTGAGTAGCTGGGACTATGGGTGTGTGCCACCAAGCCTAATTTTTTTTTTTTTTCTTTAGACTGGGTTTTGCCCTGTTTCTCAGACTGGTGTACAAGTGGTTTAATCATGGCTCACTGCAGCCTTGACTTCCCAGGCTCAATCAATCCTCCCACCTTAGCCTCCCAAGTAGCTGAGACTACAAGCGTGTGCCACCATGCCTGGCTAATTTTTGTATTTCTTGTAGAGACGGGGTCTTACTATGTAGCCCAGGCTGGTCTTGAACTCCTGCCCACCTCAGCCTCCCAAAGTGCTGGGATTATAGGTGTGAGCCATCACACGCAGCCACCATATGTCTTCTTTTGAGAAATGTCTATTTAGATCTTTTGCCCATTTTAAAATCAGATTATTAGATTTTTTTCTATAGAGTTGTTTGACTCCTTATGTATTCTGGTTATTAATCCCTTGTCAGATGGATAGTTTGCAAATACTTTCTTCCATTCTGTGGATTGTCTCTTCACTTTGTTGACTGTATCCTTTGCTGTGCAGAAGCTTTTTAACTGGATGTGATCCCATTTGTCCGTGTTTGCTTTGGTTGCCTGTGCTTTTGGGGTACTATTCAAGAAATCTTTGTCCAGACCAATGTCCTGGAGAGTTTCCCCAATGTTTTCTTTTAGTAGTTCTTG
The DNA here is from genome assembly GCF_000001405.40 of Homo sapiens. Classification (NCBI taxonomy): domain Eukaryota; kingdom Metazoa; phylum Chordata; class Mammalia; order Primates; family Hominidae; genus Homo; species Homo sapiens. The sequence goes on from NC_000017.11 coordinate 17,338,029, forward strand.
TATATGGCAAGAGATAGGGGTCTAGTTTCATTCTTTTGCATATGGATATCCAGTTTTCCAGTGCCATTTATTGAAGAGACTGTCGTTTCCCCAATATATGTTCTTGGCACCTTTGTCAAAAATGAGTTCAAGGTAGATATATGGATTTATCTGTGGGTTCTGTGATCTTTTTTTTTTTTTTTGAGACGGAGTCTTACTCTGTCGCCCAGGCGGGAGTACAATGGCACCATCTCGGCTCACTGCAATGTCCGTCTCCCGGGTTCAAGTGATTCTCCTGCCTCAGCCTCTGGAGTAGCTGGGACTACAGGCATGTGCCACCATGCCCAGCTAATTTTTGTATTTTTAGTAGAGATGGGGTTTCACCACGTTAGCCAGGCTGGTCTTGAACTCCTGACCTCACGCTATCCGCCCGCCTCGGCCTCCCAAAGTGCTGGGATTTCAGGCATGAGCCACTGCGCCTGGCCTGGTTCTGTATTCTTATCCACTGATCTGTGTGTCTGTTTTTATGCCAGTAACATGCCATTTGGACTACTGTAGCTTTGTAGTATCATTTAAAGTCAGATAATGTGATTTTTCCAGTTTTGTTCCTTTTGCTTAGGATAGCTCTGGCTATTCTGGAATTTTTGTGGTTCTATGTAAATGTTAAGGGTTTTTTTTTTTTTTTTTTTTTTGTATTTCTGTGAAGAATGTCATTGGTATTTTTTTTTTTTTTTTTTGAGATGGAGTCTTACTCTGTCACCCAAGCTGGAGTGCAGTGGCGCGATCTCGGCTCACTGCAAGCTCCACCTCCCAGGTTCACACCGTTCTCCTGCCTCAGCCTCCCAAGTAGCTGGGACTACAGGCGCCCGCCACCACGCCCAGCTAATTTTTTGTATTTTTTAGTAGAGACGGGGTTTCACTGTGTTAGCCAGGATGGTCTCGATTTCCTGACCTCGTGATCTGCCTGCCTCGGCCTCCCGAAGTGCTAGGATTACAGGCGTGAGCCACCGCACCTGGCCTGTCATTGGTATTTTAATAGGGATTGCATTAAATCTGTAAATTGCTTTGGGTAGTATGAACATTTTAACTATATTTATTCTTCTAATCCATGGACATGGAATGAGTATCTTTCCACTTTTTGTGTCTTCAATTTATTCTATCAGTGTTTTATAGTTTACAGTGTAGAGCTCTTTCACTTGGGTTAATTCTTAGGTATTTTATTTTATTTGTAGCTATTTTAAATGGGATTCCTTTCTTAATTTTTTTTCAGATTGTTCCTGTTTTTTTCAGGATTGTTCCTGTTTTTTTCAGATTTTGTATCCTGCAACTTTGCTGACTTTATCAGTTCTAGTAGTTTTTTGGTGGAATCTTTAGGTTTTTCCAAATATAAGATCATGTCATCTGCAAACAAGGATAATTTGACTTCTAATCCTTTCTAATTTGGATGCTCTTTCTTTCTTTCTCTTGTCTGATTGCTCTAGCGAGGACTTCCAGTACTATGTTGAATCACAGTGGTGAAAGTAGGCATTCTTGTCATGTTCCCGGTCTTAGAGGAAAGGCTTTCAGTTTTTCCCCATTCAGTATGATACTAGCCATATATAGGTCTGTCATATATGGCTTTTATTATGTTGAGGTATGTTCCTTCCATACCCAGTTTTTTGAGGGTTTTTATCATGAAAGGATATTGAATTTTATCAAATACCTTTTCAGCACCAATTGAAATAATCATATGTTTTTTGTCCTTCATTCTGTTGATATGATATATCACATTAATTGATTTGCATTTGCTGAACTATCCTGGAATCCCTGGGATAAGTCCCACTTGGTCATGCTGGATGATCTTTTTAATGTGTTGTTGAATTCAATTTGCTAATCTTTTGTTGAGGATTTTAGGAATCAATATTTATCAATGATATTGGCCTATAGTTTTCTTTTCTTTTTTTCAATGTGTTTTTGTCTGGTTTTGGTATCACGGTGATACTGGCTTCATAGAATGAGTTTGGAAGTATTCCTTCCTTCTGTATATTTCTGAATAGTTTAAGTAGGATTGGTATTAGTTATTTAAGTGTTTGGTAGAATTCAGCAGTGAAGCTATTGGGTCCCGGCCTTTTCTTTGCTGGGAGACTTTTTATTATGGCTTCAGTTGTTGTTACTTGTTATTGGTCTGTTTGTTTTGAATTTCTTCATGGTTCAATCTTGGTAGATTGCATGTATCTAGGAATTTGTCCATTTCCTCTAGATTTTCTAATGTATTGGCATGTAGTTGCCCATAGTAGCCACCGATGATTGTTTAAATTTCTGTAATATCAGTTGTAGTGTTTCCTTTGTCATCTCTGATTTTATTTATTTGGGTCTTCTCTCTTTTTTTCTTAGTCTGGCTAAAGGTTTGTCATTTTGTTTACCTTTCCAAAAAACCAACTTTTTGTTTCTTTTCACAAAACCAATCTTTTGTATTTTTTTTATTTCATATTCATTTATTTCTGCTCTGATTTTTGTTATTTCTTTTCTTTCCTTTCTTTTCTTTTTTTTTTAATTTTGAGATGGAGCCTTGCTCTGTCGCCCAGGCTGGAGTGCAGTGGCACAATCTCGGCTCACTGCAACCTCTGCCTCCTGGGTTCAAGCGATTCTCCTGCCTTAGCCTCTCGAGTAGCTGGGACTACAGGTAGGTGCCACCATGCCCAGCTTATTTTTGTTTTTTTAGTAGAGATGGGGTTTCACCATGTTGGCCAGGCTGGTCTTGATCTCCTGACCTTGTGATCTGCCCGCCTTGGCCTCTCAAAGTGCTGGGATTACAGTGTGAGCCACCGCGCCCGGCCTGCTCTTGTTTTTCTGTTTCTTTAGGATGCATCATTAAGTTGTTTACTTGAAGTTTTTCTTCTTCTTTTTTTATTTTTTTTAAATTCAGGCCCCCACAGAAGCATTTTCTTCTTTTTTGATGTGGCACTTATAGCTATAAACTTCCCTCTTAGTACTGCTTTTGCTGCATCCCATAGGTTTTGGTATGTTGTACTTCCATTATCATGTGTTTCAATAAATTTTTCAATTTCCTTCATTTCTTCATTGACCCACTTCATTCAGGAGCATGTTGTTTAATGTCTCTGTGTTTGTATAGTTTCCAGAATTCCTCATTATTGATTTCTAGTTTTATTCCAAAAATACATGTGATTTTTTTATATTGACCTTGTATCCTGTTAGTTTGCCAAATTAACAGTTCTAGTTGCTTTATGTAGATGATTTGGGGCTATGAAAGTCTAGTTATAATAATTACATTTATTTAGTACGTCTGTATCAGGCATTACTCAGGTGTCCTCACAGTTTTTTATTTGATCATACCAGCAACACTGTGAGGAAACTGACCTCACAGTGGAAGTCACTGGCTTGCCCAAGGTCCCCAGCTCGTATGTATCAGAACCAGACTTAGGGCCTAATTTTGAGGGTAAGACAAAAAGGTAGAATCCTTTTTCTGAAGACTTTCTGTGTGCCAGGTGCAGTACTGAGACTCTGATGCATAATTTTCCACTAAATCCCCGAAGGCACTCACGAGGTAGATGCTGTCCTTATCCCTGTGTCACCACACAGGGACCAGACAACCTGCTGAGGGATAGAGATACTCACGTGAGAAGCTGGTGGTATCTATGCGCAGTGGCCACATAAGTGCTCATGGCTGGGCTCCAGGAGGCTCAGGGGGAACCCCATGCCCTCTTCTATTTTTACCTCTTACCATATATAAAATTTAACCCTGGCTGGGTGCAGTGGGTCATGCCTGTAATCCCAGCACTTTGGGAGGCCACGGTGGGCGGATCACAAGGTCAGGAGTTTGAGACCAGCCTGGCCAACGTGGTGAAACCCCGTTTCTACTAAAAATACAAAGAACTTAGCCAGGCATGGTGGCAGGCGCCTGTGATCCCAGCTACTTGGGAAGCTGGGGCAGGAGAATCACTTGAACCTGGGAGGTGGAGGTTGCAGTGAGCCGAGATCGTGCCATTGCACTCCAGCCTGGGCGACAGCAAGACTCTGTCTCAAAAAAAAGAAAAAAAAAAATTAACCCCAAATGGGTTAAATACATATAAATACATATATACATATAAAAGCTAAAAGTATAAAACTTCTGCTCTTCAAAAGGCACTGTTCAGAAAATGAAAAGACAAATCACAGATCATGAAAAAATATTTGCAAAATGCATTGTCTGATAAAGGACTGGTTTCTAGAATACATTAACTACTCTCACAACTCAATACAAACAGCCCACTTTGTTTTGCCGTTTATGTGACCCCTGATAAGTCACAGACCCTCTCTGAGCCTCCATTTCTTCATCTGTACGGGATCTCGTCACCACTATCGTGGCACATCATTTTCCCACGCAAACCCTTTCTGCAGAGCAGCTCCGTATTTTGTCTGCAGAGTGGCGCCGGTCCGAGATGAAACACGGAAACTGGGTGTGTGTGATTGGAAATGTTCATGGCAGTTTGTCTGATGCAGTGTTCAGGCACATGATTTGATTTCATATCTTACAAAAGCATTGGTCACAATGCAGTGGAAATTAAAAAAACAAAACCTGACCCTTCTCTTCCCACACTCCCAGATGTTCCATGTTCCAGCCACACTCCAGGGTTTTCCCCATTCCTCAAACACCTGAGCACCGGCCTGCCTTGGAACATCAGTGTTTGTTTTTCCCTCTGCCTGGAATGTTCTTGCCGACCTGTGGAGAGCCAGCCGCCTTGTCAGTCGGGTCCAGAGAAGATGCCGCCTTTGCAGTGAGGCCTCTGTGTGAGGTTGGAGCTCTGTGCTGACTGCAGAGCCCTTGCCCCCTGGCTATCGTTGTCTGTGGCCTGTGTGCCTCCTCCTGCTATGTGCACTCCATGGGTCTCCTGTTGACCATCGTCTCTCTGGTTCCTGGAACTGTACCTCATGCAATATTGGCTAAATTACTACACAAGTCAGGAAAGTTTGGCTACTTGGAATGTTGCCGTGAGGCTTAGATACGATGACGGACACTGCATGCCTGTGGAGTGGGTCTGCTGAAAACATTAGCCCCAGGCTCTTGCCCCCCATCCAGCCTGCACCAGCGATTTACAGTCCTGTGGGGAAGATGCGAAGTAAGTTATAGAGATGTGTAGCTCCGACTGTGACATTGCTAGGGAGGACAATTAGACTGGGAGAGTTCAGGGAAGGCTTAGGAGGTGGCAGCTTTAGAAGGATAGGTGCTCACTGGGCTAGGAGAAGGGCCCTGTGCATATGTGTGTGTGTGTGCATGTGTGTGTGCACACACGTGTCCATGAAGGAATGTTCCAGTCAGAGGAAATGGCACATGTGAGGCTCTGAGCAGGAAAAAGCATAATACAGTCAAGCAGTGAGAGGAGGTTGTCGTGGGTGGGCGTGGCAAGCGAGGTGGCCACAGGGAAAGGTGGCGCTGGGACAGCGGTAGGGCTGGTCTGCTCTGCAGATCCGGCCCTTTTCCCACGTCCCGTGTGCTGGCCGGTTGCAGAGGGTCATGTGGTGTCTGCCTTTGTGAAGTGGGACTCCTGAAGCGACCTCCAACTGGAAGAAAGCCACCCTAAGGCACCCATGTCCCATTTCCTTGTCATACACAGGGAAAAACGGAGTCCCTGGGAGGGCAAGGACCTGCCCGGCTCTGCCCCAGGGTGGCAGAGCCCTGAGCTCCCTGTGCAGCCTGGGCCACTCAGTGTTTCTGTTTGTTTATGCAGGAACCAGAGGAGCTTAGGGAAAAAGTGCATCCAGTCCTGCCCCTCCTCTGCTTAAAATCTGCTGCTGGTTAACCTCTGTAGCTGTAACAGGGTCTGTGACTTAAGGGTTGGTTGCCAGTGTCAGAAATCAACAAGGGTGTTGGAATCTGGATGGCTGTAGAGACAGCCTGGAGCTGGGCAGGGCTCAGTTAGGGTGCCTGGGGCCCATGGGCCAGAGCAGGTGCCGTGCTTAGGCTGCGCCCACCCCTGGCTGCACTGGGGTGGTGAGAGCAGCCAGGACCTGCTACCCTATAGGAAAAAGTCAATTTCCCCAGGGAATCGAGGCAAAGGGAAAGGATGCCGAGAGCCCACCAGTGGCGAGAGGATGCCGGTGGCTTGCCAGGCCCCGGTCTGCTCCCTGCCCCCCGGGGAGCACCAGCACCCCAGTTTGCTATCCATCGGCCCAGACACACCCTGCCCCATGTCCGTTAGCACCTGGAATGCGCTGTGTGCTAGGGGTGCCCCTGTGGTCAGCTTGCCTGTCCTGAAGAAAGCCTTCCTTGGGCAGCCTGTGGCTTCTTTGTAGGCCTGTCCCAGGTGTTATGTAACCATTGTTTAAGAGGGCCTTGACCGCTGTCTCCTCAGCTGTAAGCTCCCTGAGGGTAGGAACTGCTTTTTGTCTTGGTTTTCTTTCTTCAGTGCCTAACAGTACGCACTGCCCACATGCATGTGGGGCAGGAGGTGGCAGTGGCCCAGCAGGTGGCAGGGGTGGCACACATGGCCGCCCTCTGCTCCCTGTGTTTGGGTTATGCTGTGCAGTGTTCGCTGGGTGTGAAGAGGGGACAGGGCTGGGTTTGTCGTGACTCTGCTGCTTTCTAGCTACTGGAGTGTGGACCAGCCATGTGCGCTCCCTGAGTGCTGGCGTCCTGGGCTGGACTCCCTCCCAGCACTGACTGCCTGGCGCTGGGCCTTGGTGTCAGGCCTCCATCCCTCCCTGCCTGTTAGCTGAGGTCTAGGCTGACCCCTGCCCTCGGCTCTTGGTTGGCTCCCAGGTCTGATGTCACTTTCTTCTCACCACCTGCCCTTGCCTGTTTGCGTCCAGTATGCCTGGGTGGAGAAGTACTTTGGCCCTGACTTTCTGGAGCAGATTGTGCTGACCAGAGACAAGACCGTGGTCTCTGCTGACCTTCTCATAGACGACCGGCCGGACATCACAGGCAAGTGGCCTGCGACAGGTGAGGAGCACGTGGGGAGGGCCCCAGCCTTGGCCCCCTTCTCCTGGGCAGTGAGCACTCAGTTGCTTCCTGCCCCACTTAGTCACCAGCTGTTTGCCAGGCACTGAGCCCCTCCCCTTCGGGAAGACAAGGCCCCCTCTGTATGGGCTGTGGCCTGGTGCTCCTGGGAGCTGGGAGGAGTGGGTGCCAGCTCTAGGGTTAGCTTGAGGGGTGGCCTTGGGGAAGTCCCTTCAGCTTCAAAGCCTTGTCTTCCTCATGTAACATGGGGACTCAACTCTGGTTTCCAAATGTTTGTTTTTAGCAACAAAACCCATTTTTTCCCCCAAAAGCAATGTGGACTGATGCAATGAATGACAGGAGGGCAGAGCAGAGCTCCTGCAGGGAAGGTGGGTTGGGACAGAAGACCCCCCTCCCCAAAACCAAACAAGCCAGTCAACCTTGAACTGCCGTAGAAAGGAGAGGGAGATGGGCGTGGTGACTCACGCCTGTAATTTGGGAGGCTGATGTGGGTGGATGGCTTGAGCCCAGGAGTGTGAAACCAGCCTGGCCAACATAGCGAGACTCTCTCTACAAAAAATACAAAAATTATCTGGGCATGGTGGTGCATGCCTGTAGTCCCAGCTACTTCAGGGGCTGAAGTGGAAGGATTGTTTGAGCCTAGGAGTTGGAGACCAGCCTGGGCAACATGGTGAGACTCCCTGTCTCTACAAAAAAAAAAAAAAAAACACAAAAAAATTAGCTGATCATCATGGCGCATGCCTGTGGTCCCTGCTACTCTGGAGGCTGAGGTGGGAAAATCACCTGAGCTGGGGAGGTGGAGGCTGCAGCGAGCTGTGATTGCACCACTGCATTCCAGTCTGGGTGACAGAGTAAGACCCTGTCTCCAGAAAACAAAACAAAATACAACACAGCACAGGAGAGGGGAAGTTTTTTGGTTTACCTAACTGGAAAGGGGTGAGGAGGGCTTTGGCCGGCCAAATCTAGGCGTTGAAACTGCCCGTGAGTGTTGTTTCTTTGCCTCTTGGCTCTGCCCTGGCCTGGTTTTTGACATCCTCCTCCTGGTAGCCGTCAGTAGTTTCAGGTCGAGTCTTTTGGACACCCCAGTGGGAATATACATTCTATTTTTTTCCCTGATTGTTTTAGAACTGGCTTGGGAAACATGCCCACCTCCATCACTGCGTCCAGAGGGTGGACTCCACGAGTGTACCCACCCCACCCCACCCTCCCCAGCCTCGTGGGTTCCCGCCAGAGTCAGGGCAGACAGTGGTCTGTGGGGTCCCGTGACCTTGAGGGCCCAAAGGCTGGCTTGGCCTCCATCTCCAGCCACAGGTTGTTGGGGGCGGGTGTATAACCCAAAGGGGTGGCATCACCAGCAGCACCAGTGTGGACACGAGGGAATGAGGCCTGGAGAGGCTGCAGGGGCCTGTGATCAGCGGCTGGTGAGCTGCAGAGCTGGTGCCACCTGGCCTTCCCACACCAGGCCATCAGGATGGTGGGGCACAGAGAGGGAAGTTGGGGGAACACCGTGTGGTGTAAGCCATCAGGATGGCAGGGCACGGAGAGGGAAGTCGGGGGAACACCATGTGGTGTAAGCCATCAGGAGGCGGGGCACATGTCCCTTGCCAGTGCTGGTGGTGACAGTGACCCGCAGTCAGTCCCTGTTGACTGAGCACTGGCTGCGCGTGCTGACGGCCTCCTTGCCGCATCTCGTGCCATCCTCACACCCGCTGCGAAGGCGGGTGTGCGTGCAGTCACCCCTTTACAGAGGAAACAAGTTTTGGCAAGGCCAGATGCCTGCCTGGATACCCAGGTTTCCACCCTAGGCGGCTGCGCTCCAGGTCTCCACTGCTGAGCTGAATGCCGCTTTCCCACCCACAGGGGCCGAGCCAACCCCCAGCTGGGAGCATGTCCTCTTCACCGCCTGCCACAACCAGCACCTGCAGCTGCAGCCCCCCCGCCGCAGGCTGCACTCGTGGGCGGACGACTGGAAGGCCATTCTGGACAGCAAGCGGCCCTGCTGAGCTGGACTGTGCTTCGGGCTCCTCTGTGGGGCTCTGACCTCAGGGCTCCCAGCTCGGGGCCTGTGGGGCCAGTATGCTGGTCTGGGAGTCCCTCCTAGACTCCTGGGCCCCATGACCTCCTGCTGCATGTCCCTTCCCTTCCCCAGCCCTGCCAGGCCTTAACCTGATCACGGGGCAGGGCTGGGCCCTCTGGGCGCTTGGACATAGACACGTGGTCCCAGGCCGTTCAGCCTGACCTCAGGCAGCAGGCACCAAGCTGCCAGAAGCCCAGGGGCTCAGGACAGGGAGGAGTTGAGGCCACTGTTCAGGGGGCTGGTGGCCGTCTCCACTCCCTAGGCAAGTTCTCTGAGGCAGAAGGGGGTTCCCTGTTCCCAGAGTCTGCAGCCATCAGCAAGGAGGACCAGGAACCCGGCGACTGAGGTGCTTCCAGGTGGGGACAAGCCCCTCTTGGTCTCAGCCACAGCACCCCTTATTCCAGCTGCCCTGCCCAACCTGCTCACCCCACATGACCTTCTGTGTATTCAGCAAACACTCACTAGGTGACAGCGGCCACCAGGCTCTGTGCTGGGGGACGATACTGGCCCTGGCCTCGACCAGCTTAGAGGTTTCTCACACCTCTGTTCCCAGGGCCCCGCTCAGGGCCCAGCAGAGAGTCCGTAGGCTTGAACATGTGTTGAGTGCATGAAAAATAAATGCTGTTCATGTGTGTAGCTCAAGGCTGTGGCCTGCCCTAAGATCCTCTAGCGTCTGCCCCCACTGGGGACCCAGCTTCAGGTCTTGTAAGTGTCTGGGCAGTTCCACTGCATTGAAGACAGGCGGAGGAAGGCATGACTTCAGCCCATGCCTCGCAGGGTGGGTCCTAGTGGTGGTCTCCTCGGGCCACCCACCCACTCTCGTTGGTGAGACTTAGGAGGTGGGTCTTAGTGGTGGTCTCCTCGGGCCACCCACCCACTCTCATTGGTGAGGTTTAGGAGATGGGCTCCAGACACTCGGTTGCTCTCTCAAGTGCCTCCTTCCCGCACCTGCCCCAGTGCTTCAGAGCAGGGTCCCCCGTCCCCCTCTCCTCCGCTCTTCTCCCAAGGCCAAGTTTCTGTGGGATCGCAGGAGCCCTGTGGGGAAGGCTGGTGTTAGAGTCTCAGCTTCTGTTCCTTTTGACCCGCTGGGAAGTGACAGCTTGAACCAGCCACCTCCCCACTAACCTTTGGAGAGGTTTTGGGACCACTTTCTTGTCCTTATGCCCTTCCCGTTACTGCTCTGGCCGCTCTCCCATCATGGCCCTTGAAGGGAACATGGGTTGCCCATGCCCCTAATTCACCCCAGCTCTGGGGCCCTCCTGGCAGGCCTCTCTGCCTTATATGACAGAGATGCTTTGGGCTGCCCTGGAGGCAGGGTCAGATAGGAGAGAAGACAAGGGGAAGGCACCCATGGCCCAAGGTTGGCTGAGCTTTTTGATGTTCCTGTTCTTATAGTCTCAGGAGCTTGGGCTCCATCACCCACCTTAGGGAGGGAGGACCCCTCCAGGCTCCATCACCCCAGCTTAGGGAGGGAGGACCCCTCCAGGCTCCATCACCCCAGCTAAGGGAGGAAGGACCCCTCCAGGCCCCATAACCCCAGCTTAGGGAGGAAGGACCCTTCCAGGCTCCATCACCCCAGCTTAGGGAGGGAGGATCCCTCCAGGCTCCGTCACCCACCTTAGGGAGGGAGGACTCCTCCAGGCTCCATCACCCCAGCTTAGGGAGGAAGAACTCTAGGCTTGGCCAAAGGCAGATCTCCACGGCACCCCCACCCCCTTACCCGCTGAACTGACATTTTTCTTTGGGGTGAAGGGGAGAGGCTGAACCAGGAATATATTTGGGGTTGCATCACATGATCTGAAACCATCTGGTCCAGGCAGGGTGGTGGTTGGAAGAGTCCTGGCTGTCTTGCCACATGGCTCTGGAGGGAAGTCTGACCCTGGGGTGCTGGCTGCCCAGCTGCTCCTGAGTCCCTCTGCCTCTTCCTGCTGTCTGAGGTCTCACCTGTGGGGCCCTGAAAGTCCCTCCTCATGAAGGGCCAGGAGAATGTGTGATGTGCAACTCCTTTCTTGTCCCCAGCAGGGCCTGTCCACCTGCTCCACGCCCTGTCCTGAGAGGGACTGCCCCATCAGAAGACTCGAGTCACAGGGACTCTCCTGGGGCCAGCCACACCCTGAAAACATTGTGACTATAGCTTGGGGTGCAGAAAACAACTTGGCTTGTTTCCATCCTGGGGGTCCTTCTGATGACAGAAACTCAATCCTGTCCAGATTTTCTCAGCCACATCCTGGTTTCTCCCTCCCTCCTCCTGCCCAGGGAGAGCCCCGGGCCTGGGGGCTGACTTGGTGCAGGGGTGTGGGTCGGGTTGCTGAGAGCAGTGTTCACGGACCCCGAGGGAGCTGTGGAGGGGCCCTGAGGCCTTCTGTCCACAAAGAGGGGAGCAGGGCCTGGTGGGGTACCACTGGGGGACATTCCCTCCTGCCTCTTACACCAGCCAGGGAATCTTTGTTGAGTCTAGGGCAGGGCAGGGCTGGGCAGTCTCCGTCAGCTCCTAACCAAGCATCCGCAAGAGTAACATGCTCTGAATCCTTCAGGAGACGGACTGTTGCGAAACCTTTTAGACTGATAATTGCCATCAGTTTTAAAGGTCAGTTTAGGAACTCCATGCTCCAAATTGCCACATTTGTTCTCTGCTGTTATCATCACTCACCCCGAGGTGGGCAGCTGCTTCAGCCACATAATTTATTTAAAGAAAAAAAAATAATTGCAGGGGCAAAAATGTTTCAGAACATGACCCCACCCGACGGTCTCAAAGCAACTTGCTGTGACGTTAACAAGCACTTCGAGGGGTGCCTGGGGCTGCCGAGGCACTGTGGAGCAGCAGGAGGAGGCCCCGGGGGCCTCAGGTCCCAGCACGGTCTCCTATGTGGAAGAAGGGGCCAGCCCCTGGCTGAGACGCCCTGCAGAGACCCAGGGCTGGGGGGAGCTTGCTGAGGTGGAAATGGGAAGCAGGCGTTGATGAGTGAGGTGCCGTCTGCACCTGGATGCTCAGCCGGCTGCTGCCGTCCCCATTGCACTGACCTTGGCTGAGACCCCAAATTCATGATCGTGTCAACAGTCTCCTGATTGAGGCCAGGCGCAGTGGCTCACGCCTGTAATCCCAAAACTTTAGGAGGCTGAGGCAGATGAATCAGTTGAGGCCAGGAGTTCGAGAGCAGCCTGGCCAACATGGTGAAACCCTGTCTCTACTAAAAATACAAAAATTAGCTGGGCGTGGTGGCGGGCGCCTGTAATCCCAGCTACTCGAGAGGCTGAGGCAGGAGAATCGCTTGAACCCGGGAGGCAGAGGTTGCAGTGAGCCAAGATCGCGCCACTGCACTCTAGCTTGGGTGGCAGAGAAAATTCCATCTCAACAACAAAAAAATTCTGATTGAAATGAAGGTCACTTTCTTGAAAGCTTGGGAAGCTTGTGTTTTGCCTCAGAACCAGTTTTTGAACCCCAGAAAAGAAGATCCACCCCCGTTAGGAGAGCTAGGCCTGGTTCTGCCCCATGGCACATCAGCTCTATCCCTCCCTTATCCACCAGGCTGGCCTCTCAGTGACTCAGCTCTCGGTGAAAGTTGTGATTCATTTGAAAATATTGGAAAGATTCAGAGCTCTAGGACCAGAGCCCCTGGAAGGGGTGACATCCCCCAGGTGGAGAGGGCGCTGGGAAAGCAGGTTTGTGGAGCATGTAGGAATCGTGGCCGCACGCTCAGGTATGTGGGGAATGTGCCCCTGTTTCTCTGTCCTGCCAGAGGGTGGAGGAATCTGACTCCCCTACCTGCTCTTCAGCAGCGGGGCCTCCAGCAGGGGGGCCTCTAGCAGAGGGGCCTTGTCATTGTCCCCATGCTGCTCCCCCTTGGCCCTTCATCCCTGTCTGTGCAGGGTGTCCATCTGTCCTCGGTGAGGGGCCACTGCTGCCTGGCCTCGCCCCCACCCTGGGGACCCTGCTGAGGATGGGAACACTGCTCCTGGCCCTCAGACCTCTCTGGGGTTTGTGGTTCCCCGAGCCTGGGGTTCTGACCAGGGGTGGGCTGACCACAGGTCACCTTCTGAGGGACCCCTGGTATCTCCTGCATGGACTCCTCGAGTGCCTGAGCCCAGGGGGAGAGCAGCCTGGGCCTGTCCAGGGCTCACTGGCCCAGGTTCCCCACCCTAGGCCAGCTCTTCTTGACACATGTAGGCTGTGAGTCCTCACCCCGTGGGGTCGTCAGGCCAGATGAGGCCATGCATGTGAGGAAAGCTTCTGATCCTTCTCCAGTCCACGGCAGTGCCATTCCCACCTGTGGGGGGGAGGAGGCAGGCTCGGGAGGTGCAGTTACGTTCCCGAGGCCATGCGGCGTTCGACCTGGGTCAGCCTTGCTCAGTGTTTCTCAGGAGGCCCTCCTTTTGTCCACGTGGCCTTTTCCTCAGACGTTTTTGTGAAGGACGATGTGGCAGAGCCCTTCTGGCTGGGCCCTCTACCCGTCTCCACCCCAGAGGGCCCAGGGACTGCGCAAGCTGCTGATGGGGACCCCCACACTGAGCGGGGTGTCCCATGCCTAGGAAGGACAGATTCCTTGGCCAGCGTTGCTGAGCCTCTGTCCTGTCACTCACCCCCTTCCAGGCTCCGAGGGATGTGAGGACTTCAGACCACACACTTCCCAGGGCACATGTGTCGCTGGGGATCCCTCATCAGTCCATTTGCACCTGTGCTGTGGGGAGCCGGTCTCTGCTGCACTTGGGCAGCCCGCCCCGGCGGAGGGCAACCCCTTAATGAGCCTTAGCAGGTGGCATGTGGGCCAGCGTGTCCCAGCACGAGACGTTCTTGTGCTGGGTCCCTTCAGCTTTAGCCTCAGTGGGCAATTGGCCCAAGTCCCTGGCTGCTTCCCCACTGCAGCCCCTACCCAGCTTGGGTGGGGTCCTCACTGCCCACCCCGCCCCCCGCCACCTTGGCCCCCTTCCAGGTTCCAGACTTCCACTTGCGTGTGTCAGAAACGCAGCTCAAACCCACCCATGTGCACGTGCGCAAAGCTCGTTGGCCTGGGAGGCCCAGGGCACGCTCACCCCCAGGGGGTCACACAGTCTGACCAGGCTTTCGCGTCCTTCCTGCTCTCTCACTGCACTGTCCGCTTCTGCTTCCCAGCCTGTGGACGCTCCCTGGAGGGCAGAGCAGCTGGCACACCATGCCCATGCTCTGAGCGAGCAGCTGAGCTCTGGCCCACAGTGGTTGCAGATGATGTCGTAGAAAGGGCCCAGAAATAGCGAGGGGTGGTGGTGGCGGCAAACCTGGCAGCAGAGCCTGTGACAAGTGCAGTGACGCCTCACAGCGGGCTCAGGGGGTGGGTGGCCTGGTCTGAAGTCACCATAAGCAGAACAGGCTTCGCACCAGGACATCCGGGTCAATAACAGCCGGCCCCAGGCTGGCGATGACTCATGTTGGAGGGGCTATGGCCAGTGCCGTGGAGGACAGGCGTGGGAGCAGTCTCACCAGATTAAGTTTACTTCCAGCATTTGGGTCTAAACCCTCCAATGAACAGATGGGCTGGGGATGTGGCCTGTTTGCCGCAGGCGACAGAGGCTGCTGTGTGGCGAGTACTGCGGCAGGGCCTGCTCTGCGTCCCGTGCACCCTGGGGTGGCACTAATGGCACTTTTCAGCCCTCGGGTTCCATCACGTGGTCTTCTTACATGGGCTGCTGGGTGGTCACGGGGCGGGGGGTCACATGACTCTGTAAAATGTGTCCTCATTCACGAGGGGCCCAAATGCTGGGGAGGGAGGGAGGCCTGGGGCAGCCCAGCCAGGCAGGGAAGCTCGGCGGCAGGAGCCGCAGCCCAGGGCAGAGGAAGGGTGGCTGTCCCCCCAACTCCCTTCCCAACCCCCCTGCAGACCTCTATGCTCTGCTTCTATGCCTGAGCTTTAGTGGGGGTGTTTTTTTAAATTGCAAAATGGACATTTTAAGGGCATCTCTCTCTGAGTGTCCGGCATATAGATGCGGCTCAATGGATGGCAGCCGGGATGAGGATGACGAAGCAGAGATGAAGGGGGCACATGTGTGTGCACCATACACACACACCCGAAGTGGTGCGGACTGGAGCCCTCCAGGCTGGCCTCGGGCTTGAAGGCAGAAAGACCATGGGGTTTCTTTAGTTTTCTGGGTCAGGATTCCCCATTTGTTGGGACCACATCAAGCATCAATCTGACAATAGCTGTTTCCTTAGTGCTTACTGTGTCCCGCCACTGTGATCAGCACATTTCACAGCCACAGAACCACCCTCTGGAGCTGTTCCTGGTTAGGGATGGCACGAACCATCTCTGTGTGGCCAGGCCTGCTGGGGCTGCCCTAGGCGGTGGCCATGCTGGGGCTGCGCTTGTGGCCTCCTGGCACTGTCGTCTGGCCTGGCATTCTCTTGGGGCCCAGGTGTTCCTGGGTAAAGCAGGGCCTGGGGTCAGGAGCTGGGCTTCCATCCGAGGTGGGTGCCAGATGCTCAGCTTGCAGCAAAACCACAGGACAGGCAGAAAGGGTCAGGCCAGAGCAGGCCAATTCTTAGAGGCCAGAGGGGCAGGCCCAGCCACTGAGGTGGCCTCAGTTGTCAGTCTTGGGGCCAAGGAGGGTGAGGAGAAGGGGATATGAGCGAATTGATCTTCCACCGTGTGACTGGCCTGGCGCTTACATATGCAATGGAGACAGCACTTTGTAGACAACTCCTGTTGCCTCAGTTTTCTTCCCTGCACTCCTGCCAATCAGGCCAAGTGATGACCCCCACCACCCCATGGGAAGGTAGGGCAGGTGTCATCCAGGACAGGAAGTCCATGGGGTAGGGAGGAAGGAGATGACCTGGGGAAAGGTCCCACTAGACTGTAATCTGCCCCTGGTCCTAGGTGGGAGGAGAGCCTCGGAGGGGCCACGCTGTTGGAGGATGAGCCAGGGCCCTGGGAAGTGACCCCCATTTGTCTTGGTTCAATAGTAGTTGTATGTGTTGGGGGGTATGAGCAAGAGAACAGGAATCCCACAGAAACCCCAGCTGGTGAGGGGCTGGTTCTGCATGGCATGAGAGAGGTTGAGCAGGTGAGCCCCAGGTAGAGCCCCAAGGCCCCCTGCTCTTCCTCAGCCTGGAAAGGAAAAATCCAGGGGATTCTGTGTGCTTGTGGAGGAACCACGGTCAAGAACTTTGGTGGGCAACTGCCTGCTTGGCGAAGTGAGCTGGGGCTGAGGGCTGCGGGGGACCATGCGGTCTGGGGTCAGATGGGAGCTGCAGCCAGACCTGAGGGGCTCAGAGCACCCCTGGGGCCCAGGCTGGGCCTCAGGAGCAGGCCCCTCGCCGAGCTTCAGGAGCTTCAGCAGGCAGGGCGGAGGCCCACCCGGCGAAACAAGGCAGCACGGCCAGGCCCTGAAGCAGAAGCCAGCTCCTGGATCCAGATGTGCCCGTGGCAGGGAAGGAAATGAGGGAGACCCTCTCAAGCACAGAGGGATCATCAGCCCCTCCAGGGCATGGAAACTTTGAACGACTCAATGCTTCCCCGAAAGAGCCTGAGTTCAACCAAAGACCGCTTTAATGGAAAGACTGAGTTCATTTTAATTGGCAATTAAAAAAAGTGATTAGTTGTAGTTAATAGGGAACAGTTATTTGCACATCTGAGTTTTTGCATGTGCACCCGATTCTGTTACACCTGCGCCTCATTTAACCCTTCCTATACCCTGCATCATGGTGTCAACCCCAGGAAACCAGGACTCAGAGAGGCTCATTGGCAAGCCCCAAGCCACACAGCAAGCAAGGCTGGGGTGGGAGCTCAGCCCCCAGAGTTTGCTTCAGAGGAGAGAGGGACAAGGAGTCTGCAGGACAGGGCCTGGCGCTGCCATCGACTTGCTGTGTGACTGTTCTCTGAGCCGACTTCCTCTGCTGACAAATGAGAGTGGGTCAGCATCCATGAGAAAGGGTTGAAGGAAATAGGGACATTTATTCCAGAATGTTGCTGCTTGATTGAGGGAACTGACTTCATCTGTAAAGCAAGGCGGTGGGCTCAGGGGAGGGAGTCCTAAATGGGGAAGAGGGGCCTTCCACAGGAACTTGGAGTCCTTCCAGGGACATTGTCCTGGTGTGGCCACCAGGTGGCAGCACAGCCCCCTTCAAATGACTGCTCGCGCGTGCTTATGATGGGGCGTGCATGGGTACAGGCAGCTGTGGGGAAAGAAGGGGGAAGGGCCCCATTCCCTACCTGCTCTTCTTGCCCTCCTGGGCCAGCTCTTCTTCCCCTTACGCCCCGGGCTGCTGTGGACAAATGTCTGATGGGCCCAGGGCGCCAGCCAGACTGAGGACCCGTGAGCAGCCTACCAGGGTAGGGGGCTCACCCTTGACCAGCAGAAACCTTCTTGTCCCCAGCCACAAACCTCAAGCATGCACTACCAGCAAGACCTTAAGGAGGCCTGAAGAGGAAAGTCGCTCTGCTTCCAAGCCAGGGCTTTGTGCAGGTTTCAGCTGGGCCTCGGGCTGCACCTCTAGCCCACCCACAGCTCCCTGTCACGTTGGGGATGAAGTGGGATCTCCTTAGCTTAGCACTGGAAGAAGACCCTTCAGGACCTGGCCCTCCCCATCTCCCCGGCGCTCGGGGCTCCTGGGGCTCTTCGCATGCCTCTCTCCTGCGGCTTTGCACCTGCCGCTCACCTGTCTTTACCGGCGCTTTCTGCACAAGCCCTGGCTCTGACTTCCCTGCAGCAGGGAGGCAGTGTGGGCTGTGTCAGCAGCAGCTTTTGCAGTGTTACCTTTATCCAGAGCTGCCCAGGCCTGGGGGGCTAGGCTGAGGGTGCCCTGCGGCTTTGGAGAGGGAGAGGCTGGGTCTTCACGCGCTACAGTCCAAAAAAGACTCTTTTCCTCTGGGCTCTTACAGGCCCTAAGCCAGTTTATGCCAGGGCTGTAACAAGATGACTCTTAAGGGTAGAAATATGTACAAATAGTAGCCAAATTGCCTGTTCAGGAATCGTCTCTGCCCAGTTGGCAATTTGGATAAAATTACAAAAAAAAAAAAAAAGTCCTTGATTAGATTTGGCAAGGCTGGCTTGTACTCACAGGTCGGGGCCTAAAGGAACCCAGCAATAATCAGTCTCCTTAAAATTTAGAAAGAAGCAGGGCTGAGGAGATGCAAACAGGCTGTGGGCAGAAATCTTGTATTCTCACCCTGGTTTTCTGCTACTCCTGGTAGTTTTGGCTCCTTGGAGAATGATCAGGCAGTGGTGTGGGGCTGCAATTCACACAAATGGCCACTGGATGATGCCAGAGGACCGGCTCTGGATGCTTAAGTCCTCACTGCCTCCCTGGAGGGACCTCTCTTGGGGCCTGCAGTCACCACCCAGACCAGACCTGCCCCATGTTCTGGTCCCATAAGGATGTTCCTAATGATCAGCATCTCTTTCTGACCCCAGGCACGTTCTGGAAGCTCCTGTGGGCAGGCCCTGGGGGCCTCAACCACTTGGTTGGCCGGGGGGCAAGATGAATCACCAGAGCTGTGACTTCACCTAAAAGAGCAAAGTGCTGTGGGCATTTGAGGCCTCAGAGACAGACTGGGGGGTGGCTGGGGTTTTGCGCAGGCCTGGCTAGGAGGAAGGCAGGTGCCCAAAGACATCCATGGGTCCCTGTTCTCATGGTAGGTTCCATTTGCTGCAGGCCCCTCCCATGGTCCCAGCACTGAGCGCCCACACACGCCAGAGGTTGCAAGCTGGCAGCCCTCAGAAGCACTTTGGCGGCTCACTGTATTTTTTCAGGGTACTTTTATATCCTCCACCGCAAGTCCTCAGAAGGTGGGCACAGACGGCTGGGCTGGTTGGGCAGTAACCTGACTAAGCATCCTGCCCCAGGATTCAGTCCCCCCGCCCTCAGACCCAGCCCTGGTCCCAGGTTTGTCACCTCCTGGCCCCCTATGGCATTTGAGACCCTGACCTCTGCCTAAACAAAGCAGACGATGGTTTTCCCTGACATTCCCACACCTCACCTTGGTCTGTCTTTCCCGCCTGCCCCCACCTCCAGCCTGAATCTCTTCCTTCCCTCACCACTTATTTCAAGCCTGTTCTTCCTTGAAGGCCCTGCCCGCCTGTCCCTTCCGCCAAAAGGTCCCCGACGACTCCAGCCCCCCGGGTAGTCTATCTCTTCTGTCCCCTACAGGACTCACTGCCTAGACTGCTAACTGCAAACAGACACCAGGGAAGGAGTTGACTTTCTACGGCGGTGGCAAGGGAGAAATGGGGAGAGGATCCTACATATATTGAGCAGATGCCAGACACTTCATCACGTCATGAATCCTGGTGAGGATGAAATAAGGTCCACATAGACGTTTTCTTTGTTTTTGAGATGGAGTCTCACTCTATCGCCCAGGCTGGAGTGCAATGGTGCCATCTCTGCTCACCACAACCTCAGCCCCTCCCAAGTTCAAGCGATTCTCCTGCCTCAGCCTCCCAAGTAGCTGGGACTACAGGTGTGAGCCACCACGCCTGGCTAATTTTTGTATTTTTAATAGAGACAGGGTTTCACCATGTTGGCCAGGCTGTTCTTGAACTCCTGACCTCAGGTGATCCACCTGACTCGGCCTCCCAAAGTGCTGGGATTACAGGCATGAGCCACAGCGCCCAGCCCACATAGACTCTTTCTTTCTTTCTTTCTTTCTTTTCTGAGACAGTCTCGCTCTGTCGCAAAGGCTGGAGTGCAGTGGCACGATCTTGGCTCACTGCAAGCTCCGCCTCCCAGGTTCACACCATTCTCCTGCCTCAGCCTCCTGAGTAGCTGGGACTACAGGTGCCCGCCACCAGGCCCGGCTAATTTTTTGTATTTTCAGTAGAGACGAGGTTTCACTGTGTTAGCCAGGCTTGTCTCGAACTCCTGACCTCAGGTGATCCACCCGCCTTGGCCTTCCAAAGTGCTGGGATTAGAGGTGTGAGCCACCGTGCCTGGCCTAGACTCTTTCAATTCTGTGAAAAGTCATGCTGAGAAGGTGCAGTCCAGGCTCAGCTTGACTCCAGGGCTGATGCCCAGCACCTCAGG
Source organism: Homo sapiens (assembly GCF_000001405.40). Lineage (NCBI taxonomy): Eukaryota > Metazoa > Chordata > Mammalia > Primates > Hominidae > Homo > Homo sapiens. Next base: position 17,358,009 of record NC_000017.11, read on the forward strand.
CTGCAGAGATTAAGATGCCCAGAGGCATGCAAGAAATAGAAAGGGATGGGGTAGCAGGTGACTCACACTGAAGCCTCCCCCATCATCCCAAATCCTCTAAGGGGACAAAAAATATGTTTTTAAAATTCACAACCACATTGAAAACAAGACTGGTGCGCTTGGTTGACCAGACACTATGCTGAAGGCCTTAAAGGCAGAAGAGGCTGGGGCCAATGGTGGGAGGGGGCTGGCTGCTGCGAAAAGTTGGGGCCACTGTAGGCCCCTGGGCCCTGATGGGATGATTGTTCAAGGTACTCAGTAGGAGCCACAGGTGAATTCAACCCTCTTCCTGACCACCACCACCACACACACACACACACACACACACACACACCCAGACCAAGCAGATAACACAGGTATCTGTGTTTTGAGGGAGTGGTCATCAGAAGTAATGTGAGTGCAAGGCTTGAAGGGGCAGGCACTGTCCTGGAAGGCTGGTGTGTTTAGGGAGAATGGAGGCCCCCATGCACAGAACATTAGGTAGTGGCTGGTGGTGCATTCTGCTACCCCACGAGTGGGGCAGGCTGTGGGAGAGAGCTGTGATGCTTGCAGATTGGCTAACCATGAACTTCAGACACAGAGATGAGCCTGTGAATGACAGGCAGCAAACTCCTCAATGAGAGAATTGACACCCAAGGAAAGGGAGTTAAGGCACCAGGATGAGGACTTAGAAAGGTGTACTCAGTATCCCTGGAGAGATGGGATAGGCTATTGGATCCCCAAAAAAATCAACTAGAGAATCTAGAAAGTTAAAATCTGGTCATTGAAAAAACTCCATAAATGGGATGAATAGCAGAATGGACACAGCTGACGAGCAAAGAAATGAGTAAGAGGATTGAGTTAAGGACTTCTAGAAGGCAGCATGAAAGGACAAAGAGATGGAAAGCACAGAATAAAAGTTAGGATACATGGAGGACAGAGTCAAAGTTTCATTTTCTGGTCCCAGAAGACATAACCAAAAGAATGCAGGGGAAGAAATTTTCCAGAGCTGAGACTGGCAATGTCCCAGAACTCTGCCAGTGCCTATCAGGATAAATGAAGAGGGAGCCTTTGCTGGACAGACATGTTGAAATTTCAGAACACTGGGGATAAAAAAGACTCTAAATATTTCAGACTGAAAACAGACGACTTGCAAAATAATGGAATACAGGAAGCCAGAAAAAAAGAAGAAATTATCTTTAAAACCTGAAGGAAAATAATGTCTAAGACGTTTAGCATTGATAAAATTCCTTTTTGAAAGAATTGTTAAATGATATGCCCTAGCAAGAAGAAAAAGTAATCCAAGAAACAGAGGCTGAGTGCAGTAGCTCACACCTGTAATCCCAGCACGTTGAGAGGCCAAGGCAGGAGGATTGCTTGAGGCCAGGAGTTTGAAACTAGCCTGGGAAACATAGTGAAACCCCATGTCTACAAAAAGTAGCAAAATTGGCTGGGCGTGGTGGTGCTTGCATGTAGTCCCAGCAACTTGGGAGGTTTAGGTGGGAGGATCACTTGAGCCTAGGAGTTTGAGCTTGCAGTGAGCTGTGATTGCTCCACTGCACTCCAGCCTGGGTGACAGAGGAAGACCCTGTCTTAAAAAAGAAGTGGAATACAAGAAACAATGATGAGCAAAGAAACCAACAAAACTTATTAAATCTAAGTAAGTGTTGATTGCTTGAAAATTAATAACAATCTGCAACTAAAATATTAGATATTATCAATTTAAGTGTTGAGGAGTTTGTGGAGCAGTAGAGAGTAAATGTGTGCTGAAGCTCTTGTCTTGATAGAGAGTGGATATAGATTCTAATTAACTGTAGATATTCGTAGAATAAGGTTAAGTATGTATGTGAAAATGTAAAGGGAAATCTCCAGAAAAGTAGAAGTAGTATGTATAACTTATAAACTATTAGAGGGAAAAACTGAAATGGGAAAAATGAAGTCAATCCAACAAATATCAGGAAAGAGATGAAAAACAAACCATGGGAGATAGAAAATAAAAACTTATATAAAAGGAATAAGATCAAACATTTCAATAATCACATACAATAAATGTGAATGGGTTAAATTCACCTATTCAGGAGTCTCCCTAGACCAAAAAAAAAAAAAAAAAAAAAAAAAGAAAAGAAATCCTGCCTTCAAAAAACACATATAAATCCTAATGACCCAGGAAGGTTCTAAATAGGAGAGTAGAAAAAGATATAATTTATAAAGTCCTAACAAAAAGCTATTGGTAAGCATACATCAGTATCAGACAAAACAGAGCTCAAGGCAAAAACTTGATTAAAAAAGGAAATCTGAATTCATGTTGCTAAGAGACAATCTACCAGCAAAATAAAAATGATGAAATCTTATGCTCTTAACATAGTTTCAAAATATTTAACACAAAAACTGATAGAACTATAAAGAGAAATGGACAATTTTACAATTAGAGCGAGAGACCTTAATATATTTTTCTCAGAAATTGACAGATGTAATACAATTTCTTTTTCAAACTGTTCAAATCTATATAGGTCCTATAGGTTTTTTGTCTAGGGAGACTCCTGAATAGGTGAATTTAACCCATTCACATTTATTACATGTGATTATTGAAATGTTTGAACTTATTCCTTTTATATAAGTTTTTGTTTTCTATCTCCCATGTTTTGTTTTTCTTCCCTTTCCTGATATTTGTTGGGTTGATTTCATTTTTCCCATTTCAGTTTTCCCTCTAATAGTTTACAAGTTATACGTTCTATTTTCATTTTTCTGGAGATTTCTCTTAACATTTTCTTTCTTTCTTTCTATTCTTTTCTTTTCTTTTTTGCTTTTTTTTTTTTTTGAGATGGAGTTTTGCTCTTGTCTCCCAGGCTGGGGTACAGTGGCGCAGTCTTGGCTCACTGCAACCTCTGCCTCCCGGGTTCAAGTGATTCTCCTGCCTCAGCCTCCTGAGTAGCTGGAACTACAGGCACGCACCACAATGCCTAGCTAATTTTTTGTATTTTTAGTAGAGATGGGGTTTCACCATGTTGGCCAGGCTGGTCTTGAACTCCTGACCTCAAGTGATTTGCCCGCCTCAGCCTCCCAAAGTACTGGGATTACAGGCGTGAGCCACCGTGCCTGGCCTCCCTCAATATTTTCACACACCTACTTAACCTTATTCTACCAACATCTAGAATTAATCAGAATCTATATCCACTCTCTAACAAGATAGATAGATAGATAGATAGATAGATAGACTTGAACAGTTCAAAAAAGAGTTATTTTCAGATATACATGGACTGGTTACAATATTGAAATATTGAAAAAGAGGAGATAAAGTTAGTTGTTTTGTAGACAGTATGATTATCTCATTAGAAAAGAAAAAAAAAGGACAAATGAAGAGTTTGGCAAGCTTGGCAAGCTTGTTGGATTAGAAGAACAAGGTGCAAACACCATTGCTTCCCTGGCAGTGGAAATGGGGATGAGGATGGATATGAGAGATGGCATTTGGAAGGCAGGGCAACAGGGCAGGGAGAGGGAGGACAGAGGCAGGGAAAGGGAGGACAGGCAGGGAGGGGGAGGACAGGCGCGGAGGGGAGGACAGAGGCAGGGAGGGGGAGGACAGAGGTAGGGAGGGGGAGGACAGAGGCAGGGAGGGGGAGAAGAGAGGCAGGGAGAGGGAGGTGAAGGCTGGGAGGGGGCATTCTTTGGGAAGATTGCAGAGTGTGGGCTTGCCAACATTCATTGAGTGCCAAGCATCTCCTAAGTGATGTGCATGAATGATCTCATCTAATCCCTGAGGTGGCTGCTATTAACACACCCACTTCACAGATGGAAGAACCTGAGATGCGCAGGCATGGTGAGTCCCAGCACGGCCGGGATTTGGGCTTTGGGCCCTCTGACGCTGCACAGCTGCTCTTAATCTCCACGTCATAAATGGGCTCTTCACTCTGCTCAGGGTGCTCTTCTGGGAAGAGTGTGGTTGGTTTTTCTAATTCTCAAAGAAGCATGTGATCCAGGAAATATTAAGAAGCACTGCCTCACACATTGGGATATATCCCAGCATTGGGAACATGGGGTCTGAGGGCCTGGCGTGGGGAGGACGCTGGCTGCTGTGGCCCGGGGGACGGTCCTGGGATAGCCTGTGCTGGCAGTTCCAACATTCCCATGAGTCAGCAGAGGACATCTGGTTCCAGGCTCTCGGACAAGAAGAGAGAGACCCCTGGAGCTGCCCTCTCTGGCCCCACACTGTTTTTGAGACAGGCATCTGGAGCCCAGAGAGGGGGCCACTCACCCAGGGTCCTGCAGCTGGGGGTGGCTGAGGGGCTGGGCCAGGGAGAGGCCGGACACCCCTGCCATGGTCCTACCCCATGCTGCCTGGCTGTGGCAGCCCAGCTGGCCCTCCCCCAGCCCCTCATGGCTGAGAAAACCCCCTTTCTCCTCCCCACAGCGTGACTCCCAGGAAGGAAGAGCCAGCACCCTTCCACCTAGAAGCCTGCAAAGCACCAGCACGGCCGGACGGCTTCATGCAGCCTATGGCCAGGTGGTGTGCCTTGGGCTGATTTTTTTTTTAATTGTGGCAAAATACATATTTACTATTTGAACCATTTTAAAATGTGCAATTCAGTAGCATTGTGGTCATTCATAATGTGGTGTGAGCAGCACCACTGTCTTGTTCCAGAACTTCACCACTCAGACCCACCAGCGCTCACTCCCTGTCCCCTCCCCCAGGCCCTGCGCCACCCTGCTTATTCATAGGTTTACCTATTCTGGACATTGCGTATAAATGGAATCAGGTGCTCTGTGGGCTTGCGCGGCTGGCTTCTGCCACTTAGGATCATGGAGTCGAGGTTCATTCACCTGGTAGTATGTGCCTGGCCTTTCCTTTTAGTGGCTGAATAAGATTTCTTTTCTTTTCTTTTTTTTTTGACACGGAGTCTCACTCTGTCGCCCAGGCTGGAGTGCAGTGGCGCGATCTCGGCTCACTGCAACCCCCGCCTACCGGGTTCAAGCAATTCTTCTGCCTCAGCCTCCCAAGTAGGTGGGATTATAGGCACCTGCCACCACGCCCAGCTAATTTTTTGTATTTTTAGTAGAGACGGGGTTTCACCGGCCAGGCTGGGCTTGAATGCCTGACCTCAAGTGATCTACCCGCCATCACTGTGGCCCTGGGTCAGCTCCTAGCTGGCTCCTGCTCCCACCCTTGCCCCCTAGGGTCTGTTCTCCTCCAGCCTAAGGCAACTGTCCTCCCTCCTCTGCTCAAAACCCTCTCATGGCTCACACTTTACTAGGGCAGAAGCCCAAGTCCTCACCATGGTCCTCATCGTTTGTCCATTGGCACCGCCTCTTGGGCCTCCCTGCTCCCCTCCAAGCTCCTGTGCCTGTTCTTTCCTCTCCCAGACACTCTTCCTCCTGACCCTGTGTGCAAGCTCAGCCCTCTCATGGCATCTCTAAGTCTCAGGTCTCTCAAAGAGCCTCTTCTGCTTAAACTTGGACTGTCCTCTCCTGAGCCCTTCCTTGTTGACTCACTCGTTGCCACCTCCTAAGGAAGGGAGGAAGATTTAAATGGGACATGAAGGAGCAGTAGGAATCAGCTAGCCCGGGGAGGTGGTGGTGATGGGGAAGAGGGGGGTTGGGCGTGACAACCCAGGGCAGGAGGGAGGTGGCCTTGGAGGGAGTGAGCAGGTCCATGAGGCTGTGCAAGCAGCCAGGGGCGGGGCAGGTGAGAGAGCAGGCAAGGTGGCAGGGGCTCTGTTGGCCTCGCCTGTCTCCGCCTGGCCCTCCCCTGTGGCTTCATCTTGTTATGGCATCTTGGGTCATCAGCCTCCTGCCACAGTGATGCACACACCCTGTTCCCCTGTTCCTGGGTGATTATAAACACCCTCAAGGTGACAGCCCGCCCTTCTCAGCCTCGTCTGCACCCTACAGAGTGAGCACCTGCAGGATGGGTAAATAAACAGCTGTGAGAACCAACCAGCCAATCTCACAACGAGGGGAAACCCAGGGTTAGGCAAGGTCAAGGACCCTGTAGCCCTTTTGTAGCCTTGAACTCCAGGGAGGGGTAGGGCAGCCGCTTGGTTGGGGCAAAGTGTGTATTTGAAGGAGCCAAGCAGCAGGAAGAAAGAGAAAGTAGTTCTCTATGGCTCTCCTGGGAAGTGAAGCACTTTGAAAACTTGGAGGGCTTCCTGGAAGAGGCAAACCCAAGGTAGCTGGCCCATCTCACCTCACTGGGGAAATTCTGACCCATTTCTTCCAGATCCCAGAGACTCGGCCTAGGTCCTGCTGGGCCTGGACACTGTACCCTGCTTCTCTTCAGGCAGGGCCTCCCTTCCCCAGATTCCCAGGCCTGGAGGAAGCCACAGGAAGTGGAACGAGGCGCCGGCTCTGTGTCTGCTTGGGGACATGGGTTAATTAATCAGGCTTTGCCCTTTCGTGGTGCTCTTGTACCCTGGAGCTGAATATTCAGGCTGGCTCCCTGACTTAGCTCCTGCCTGCGTCTGACTGGCTCTATTTTTAAAGCCCAGAGGACAGCTGACGAAAACGTTTAAAAAGAAACCAAATGTTTAACATGTAAAAGCCTGGTGCCTCTGTTTTGTTCGGAAAGCAGGATGACATGCGTTTTGTCCCCATCCCCGGGAGGGTGCAGCGTTTTGCAGCAAGGTCAGGGTCCCAGGAAACCCAAGTCAGGCCCCAGCTTTGCCACTTACCTCTGTGTGAACTTTGCCAGCCTCCTTCTCCTCCTGTGCCTCCGTTTCCACTATGTGAAAAGAGAAGTTGGGATGAGTTGGATTCCCCTCATTAGACTTTGGGTGATTCAAGAGCCGTTTTTCTGCAGGGAATGGGTGTGGTGGGGGCAGGCTCCCTCCTCTGTTCCCCACCTGCTCCTTCTCATTTCATCTGGCTAATTCCCCTGGAAAGCTCCACTTTCTAACTAGGAGGAAGGGTCTCCTGCAAGCCCTTCGCAAGGTGTTGGGGAGGTCTTGGGAACAGAAGTTGGCAGCCCTTGTCTTTAATCTGCAGCTCACATTCAGGGTCACCTGTGCCAGGCATCAGTTTTAACATATTTTATTTTATTTTATTTATTGTTTTTTGAGATGGAGTTTCGCTCTTGTTGCCCAGGCTGGAGTGCAATGGTGCGATCTTGGCTCACTGCGACCTCCACCTCCCAGGTTCAAGCAATTCTCCTGCCTCAGCCTCCTGAGTAGCTAGGATTACAGTCATGCACCACCACGCCTGGCTAATTTTGTATTTTTAGTAGAGACGGGGTTTCTCCATGTTGAGGCTGGTCTCGAACTCCTGACCTCAGGTGATCTGCCCGCCTCGGCCTCCCAAAGTGCTGGGATTACAGGCGTGAGCCACCGCGCCTGGCCTTAACATCTTTTAAAAGGGGGAGTGGCAGTGCCCTCCTGGCTCACCTCACACAGCTGTAGCAGGAATCTAATGTCATGGTAAATGTATGTGGTTGATGACACTTGGAGTTCCTTCAGTGCCACCAATTTTCAAGTACTCTAATCCAGATACTAACTGAACACGTACCAGTACCAAAAAAAACCCATTATTGACATGTAGGGTGGGGCCAACTACGTAGGCAACATGACTTCTGAGCTAGTCCCAGCAAGGGACAGCAGTTTGTCATGCAGGCCGCTGGTGCCTCTCAGTTCTCCATCACGGGGCAGAGGGGGCACCTCGAGGATGTGGCACAGGGTTCACCCCCACAGGGTTCCTCCTTGGCAGGGTGTGGTGGCCGCAGTAATCTGTCTAGCCCATATGTCCTCTGCACATGGCTCTGTCTCTCCCCTTGATTCTGGGAGGATGTGTAACTTGCTGAGGAGCAATAGAATGTGAGAAACAATGCAGCTTCTGCTTGGTTTGCTGAAATGCCACGTAAGCAGGCCAGCTGCTCGAGCTGCCATGCTGTGAGGAAGTCCAACAAGCCCACACAGATAAACATCAGGAGGAAGAGATGCCCCGCCAGGGGCTCAGAACCGCAAACGCACGACAGACTGTTTGGCTGAGCCCTCCTGTAATTCCTTAGGCACAAAAATTATGAGAAACAATAGTGTTGTCTCTGCTGCTAAGTTTTGCATGCTTTGTTACACAGAAGTAGTAACTGACTCAGAGATGGTTGGTGCAGACCCAAGGATGGGTCTTCTCTCAGAAGTCTTGGCTGTGGTCCAGAGTTGGGGTTGAGATTTTGGAGTGGAGTAGCTTGGCCAATGAAATGAGCACAGAAGTGACCGATGCCACTCCTGGTGGAAAAGCCTGTGTGCTACTCTCTTGCCTGCTTTGGCAAACTTTGAAGCCTCCCTTTGAGATGGGGGTGTCTTAAGATGGTGAAACATGTTAGTTTGAGTGGGTCCCTGAAGATCTGCAAAGAGAGAAACCACTCCCATCAAGCCAAACCTTAGTGGTATTAAGCCCTTGAGATTTGGGGGTTGTTTGTTACTGTAGCTTAAAGTGACCTCTCCTGACTGATACATGATACAAACAAATAATAAGAGTGAAATGTTTCCCATTTTATTGTTGAGAGACTGGGATATCGAGAACATTCAGTTAAGCATTAGCTCTTATTATAATTCCAATTCCTGTGTCTAAATGGAGACCCTGAGATGTGGAGTTGAATGCAAGAAGTTTGTTTGGAAGCTGATTCCTGGAAGCACTGATGGTGAGGTGGAGAAGTGAGATGGTGAAGGAAAAGGAATTTGATTACTGGGTGCAGGGATGAGAAGCTTACTGCTGTGGGTAACTGGGGTTTGGTCCTTCTGGGGATCTCTGGGAGACTGTGCACAGCATGCTTCAGGTGATCCCAGCCCAGAGGTACGGGAGCTGGGGATTTACCCATCTGCTTCCATCAATTGTTAGTTGAGGGCTGCTCCTGGGGTGTCAGCTGTCAGGCAGGCCCTCGGGCTTGCCCTGGGCACACAGCAGCATGTTCTTTGGCCAGGGGAAGTCTTCGGGCAGAGGCCCTGGCTTTGCAGGGAGGAGCTGTTGGTGAGAACAGACTTTGCCTGCTCTGGGAGTGCGGGGGAGGCATCCTACTTTACAGATGAGGAAGAGAGCTCTTGGGAGTCATCTGTGCCACAGCCTTAGCATGACCCCTGGCCCTTCCGACTTCCGGGCTTACGTTTTGGATCGCTGAGCCTCTTGGTGGGAAAAGCATAGAACACCAGGACGGGACCTCCTGTCCTGAGTCTCAGCTCCTGGTGGGAAGGGACTGCGTCTCTTTTGCTGTGACCAGCAGCTCTGCATCTGTGGAAATGTCCCGCAGGGGAGCAACCCAAGACCCAGGCGGGCTCTCAGGGACCCTCGTGGGCTGCCAGCTGGACAGCAGCCCAAGGGTTTGATGTGGGGCTCTCTTCCTTGCTGTGTGAGTCTGGGACCTCTCTGGGCCCTGGTTGTAATATGTGACCCTGCTTTGCCCAGAATTTGTGCACAGAGCAGATGACATGCTGGGTAGAATGCGAGGTACTGGAGCCACTGAGCACAGAGCTGGGATCAGCGCAGCGTTCTAATCTGTAGGGCAGTCGGCACGGCTGACAGGCAAAGCTGCCAAGGCTCAGCGAGGGAAGGGAGGCCGGAGGGGCTGGGGTCTGGGGCACACTCTCGTCTGTCCTCCGTCCCTGGAGGTGTTTCCTCTCCCCAGTCCCTGTTTGCTATTGACCCCCTGGCATCCATGCATTAATCACCCGCCATTTGGACACATTTATTTAGTACCTTCTAAGGCCCTGCAGGAGGAGGAGTCAAGTGAGGCTTCAAAGAGACGTATAATTGAATTAGGATGAAAAGCATAGAAACACATAACTCAGGGCTCAGAAATGCATTTTGATTGACGGAGCACAGAGTCTTGCCGAGAAGTTGCTCCTATGCTTGAAGCCCCCAAGGGAGGGACTTTGCCTGCCCTGGGATGAGAATCTACACCCTCCCGATCAGGTTTTTGGATTTTAGGGATGGAAAAGAAAAGGTACTTGGAGACATCCCAGAGAGGCCTCTGACCGAGATGATGGCGAAGGCAGGAATAGGGCTCTGGTGTCTCCAAGACTGAGCCAGGCAGGGCTCTGGGGGCCTTGGAGACTGTGGGATTGATGCTGCTGAATGCCAAGAGACACTGGGGTGATGTCAGCTGGACTTCCTCTCTGGAGGGTCAGGACTCACCCACGTGGTGCTGGACGGCCAAGCTCTCATTCATTCTGTGGGTCTGAGAGGGCAGGAGATCCCACACCACTGACTGGGTGAGTGACTGCTCAAATGGGATTTAAAATAACTTCAGGCAGGGCACTGTGGCTCACGCCTGTCATCCCAGCACTCTGGGAGGCTGAGGTTGGTGGATCACCTGAGGTCAGGAGTTCAAGACCAGCTTGGTCAACATGATAAAACTCTGTCTCTACTAAAAATTAGCCGGGCATGGTGGTGTGCCCCTGTAATCCCAGCTACTTGGGAGGCTGAGGTGGGAGAATTGCTTGAACCCGGGAGGTGGAGGCTGTAGTGAGCTGAGATTGCGCCATTGTACTCCAGCCTGGGCGACAGAGTGAGACCCCATCTCAAAATAAAATAAAATAAAATAAAATAAAATAAAATAAAATAAAATGACTTTTAAAAAATAAAGAGGTATGAATAAAAACAAAAACAACACACTGAAGCTTGGGGAATGCAGCAAAAGCAGTGCTAAAAGGGAATTTTCGACCTGTTAAATGCTTATGGGAAGGCCCGGCGCGGTGGCTCAAGCCTGTAATCCCAGCACTTTGGGAGGCCGAGGTGGGTGGATCACGAGGTCAGGAGATAGAGACCATCCTGGCTAACATGGTGAAACCCTGTCTCTACTAAAAAAATACAAAAAAATTAGCTGGGCATGGTGGCGGGTGCCTGTAGTCCCAGCTACTCCGGAGGCTGAGGCAGGAGAATGGCATGAACCCGGGAGGTGGAGCTTGCAGTGAGCCGAGATCACGCCACTGCACTCCAGCCTGGGCGACAGAGCGGGACTCCGTCTCAAAAAAAAAAAAAAATGCTTATGGTGAAAAACAAGAAAGATCTCAAATCAACAACCTAACTTTACAACTTAAGGAACTAGAAAACAAAAACAAAAACAAAACAGAATAAGCCCAAATAGCAGAAGAGAGGAAATAATTAAGATTAGAGCAGAGATAAATAATATAGAGAATAGAAAAACAATAGAGAAAATCAATGAAACAAAAGTTGATTCTTTTAAAAGACCAACAAAAATTGACAAAACTAACAAGAATGACTAAGAAAAAAAAGAGAAAAAACTTAAATTATCAAAATCAGAAATTAAAGTAGGGACATTACTACTGATTTTACAGGAATAAAAAGGATTATAAGAAAACGCTATGAACACTTGTATGCCAACAAATTGGATAACCTAGATGAAATGGAGAAATTCTTAGAAATACACAAACTATCAAAACTAAATCACAAAGAAATAGAAACTCCAAATAGACCCCTCACTAGGAAGGAAATTGGCTCAGTAATCAGAAACCTCCCAACAAAGAGAAGTCCTGGATTGATGGTTTCACTGATGAATTCTGCCAGAGATTTAAAGAACTACTCACACCTGTAATCCTAGCACTTTGGGAGGCTGAGGCAGGAGGATTGCTTGAGCCCAGGAATTTGAGACCAGCCTTGTCAATATAGTGAGACCTCATCTCTACAAAAAGTTTAGAAAAAAAATATCTGGGTATGGTGGTAAGTGCCTGTAGTCCCAGCTTTTTGGGATCTTGAGGTGGGAGGATTGCCTGAGCCCAGGGGTTAGAGGCTGCAGTGAGCTATGATTGTGCCACTGCATTCCAGCCTGGACAACAGAGCAATACCCTGTCTCTCTCTCTGTCTCTCTCTCTCTCTTTTAATTGTTTTATTAGATCCTGACCAGCTCACAGAGGGAGGACTCTCACCCACATTTTACACACAAGGAGACAAACTCAGAGGCAGAGCCAAGTCTGCATGTCCAGGCTCTCTGAGGGCCACGCCGTGCCAGCCCCCTTCCACCCTGGTCCCTGGCCTTCGTGTGGTGAATTCTGTGTTATGAATGGGGCCCTCTAAGATTCTTCCCACATGAGAAATTCTGTGACTCCAAGAATCAATATTTGAATTTCTGAAGCTCAACTGAAACCCAAACGCCAGTGAATCATGACTAACTTTTTTTTTTTTGAGACAGAGTGTCACTCTGTCGCCCAAGCTGGAGTGCAGTGGCTGGCTCACTGCAACCTCCACCTCCCGGGTTCAAGCAATTTTCGTGCCTCAGCCACCCAAGTAGCTGGGATGACAGGTGTGTGTGCCACCACACCCAGCTAATTTTTGTATTTTTAGTAGAGATGGGGTTTCACCATGTTGGCCAGGCTGGCCTTGAATACCTGACCTCAAGTGATCCACCCACCTCGGCCTCCCAAAGTGCTGGGATTACAGGCATGAGCCACTGTGCCTGGCCCCTTTTTTTTTTTTTTTAAAGTAAAGAAAATAGATCAATCAGACCACAACTGAATACACAATTTCCTAAATCCACAAAACCCGAGCCTCACAATACTTTTTAACCAGGGCCTGAGTGAGGGTTAGAACATCATGTAATTTTAAGCTTTGCTTAAAATCTCCCAGGAAAAATGGCTTAGATGGCATGGCTCAGACTTCTCCTGTATATGCACCTAGAAATACTGAATCGTTCCACCTGGAGGTCTTGCAGGCCCCTCCATCTCTATGGGGCCAACGTGGAACTTGCCTCTTCTTTCGTCTGGTCAACACCAGTCATGATTTTTGGCTGGCTGGCATTTTTGAACCCCTTTGTATGTCTGGGGAATCTCCCTCATGCTGGGCCAGAAATGTGCTTCCCAGGGCCCCTTGCACCTAGACGTGCACACGGGAGCTGGTAGGCAGGACAGTCACTGGCCCTGCATGAGGATCTGTAGACACCATGTGAGCCGCCCTGGCCAGGTGGCTGCTGAGACGCCAAGGGTCCAGTGGCAACCACAGCATCTGGCCCCAGTGCTGGTGGTATGCTCTTCTGGGCTGGGATTTGCATGGACCTCTGGCTGCAGGCCTGCCCTCCGGGCCATTTGAAGACCCTGTGAGCTGACTCTATCCTTCATTAATCCTTCACATGCCTAAACTGCCTGGCATGGGTTGCAAGGAGGAACCTTGACTGATACCTGCCTCCTCCCCAAGCTTACTCCTCCTCTGTTTCCATCGGAAACATCCCTCCCCTTGCCCAAGTGTGAAGCCCAGCAGTCACCCTGTCTCCTCTCTCCCTCCCCAGTTCCAATCCCCCAGTCTTACTGACAACTCTGCTTCCTACCTCTACAGCTCTGGAAGTGTCAGAGACGTTTGAACCAAAGCAACTCCATCTTGAATAGGAGCTGGGTAAAATGAGGCTGAAACCTACCGTGCTGCATTCCCAGACAGTTCAGGCATTCTAAGTCACCCTTTGTGTGTCTGAGGAATCTCCCTCATACTGGGCCAGAAACGTACTTCCCAGGGCCCCTTGCATCTAGATGTGCACATGGGAGCTGGTGGGGAGGACAGTCACCAGCTTATCATCACAGGATAAGATAGGAGGTCAGCATGAAATATAGGTCATAAATACCTTGCTGATAAAACAGGTTGCAGTAAAGGAGCCGGCCAAAACCCACCAAAACCAAAATGGCGACAAGAGTGACCTCTGGTCATTCAATGTTTGGGAGCCTTGCACACTCGCCTGGCTCCCCACGTGGCAATCATTCTGTCTGCCTTCAGGCTCCTGCACAAGCTGATGCTTCTACCTGGAGTTTTACTCCACTCTCTCCCTCCTTCCACCCCTACTTGGCCTTGGCTCTCAGCTTCTGGGAAAAGTCATTTCCAAACCTCCCCTCAGAGTAGTCATCTCTCCACAGCCCTCTGTGTTTCTGGGGGCTGTTAGGCATGGTGGCTGCCTGCTCATTCTTTGACACTTTCTTTAACACTTAGGAGCTCTGCAGCCCTGGGCAAGTTACTGAATCTCTCTGGGCCATCTTTATGTCTTCATTTATAAAATAAGGTTTGTGAAAGGAGAATAAATCTCAGGATCCCCAAATCACTAAGCCAAAGGGAAAAGTCAAGCTGGGAACTGTGTCAGGCAAACCTGCCTCCATTCTATTCCTAAATAAGATGGCTACAAAGATTGAAAAAAAAAAAGCCTACATGCCACATTTTCTTTCTTTCTTTTTTTGAGACGGAGTCCCGCTCTGTCGCCCAGGCTGGAGTGTAGAGGCGCGATCTCGGCTCACTGCAACCTCCGCCTCCAGTTCAAGTGATTCTCCTGCCTCAGCCTCCCGAGTAGCTGGGACTACAGGCGCCCGCCACCACGCCCAGCTAATTTTTGTATTTTTAGTAGAGACAGGGTTTCACCATGTTGGCCAAGATGGTCTCAATCTCCTGACCTTGTGATCTGCCCACCTTGGCCTCCCAAAGTGCTGGGATTACAGGCATGAGCCACTGGGCCCAGCCCACTTTCTTTATCCTAATGAATAGCTAATAGATGCTGGTCTTAATACCTGAGTGATGGGTTGATCTCTGCAGCAAACCACCATGGCACACGTTTACCTATGTAACAAACCTGCACATCCTGCACATGTACCCCAGAACTTAAAATAAAAGTTGAAGAAAAAAAAGCTACATACCTCCCTCACAACTTGCCCACAAGGAAATTCCTTGGATGAGGGACGGACAGAGCTCAAAGCCATCCTTCTGCCCACCGGAGACAAATGCACCTCTGATCGCCTCCTTTGCCCTGTTGTTTCACTGAGCCAGACTAAGGTATCAGTGACTATTCCTCTACCCTCCTCTCACAGGTAAATTGTGTATTCAGTGAAAGGCTAATCAGAGACCCCAAAGAATGCAACTGTTTGTCTCTTATCTACCTATGATCTGGAAGTCCCTCCCCGGCCTCGAGTTGTCCCTGCTTTCAGGACCGAACCAATGTACATCTTACACATACTGACTGACGTCTTCTCTCTCCCTGAAATGTATGAAACCAAGAGTGCCCTGACCACCTTGTTGTCAGAACCTCCTGAGGCTGTGTCACGGATGCGTGATCATAGCACCATCTTAGCTCCTTAACCTTAGCAAAATAAACTTCCCAAATCGACTGAGACCTGTCTCAGATAGTTTTTGGTTCACAGGTTCACCACATGTGCAGCCTCCACCCTTCTCCAGGCTGTTCTGGATGCTGCCCCTTCAGCCTGCATTTCCCTGTCTCTGGCTTCCCAGCACAGACTGGGGATGGGAGGGAGGGGGATGTATCTGCTTGGGACCGGCCTCTCACAGGGTCACAATGGGGCAGCCCTGGGGGTAGTAGCTGCCCACTGCTGCTGCCCTTTGGGGGCCTCCACGCCTCTTGGCTGTTCCCTTACCTCTGCCTAGGGCAGTGCAAATGCCGGCAGGCCTGCTTATTACACTTCGCTTCATTGCTGTTTGCAGATACTGCATTGTTTTTACAAGATTGGAGGTTTGGCTGGGCATGGTGGCTCAGGCCTGTAATCCCACCACTTTGGGAGGCTGAGGCAGGTGGATCACCTGAGGCCAGGAGTTTGAGACCAGCCTAGCCAACATGATGAAAACCCATCTCTACTAAAAATACAAAAATTAGCCGAGCGTGGTGGCGGGCACCTGTAATCCCAGCTACTTGGGAGGCTGAGGCAGGAGAATCGCTTGAACCCGGGAGGCAGAGATTGCAGAGTGCTGAGATCGTGCCACTGCACTCTAGCATGGGTGACAGAGTGAGACTCCGTCCCAAAAAAAAAACAAAAAAAACAAAAAAAACAAAAAAACAAGAACAGATTGGAGGTTGGCGGTGGCCCAGCATCCAGCAAGTCTATCGGTGCCATTTTTTCCAGCAGCGTGGGTTCACTTTGTGTCTCTGTGTCACATTTTGGTAATTCTCACAATATTTCAAACTTTGTCATTATTATTGTGTCTGTTATGGTGATCTGTGGCCAGTCCTCTTGGATCTTACTATTGTAATTGTTTGGGGGCACCATAAACCAATAAGAAAGTGAACTAATGTGTTGCATATGTTCCAACTAGTCCACCAACTGGCTGTTCTCTGTCTTTTTCTCCTCGGGCCTCCCTATTATCTGAGACACAACAATATCGAAATTAGGCCAACTAATAAGTCTACAATGGTCTCTAAGTGTTCAAGTGAAAGGAATAGTTTTGGGTCTCTCACTTTATGTATTTATTTTTGAGACAGGGTCTCGGTCTGTTGCCCAGACTGGAGTGCAGTGGTGCGATCATAGCTCACTGCAGCCTCGAACTCCTGGGCTCAAGCGATTCTCCTGCCTCACCCTCCCAAAGTGTGGGGATTACAGGCATGAGCCACCATACCTGATGTCTGTCACTTTAAATCAAAAGCTAGAAATGATTAAGCTTAGTGAGGAAGGCCTGTTGAAAGCCAAGATAGGCTGAAAGCTAGGCCTCTTGTGCCAAACACTTAGCCAAGTTGTGAAGGCGAAGGAAAAGTTCTTGAAGGAAATTAAAATGCTACTCCAGTGAACACACAAATGATAAGAAAGTGAAACAGTCTTATTCCTGGTATGGAGAAAGTTTGAGCGGTCTGGAGAGATCAAACCAGCCACAATATCTCTTAAGCCAAAGCCTAATCCAACGCAAGGCCCTAACTCTCTTTAATTCTATAAAGGCTGAGAGAGGTGAGGAAGCTGCAGAAGAAAAGTTGGAAGCTAGCACGGGTTGGTTCATGAGGAATGAAACCACTCCATATTAAGGAATGAAACCCACTCCATAACATAAAAGTGCAAGGTGAAGCAGCAAGTGCTGATGGAGAAAACTACAGCAAGTTCTCCAGAAGATCTAGTGGAGATCACCGATGAAGGTGGCTGCACTAAACAGCAGATTCTCAGTGAGGATGAAAGAGCACTCTATTGGAAGAAGGTGCCATCTAGGACTTTCATAGCTAGAGTACAGAAAGTCAATGCCTGGCTTCAAAGCTTCAAAAGGATAGTATAACTCTTGTTAGGGGCTAATGCAACTGTCATTTACCATCCCCAAATCCTAGGGCCCTTAAGAATGATGCTAGATCTACTCTGCCTGTGCTCTAGAAATGGAAAACCAAAGGCTGGATGACAGCACATCTGTTTCCAGTGTGGCTTGCTGACTATTATAAGTCTACTGTTGAGACCTCCTGCTCAGAAAGAGAAGATTCCTGCTCATTGACAATGCACTGATGGAGACGTATAAAGAGATGAATGTTGTTTTCATGCCTGCTAACACGACATCCATTCTGCAGCCCATGGATCAAGGAGTAATTTTGACTTCCAAGTCCTATTACATAACACATATATTTCATAACAGGTATAGCTGCCATATACAGCAATTGTTTTGGTTGGTCTGGGCAAAGTAAACTGAAAACCTTTGGAAAGGATTTGCCATTCTAGACGCCATTAAGGACATTTGTAATTCATGGCAGGAGGTAAAAAATATCAACATTAACAGGAGTTTGGAAGAAGCTGATTTCGACTCTCATGGATGACTGAGGGGCTCAAAATTTCAGTGAAGAAAGTCACTGTAGATGTCGTGGAAATTGCAAGAGAATTAGAAGTGGAGCCCGAAGATGTGACTGCATTGCTGCAATCTCATGATCAGTTGCTTCACCTGTTCAACTTGAACAGATGAAGAGTTGCTTCCTTTTTTTTGAAACAGGGTCTCTCTCTGCACAGGCTGGCGTGCCGTGGTGCGATCTTGGCTCACTACAATCTTTGCCTCCCAGGCTCAAGCAATCCTCCCACCTCAGCCTCCTGAGTAGCTGGGACTACAGGCGCTTGCCACCATGCCTGGCTAATTTTTGTGTTTTTTTTGTAGAGACAGGGTTTTGCCCATTGCCCAGGCTGGTCTTGAACTCCTGAGCTCTAGCAATCCGCCCGCTCTGGCCTCCCAAAGTGCTGGGATTACAGGTGCTCGCTACTGCACCCAGCCGAGTTGCTTCTTATGGATGAGTCAAGAAAGTGATTCCTTGAGATGGAATCTACTCCTTGTAAAGATGCTATGAGCATTGTTGAAGTGAAAACAAGGGGTTTAGAATATTACATAACATTAGCAGCAGCAGGATTTGAGAGGGTTGACTCCAATTGTGAAAGAAGTTCTTTGGGTCAAATGCTGTAAAACAGCATCACATGCTACAGAGAAATCTTTTGTGAAAGGCAGAGTGGATCTATGTAGCAAACCTCATTGTTGTCTTATTGTAAGAAGTCGCCACAGCCACCCCGTCCTTCAGCAATCACCACCCTGATCGGTTGGCAGCCTTCAACATCAAGGCAAGACCCTCCACCAGCAAAAAGACGATGACTCGCTGAAGGCCCAGATGATCACTAGCATTTTTAGCAATAAGTATTTTTAAATTAAGGTATGTACTTTGTTTTTTAGACACAATGCTATTGCACACTTAGTAGACTACAGTATAGTGTAAATATAACTTTTGTGCACTGGGAAACCAACAATTGGTGTGACTTGCTTTATTGTGTATTTGTTTTATTGCGTCAGTCTAGAACCAAACTTGCAATATCTCTGAAGTGTGACTGTAGTCACTTTGTAAATATGTCTTCTCTGAGCCATCTGGGGAAGTTCTGTGTTACATTCCAGGGCTGTCAAGAGGATTCAGTAAGAGCACTTTTGCTGGCGCCCTAGCACAGAGCCTGGTGCAGCACGTTTTAGCTGTTAGTGCTTTTCCTGAAGCACTGCACCCATCAGTCTGCTTCACAACTGATAATTTTCTCATCTGTTTCTGCCAACAGACCAGATCCGCAATGCGGAGACCTTTCTCTGCTATATTATTAGTACTTATTGAGGAGTGCTTGGTTGACAAGAGCATGCTTGGTCGACAAGCAATGTTAATGGTCCCACCTGCCTGTTTGCAGTGCCATTGTGGTGTCAGGAGTACAAGAGGCAGGAATGGCCACAACACCCCCTGTGCAGTTGTCTAGGTTGTGCACTGCAAAAGTTGCCTGCCTTGAGGAGCAAGGGTAGCTGAGATTAGCCTGGGTTCTTCCCACCAAGCTGTGCTCCCAAGAAAGAGGAGTCTCCTAATTTGTTCAAAGGGGCTGCATGAACTAGTGGTTCCTTGGGTCTCCACTCCCCGACAGAAAGTTTGTGATGCCTAAACCCAGTTTCTATTCATTTATACAGGAGACTCTGTCCTCCTGCCTGTGCTCTACCGCCCGGGGCGCCGGGCACCTCTTTTTTATGAGTTGCTCTCTGCCTTCCAGTAAGCCAGCAGCTTTCCACGGAAGTGCCTTGGCTTGAGAGAGGCCTGCAGAAACCAGCAGGGACAGGATCTCTGAGAAGTTCCCCAGCAGCCTGAACATCGGAGCCACTGATCTTCCAGATAAATAGGGGCAGACAAAGGCGAGTGAGCAGTGAGCTCCAGAGAAACCAGTTGTGTCCGGCCGCAAAAATAATGTCCCTGGCTGCAAAGTGGACTCAAAATGGACTAATAGGCAATTAGCACCAGAGTGCCCCTACCCAGCCCGGAGCCCATTAGACGCAGGACGGCTTTAACCAAATCCTGTCTTAAAGAGCTCTGTTGAGAGTCTCCATAATGTAAGTAGGGCCTTAATGGGGAAAAACAGCCTGGTGACGCAGGTGAAGAGAGCGGTTCTTAGTGGGAGCTTATAAGTGGGCTGGAGGCAGCCGAGCACTATTGAGGTGCTCTGCAGGGGCAGGTGGAGGCAGAGGCGGTTGCGTTTCAGTCCAACCTGTTCTGGTTAGCTCTGTTCCAGGGCTTCCGCCTATCCCCAAATCTCTTCCATATTTGGAGCCCAGAAGGGCACCACCGCTGTGGTGTAACCTGCGTCTCCACCTCCGCCCAGGGTGGTCAGATCTGGTATGTTCTGGGGACTGGAAGCAGGTGTTCAGGCTCCAGGCCTGCATGTGTCTGTGACACTGGCCTTGGCCCTGTGCCTTGAGTTCCCTTCCCTTTACTCTCTCCCTCCCTGGTGAGGCGAGAGTATGGCTGACATCACCTACCCTCTGGGCAGCACCTTAGGGTCTCACCCCTGGCTGCCTGCGGGAGCCACTAGGTGAGCTTTCCAAATGCTGATGCCCAGGCAAGATCCTGAGATTCCAATCGGTTGGTCTGGAGTGGGGTCCCAGCATGGGGACCGTAAAAGCTCACCCACTGGCTCATGTGCACCCAGGGCTGAGCCCCACTGGTCCCCAGGGCCTGTCCCGTTCATGCCCTCTCTGCTGGTTAGCCAGGCCCTACAGGGAATTAGGCAGGTGTACCTTATTAGATCCCATGCTTGAATGAGACACCTGGGTAGCCTCTTAGACCCTGGAGCAGGAGCCCTCAAGCGGGTTCCCAGACTGGCAGCATTGGTGAAATGCAGAGTCTCAGGCTCAGCCCCAGACCTATGAACTAGAATCCCGCAGGTGGGGTCCAGCCATCTAAGTTTTAACCAGCCCTCAAATTTGAGAATCACTGTGCTAGAATAGTGACAGAATTATCACCGCAGTTCAGTGCTTTTGAAACTTTAACATGGACAGAACTCATCTGGGCATTGTATTAAAATGTAGATTCTGGGGCTGGGCGCGGTGACTCATGCCTATAATCCCAGCACTTTGGGAGGCCAAGGCGGGCGAACGAGGTCAGGAGATCGAGACCATCCTGGCTAACACGGTGAAACCCTGTCTCTACTAAAAATACAAAAAGCTGGGCATGCTGGTGTGTGCCTGTAGCCCCAGCTACCAGGGAGGCTGAGGCAGGAGCATCGCTTAAACCTGGGAGGTGGAAATTGTAATGAGCCGAGATCGTGCCACTGCACTCCAGCCTGGGCGACAGAGCAAGACTCCATCTCAAAAAAAAAAAAAAAAAGTAGATTCGGCTGCAGTCTGAGCTGGGGCCACAGTTCTGCATTTCTAACAAGGTCCCAGGTGCTGCTGCAGGTCCCAGGCCCACACTCCGAGCAGCGAGGTCACAGGTGGAGTCATCAAGTGCCTTCTGCAGGCTGGACACCGGACTAAGCCCAAGCTTGGGCCCTCTCCTTTCATCTTCCCTAAATCATCTGACTTCATCTCGCTTCAGCTTCGCAGTGGCTCATGCCTGTGATCCCAGCACTTTGGGAGGCCAAGGTGGGGGGATCACCCTTAGGTGAGAGGTCAGGAGTTTGAGACCAGCCTGACCAACATGGCAAAACCCCGTCTCTATGAAAAATACAAAAATTAGCTCAGCGTGGTGGCGGACACCTATTATCCCAGCTATTCAGGAGGCTGAGGCTGGAGAATTGCTTGAACCTGGAAGGCGGAGGTTGCAGTGAGCTGAGATCATACCACTGCACTCCAGCCTGGGTGACAGAGAGAGACTCCGTCTCGAAAAAAAAAAAAGAAAAGTAAATAAATAAATACATAAATAAATAAAGCATACAATTCCATGGGTTCTGGTATATCCACAGACTTGTGCAACCATTGCCATGATCCATTTTAGCATTTTCATCATCCCAAACAGAAACCTCTCCCCTCAGCCAGCCCTCTCTCCACTCCCCATCCCCCCAGCTCCAGGAAACCACCATCCGCTTTCTGTTTCTGTATTTGCTAGTTCTGGACATTTCATACAAATGGAATCACACACCATGTGGGCTTTTGTGTCTGGCTTCTTTCACTCAGCAACATGTTCTCAAGGTCTGCCCTTGTGGCACCCGTCAGAACCGCATTCCTTTTGATGGCTGAATAATAGTCCATTGTCTGGAGAGACCACGCTTTGTTTATTCATTCATCTGTTGATGGCTACTTGGGTTGTTTCCATTTTTTGGATATTGAGAACAGTGCTGCTATGAACATTTGTTTACACATGAGGACGTGGAGGCGGAGGCAGCCACCTGGGCTAGGTCCCTAACCAGGGCACGCTGCAGCCGGCTGTCTGCCTCACAGTCCCATGTGCCTCTGCCTCCCACTGCCCACCTCAGAGGCCCAGGGCCGCAGCAGGTGAGGTGGAGGGGGCTGCACTTGTTTCCATGGGGTTGTTTCTGGGACTTACAGTCAGAGCTCCTGGATGTGCATCTTGGCTCCATTCCTTCCTGGGGGACCTTGGGCAGCACACGTAAGCCTCAGCCTCAGTTTCTCCAGTAGACAAATGATGAGTCTATTAAGGGCTGTGTATTGAGGACAGAATGAGAATGAAGAAAGCCAGAGGGGCCTGAGAGAGGTGATCAGGAGGAGGAAGGCGGGGAGAGAAAGAGGGAGGGAGAGCGAACCTGAGTGCCTGCCCCACCCGACTCCCGACCTCCGTGAGTAGAGGGCTGAAGCTTTCCCCTCCTCCCACAGCCATTTACCCAGCTCTGGGGGTAATTGCTATAATTTCAAGGCTGGGTAATGCCAGCAGATTAGAGAGGGAAAGGCTCCCTCGGGTTCAGCCGGCACATTAGGCACAGTTATAAATGTCAGCGCTGATGGCTCGTCAAGAGCCCCAGGATGGGGGCACAAGCTCCCCACTGTCCTCAGGCCCAGCCCTTCCCCCTCCTCTGGGCTAGAACCCGAGTGTAAGGTACTGCACTCCCCACAGCTCACCCTCCACCATCAGCCCCCTCCTGTTCACCTCTGCTCAGTGTTCAGACCCTGCTTCTGCTGCCTGGTGTGCACCCTTGGGCAAGGCTCTGAGCCTCAACTGCAAAATGGGCAGCAACAACAGCACATGCTCCATCAGCCGCCCTCGGCACTGTGGGCCCTGGTCATCCTCCCAGCGATACTGAGGGAGATGCTCTGGGACCCCATTCGTCAGGAGGTGAAGAGAGATGAGGCCCCAGCCTGCGCCTCCATTTCCCCATCTGCAAAATGTGGAGGTTGGGTAAGAAGAGGAGACCCCTGAGTGCGCTTCCAGCCTTCACGGTCTCTGCTTCTGTCCTGAGGGTTGTGTGGCAGAAACCCTGGGCGTCAGGCAGGACAGGGGGAGGCAGTGGGGAGAGAGGTTGAAAGAAGGCTTCCCCACAGTGGGCTGCTCTGCCTCCACCGGCCTCCTGAGGCTGCCAGGAGTGTTTTTCTCCCGTGGGGAAAGCCTGTGGGGTCCCTTCCTCAGGGCCTTTGCCAAGCTCAAAGGAGGTGCCATTAGTCTCTTGGGGAGCTCTAAGGGTCTGAGTCTCTAGAGCACATGCAGGGGTCCCCTATGCGTGTGAGAAAAGGCTTTGGGTCCCTAGGGAGGAGACCAGGCATGGGACAACCTGTCCTTCCCACCTTTCTTCCCCTCCCTTCCCTATTCCCAGCGCTATATCATGAACATTTGCAGACATGAGAAAAGCTGAAAGGATAATACAGAGAACACCTTTGCAGCCACCACCTACAACTGTACCGTCTGCCCCCTGCCCCTCTGCCCCTTCATCTGTCCATCAAATTTTTGATGTATTGCAAAATAAGTTGCAGATGGACACCGCACCCCGAGACAGGCTAGCATGCACGTCACTCACTGGAGTTCAGTATTTGTTAACTGTTTTTTTTTTAGGGTGAAATTTATACATAATGAAATGGACAAATTTTAAGGGTAGCAATCAATGCATCTTGACAAATGCACACACATGTGAGGCTCAAGCTCTTCAAGACAGAGGGTGTCACCGTTGCCTGGAAAGTTCACCCTTGCTCCTTCCAGTCCCTAGAAACAGCTGCTGTCTTTTTTTTTTCCAACATCGCTTGGCTTTGCCTGTTCTAGACATTCATGTAAATAGAGCCATACAGTATGTTTTTTTGTTTTTGTTTTTGGCGGGGGAGGGGGCGTGGTTTCTTTTGCTAAGCATGTTTATTTTGAGATTCATCCATGTTTTCTTGGGTATTGGTAGTCCATTCCTTTTTATTGCAAAGTAGTAAGCCACTGCATGAATAGAGCCTGCTCATTTACCCGTGGATCTGTTGACCCTTTGAGTTGTTCCCAGTTTGAGGCTGTTATGAATAAAACTGTTGTGAACATTTGTGTGTGAGTCTTTGTGTGGACATGTTTGCATTTCTCTTGCATAAATGCCTAGAAGTAGAATTACTGGGCTTCCTCCTTTTATGGGATTAAAAAAGAAAAAGAAAGAATGAAAGAGAGACACAGAGACGGAAAGAAAAGAGAGAAGAAGAAAGTAAAGGAAAAGCAAAAAGCATAGGTAACTAGATTGCAGAAACTTTGAACAATAACCATCATCGCTCCAAAGAAACTGCCACCCCAGGAGTTCTCGACAGGCTATGGAGGAAGGCTTGGCATTGAGACAGACTTAGTGCAAATCTTGCTTTGCCACTTGTAAACTGTGTGACCCTAGGGAAGTTTCTTAACCTCTCTGAGCTTTAGTTCTTCCTCTGTAAACTGAGAACAATGAGATCAGCCAGTTTACAGTTGTTAGGGGGAATTCCCCAAGAGGAAGGCTGTAGAAGCCCTGGCCAGAACTTGGTCTGCAGTGGATCATGGCTAACATGAGCCCCTCTCCCTACCTATTTGTCTTGCAAGGTCCAAGGTCTGATGTCGTCTCAGTGAAGCTTTTCCTGAAAATCTAGTTAAAAATGAAAAGTGCCAACACTCACAGGAGACTTTCCATGAACCGGCATGTCTCTGAGTGCTCTGCAAGTATTAGCTCATTTAATTCTTTCAACAAGCCCCCAAAATAGCTTTATTATCAGCATATCTATTTTGTAGGCACAGAGAGATTCAATGATTTGCCTAAAGTCACACAGCAAGTTAAGTGATGAAGCTTGGTATGGCTGATCTCTGTGGATTTGCCTTTCCTGGACTTTTTTTTTTTTTCTTTTTTTGAGACAGAGTCTTGCTCTGTTGCCCAGGCTGGAGTGCAGCAGCTCGATCTTGGCTCACTGCAGCATCTGCCTCCAAGGTTCAAGCAATTCTCATGCCTCAGCCTCCCAGGTAGCTGGGATTACAGGCACACACCATCATGCCTCGCTAATTTTTGTATTTTTAGTAGAGACAGGGTTTCACCATGTTACAGGTCAGGCTGGTCTCAAACTCCTGACCTCAAGTGATCCACCCGCCTCAGCCTCCCAAAGTGCTGGGATTACACGTGTGAGCCACCGTGCCCGGCCCCTTTTCCTGGACATTTTCTATCAATGGAATCTACCGACTTTTTTCACCATGCATTGTGTTTCCCAGATCCATCCATATGGTGCCCATGTTGTAGCATGTACCAGAACTTCCTTTTTTTGATTAATGTTCCGTTGCCTAGATACACACCATTGTGTTTATCCCTTCGTCTTTTGATGGACATTGGGTTATTTCCACCTTTTAGTGAATGTGATTAATGCTGCTATGGACATCTGTGTGCAAGTTTTGGTTTGAATACCTGTCTTTAATTCTTCTGGGCATGTACCCAGAAGTAGGGTTGTTGGGCCAGATGGAAAGCTGTATGTAACCTCCTTTTTTTTTTTTTTTTTTTTTTTTTTTTATTCCAAGTCCCCAGGAGGGCTTTATTTTTTCTTTTCAACATCCTGTTCTGCGGCTTCCTTGGCTCTTTTTGCCCGTATGCCGAAGAGCCGGGCGTTGGCACGGGCCATACGGAGACTAGCGAAGGCTTTGAAATTCTTCTCTTCCTCAGTGATCACTCGAGCTTTCTCCTTCTTATAGACATTCCGGATGGGCATGACCGGTCCGGTCAGCTGGGTGGCCAGTTTCAGTTCTTCAGCAGAACTGTCTCCCTTCTTGGGGGCCGAGGGCTTCCTGGGGAAGAGGATGAGTTTGGAGCGGTACTCCTTCAGCCGCTGCACGTTCGCCTGCAGGGACTCCGTGGACTTGTTCCGCCTCCTCGGATCCACAGAAATGCCGATGGTCCGGGCCACCTTCTTGTGAATGCCGGCCACCCTGAGCTCCTCCAGATTGAAGCCGCGGCCGGCGCGCACCTTCGTGTGGTACCGAACCGTGGGGCAGCACACGATGGGCCGGATGGGCCCCGACGCGGGGCGCGGGGCGATGCGGCGCGCCTTGGCTTGCCGGGCCTTACGTCTGCGGATCTTCCGGGCCGGCTGGTTGAACCACGTGGCC
The DNA here is from genome assembly GCF_000001405.40 of Homo sapiens. Taxonomy (NCBI): domain Eukaryota; kingdom Metazoa; phylum Chordata; class Mammalia; order Primates; family Hominidae; genus Homo; species Homo sapiens. The sequence continues at coordinate 17,383,948 of NC_000017.11, forward strand.
ACGCGCCGCTGCCAGTCCTTGTGGAAGTGGGGCTTCAAGACCATGCCATTCCGGCTGGGCGTCATGGCTGCCTACGGCCCTGCGGCTCCTGAGCAGGAAAACAGCCGAGCGGAAAGGCCTGTAACCTCTTGAGGAACTGCCACACCGTGGGTTGCTTTCGAGCACTCTTGGGGTTGTAGCTGAAGACATGGATGATTGAGTGGAAGATGGTTTTGCAACGCCCGTGGGTGTCTTAGAGAAACTAGAGCAAGATAAAACCAGCGTCACTAAACTTTCACAGTCGCTCCCCTGCCAAGCCAAGCCTCCCTCCCACACCTGGTCATCTTCTTGGGGCTACCTGGGCTCTTTACTGAGCTTCCTTCTCCTTCATCCCGGACCTCCTGGGGCACCTTCCTCCAGCAGGGCAGTCCTCTGAGGTTGACCCTGCACGGTCCCTTCTGGGGACCGGGTTCCAGCACTCCTCCTGGCTGAATCCCACATGCAGCCAGGCTAGAGGGCTTTGCAAGTGGCAGGGGAACACCTCGATGCCCAGTTCTCGGGACCCTGCCTTACCTCCCATGCTAAGGGCATCAGGAGCCCGGGCAGCATCCATACCTCACCTCACCTCCCTCCCATGGTCCATGGGGTCACCAGGAAGGCCAGGCCCTGGGAGCACCAGTGGGGAGGCACCCCTCGCAGTGAACCTGAAAGTTTATTATCCAGTCCACACACACCCAACCTGTGCTGTGGGCAAGGTACTGTTCACAGGCTGGGGACACAGTACTTGTCCTCATTGAGAAGGTCCCCAAGGCCCAGCTACATAATTTCCAGGGCCTGGTGCAGAATGACACTGTAGGGCCTCTTGTTCAAAAATGTAAAAGATTTTGAAGGTAGGGATAGCAGGGGCCCTTCTCCCTGCACAGGTCCCAGCCCACGAAGCTGTGGGTGGGCACATTCTAGAACAGCACTAATGCCCTGTACATGGGGAGTGGGTCATTAGGCCTGAGCCACCCATGGGCCCTGGGTGAACTCAGGTGCAAGAAGTGACTTTGGAAAACATCCGTCCATTTCCCACTTTAGCACTGGAAACACCAGTGCGGAGAGAGGGGCTCTCAGCCTGCTCAGGGCTCAGGCAGGGCAGCGACCAGCACCCGCAACCTGCATCGGAGCCTGAGCGTTGCACTGCACCCCCTCCTCACCCTCCCTGCTTTGGAGAGGGTGCAGGCTGTGCAGGAGTGGAGGTCTGAATGAACTCAGGTGTGGACGTGTGTTGGGAAGACACTGCAAGGCCTGGCCCTGCCAGCAAGGTAAGGAAGAGAGGATGATGTGTGTCCCCACCCTAGGCCGAGAGGAGCCCCTGACAGTTAGCCTCACACATGGCTGAAAACCATTTAGAGAATTGACACTCTGACCTCAGCATCCTCTCAGTCCACAAAGATTGATTCCTGGGGACCATGCCGTTCTGTCTCTGGCTGGATTTTTCTTTTTTGAATTGAGGTAAAATACACGCCACATGAAATGTATCGTTTTAACCATCCCCCCTCTGCAGCCCCTGGCAACCGTCAATCTGCTTTTTGTCCCCACGGATTTGTCTATTCTGGACATTGCATCCAAATGGACTCCTATAGCATCTGGCTGGGTTTCAAATGATCCTGGCTTCCATTTGTTGAACGCTGATAATCCCTGTGTCAGCATATGCTGGGCGCTTCTATCCGCATTATCTCAGCTCATCCGCACAACAGCCTAACAGCTGGCACATCTCACAGAGGGGACAACTGCTCTCAGAGAAGCCATTCAGACAGCAGCTGGCAGTCCCCAAGCCCTCTGACCTCAAGGACCTCAAAGACTCTGGCGTGGCGGAGTCGAGCCGGCCGTGTCAGGGAAAGAGCGGGACTCATCTTTGTGTCCAAAATAATATGAGCAGTCACAGGGGAGCTCTGAGGGGCTCAACACCCTCATGTTCAGATGCGGAGAGGCCAAATGGTGGCAATGCCTAAGTCCTCGCCAGGAGGCAGTAGCAGAGCTGGGCAAGTAGGCGAAGAGTCTGGGGGGCTCCAGCCCCCCTCCAGCAGTCAGCCCCCAGTCTCTATCTCAGCACCCCCTGGGGAAGGCCCAGGGTAGAGCTGACTCTCCACCCACAGCCAAGGGAGGAGCCTGGCACCTCCTTCATTTCCTCTCCTCATTTAAAGAATTACCACCCCTGAGGGGTGTTTGCTTTTTGAGAGAGAGAGAGAGAGAAGAGAGAAGAGAGATTCGTCTGCACAGCTTGCGTATCCCATGGATGGCAGGAGTTAATAAGAGAGTCTTCTCCGCAATTAATACCCTTGTTTGGTCACAGGATGGGAGCATCGCCGTCCTCTGTTGATCTGCCTGGAAGACCAAACTCACCACCCAAAGCGGAACTCCCCTGGGGACGTTTTGTTCCCAGCATTCCATGGCAGCTGCAGAAACGGAACACAGCTTGCTCCTCCAGGGACCCGGCCAAGTGCCTTGGGTGGACAGGCCCAGGGATGCGGCAGGACAGCCAGGCCTGGGGGTCTGTGCAGGGAGGGGCAGCAGCTGAGCCCAAGATGGTGCCATTCAGGGCCCAATAACAGGTAAAGTATTATTAGTGAGGGTGCCAGGAATGAGAGCACTCATTGTGGGTGGCGTCGCCAAGTCAGAAAAGGATAAACCAGATGAATTCTCAGGTGCTCACTTGGTGTGGGAGGCCTGGGTTGAACTCACACACATAGGTGGATACAAAAACACATGTGTGGGTAGGTGGCTCTGCTCGCTGAGAGGGCCACAAGCAGCGTCCCCCCAGCAGCCATGAGCACAGTGCCCGCCCAGATCTTGGCCTGTCATGCTGTCCTCCATCAGGCTCCTTGGAGGAAGCGTCTGGAATCCTGTGTTGCACCATGAAATCAGGTGGCCTCAAAGAAGGGTTGGGACGTGTCACAGATATCCAGAAGCCACCCTGAATTGGCAAAATTGGGATGCTGTGAGCATCAACATAAACAATCGTAATAACAGACTGTAACCCAAAGAAGGAATAGGAAAGCATAAGTCCTTGCAGATATAAGCAAATGAATGAATCAATTGAACATGTGCTGAGCAATGGAATAATGGCATAATCTCAAAAATACTTATTCATGACAAAGGGGAAAATAGTACCTTTGCACTGGAGAAGCCTGATAGACATCATCTAATCGAGTAAGCCCTCCCCTGGGTGCCATTTCCCTGGCAACACCTATGCTCTCCCGCGCTGGGGCTTTGCTCACCTGTGCGTCACCTGACATGCCCTCCTCTCTGCTCTCGGCTATTAAAATCCTACCTATGATTCACACCTGGCTCCAAGGCCACACCCTCCCCAGCGCCTTCTCTGACCACTCCCACCAAAAGTGACTTTAGATCCTATTTCATTCATTCACTCAATGCTATTATGCTCCTACTGCATACTGAATGAGAGGATGCCACTGAGGATACAGGAAACACTGATCAGGGAGCTCCCCGGTCTGCAAGGGACAGTAGGCAGGTGACCCTCTCATGAAAGGGGCCTCTTGTGTTTTATGGCTGGGCTGGAGCTAAGGCAAGGTGGGAGTGGGGATGTTTCAGGTAAAGGTGTTGCAAGACAGTGGGTATGAGTCATCCCCAAGTCCTGAGCTCAGCGTGACTGGTCGGGTGGCAAGATGGAGAGGAGAGGAGAGTGGCACTGCTAGGAAGCCCCCTGTCAGGGAGACAGAATTCCATCCAGGACTTACGTGTCACTAGCATTTTGCTACAAACCAAATGGTCCTTGGTTGGCGGGAAGCCCAGTCTGGACCCTGGTCCACTGTGTGGGTTTGGGAAACCCCCTAACCTCTCTGAGTTTCCAGTTCTTCGTCTGTGACATCAGGGGCTGGGTTGAACAGTGTGTGGGTAAGCTGGAATCCAAGAATTCTACCTCTGGAAGGCAGTGCAGCAGGGCGAACAGGGTTCATGGGTCTCAAGGTCAAAGGGCCAGCTGAGGGAGAGCTGGACTGTGCATGCTTGGACCGGCTGGCTCTGGGCTCCAGAAGGGACTGCCGTGTGAGAATGTGAGTTCCCTGGGAGGAAGTTGTTGCCCAAGCCCCGCTGGAAAGCCAGACTGCCCTGCTCTCTGGGGGATTCTGGTGGGAGAGGGACCAGGCCCCTTGAGCTCCTGCTTGGCCTTAGCTGCTGTGTGTGAGCAGAGAGCAGCTCCAGGAGCAGGCTTGAGGCCTCTGGCTCTCGGCCTCCTTCGCAGCTGTCATTCAGACTCCGCAGCTTTCCTGTCTTGCTAGGAGCCTGCACTACCTCTTCCCACCTGTGGGCTCCCTCCTGGCTGCGCACAGGCCTGGCACCCGCAGGTGTTCACCTGAAGGGTGAGCCCCTAGTGGCTGGCTGACGTCTGTGGGGATTGGCATGGTGACTTCTGCCCAATGGCCTTGGTGCCTTATCCAGACATCCTCCACACCTCAGACTGGCGGGGCAGAGGCTGTCAGGGGAGCCCAGCAGTGTGTGTGGCCTCGGGACATGTGGCCTCGGGCTGCCCCCCTGCGCTTTCAGAGCACCTCCTTTGGACTGGAAGGTTTGGGGGCTTCTGGAATCCTCTGAGACCTGGCTGTACCTCAAGGCCTTTCACACCAGCCCCTTGGAACTGACATCAAGACCCTAAGGCCTCGGGGATTTAGGGGAGATGGCCAACGGAGTGGGGGCCATGAGACCCACAGGGGTATGGAAGGGCTGGAAAAAATCACAGCCTTAGGGGAGACAATGGCTTCCTGTGCTTCCTGGATTCTAACGGGGGTCCTGGAGCCTTGCAGCCCACCCCCTGCCCGGTCTCTCCCATCCCTCTCCTTCCTCCTCTGGCCTCGCTCCAGGGTCTGACAGCTGCGGGCTTGACTCCCAGCCCCACCACTCACTGTGTGCTCTCAGGGAAGTCACTTAACCTCTCAGAACCTCAGTTTCCTCATCTGTAGAATGGGTAGGAGAATAGCACATTTGAACCACAGAGATGAGTGGTTAAGGATGCCTTCCCGTGTCAGGCATGTCCCGTGGTGCCTGGCACGTGGTAAGTGGTCAGGTGAGTTCCACTCCTCCTGACGTTGCTGTGGTCACCCCGTCCTCCCCTGATGGCAGGCGCTGGGGAAGCAGCTGTGGTCTGCAGAGGCTCAGGCCCTCCTGAGCCGCAGCCTTGTCTCAGCTCCAGCCAAGAGCTGCAGGAATGTGGCTTGCCATACCACAAACTGCTCTCTCGGGTGACCATGGAGATTCGGACTTCTCCTGTGAAAACTCCTGAATGTTAAGTGGAGGTAGTGCAGCGTTGGCAGTCACTGCCCTGCCCGTGTCCCCACCACGAGGATTGCCAGATGAAATGCAGATCAAGTGAGCCATGATCCCACCACTGCACTCCAGCCTGGGCAACACAGCAAGACCCCAACTAAAAAATACAGATTGTACAGGTTGCCAGTGAACTCTGATTAGGGATATTTATTAATTTACTTTCATAGGTCACTGTAACCTCGTGCTCTTGGGCTCATGAGATCCTCTTGCACTGATCCCCCAAAGCCCTGGGATTACAGGTGTGAGCCACGGCACCCAGCCTAAATTTGGATTTTTTTTTAGTATAAATACATACTAAATATTGCATGGGACACGCTTATCTGAAAATTTTATTTATTGTTTATTCAATATTGAAATTTAATAATAAAATTAATAAATTATTAATTTATGAAGGCCCTGTGTGCCTATGCGTGTGTGTGTGTGTGTGTGTTTATTTTCTCTCTTTATCTCTGGCAACGCTACCTGTGACTCTTCCCATTTCTGAGCATGCAAGCTCAGCTCCAACCATATCTGCACTTTTTGGCCCACAGACCTGCTCTGACCACTGGCACCCACAGCCAGGAAGGGCTGGGGAATACTCTCCTGAAACAGTGACATGCCTGGCGTATTCCACACAGGGACAGATCATTTTTTAACACTTCCCTTCTCTACATGACAAAATTACATTCAATACTAATCATGAAACAAAAGGAATAATATTAATAGCTAAAAAAGGAATGCAAGACCAGGTGCAGTGGCTCACGCCTGTAATCCAAGCACTTTGGGAGGCCAAGGCAGGTGGATCACTTGAGGTGAGGAGTTCGAGACCAGCCTGGACAACATGGTGAAACCCCGTGTCTACTAAAATTACAAAAATTAGCTGAGTGTGGTGGCGGGCGCCTGTAATCCCAGCTACTTGGGAGGCTGAGGCAGGAGAATTGCTTGAACGCAGGAGGCAGAGGTTGCAGTAGGCTGAGAGTGTGCCACTGCATTGCAGCCTGGGCAACAAGAGCAAAACTCTGTCTCCAAAAAAAAAAAAAGGAAATGCAGATGAGAATTTGCTTGCAATGACCTTTCTGTATGAAATCATGATGAGGAAAAATGGCATCAGAAAAGTGATAAAAACTTTCCTTCATGTTGATCAGTCACGATAATGGATAATGACATTATGGTTTCTATTTTCAGCTTTCTTTTCTGCAGTTGTGTCAAGTGATTTTGTCAACATTGGTCTTCCTCATGGACTTGTGTTGAATAGCCAGGCTTCAACACAGTGGGCTGAATAGTCAGCTCATATTCTCTCCTAGGGAATGGATGAGCATTGTTTATTAACTTCAATTTTGTAAAGTTTCTTTTTGATGAAGCAATGGGTACAAAATGTTAGAAAACGTCTTCAACGTAAGTATAACTTTGGTAGAGTTCTTTCTTTTTTCGAGACGGAGTTTCGCTCTTGTTGCCCAGGCTGGGGTACAGTGGTGCAGTCTTGGCTCACCGCAACCTCTGCCTCCCGGGTTCAAGCGATTCTCCTGCCTCAGCCTCCCGAGTAGCTGGGATTACAAGCATGTGCCACCACGCCTGGCTAATTTTGTATTTTTAGTAGAGACTAGGTTTCTCCATGTTGCTCAGGCTGGTCTTGAACTCTTGACCTCATGATCAGCCAGCCTCCGCCTCCCAAAGTGCTGGGATTACAGGCATGAGCCACTGCACCCGGCCTCTCAGAGATTTTTAAAAATCCCATTTCACAGTACATTCCAGAATGGGCAACATTGTCGAGGTCTTTATTTCTCTGGGATCAGTTCTAGCAGTTTTTGATTGCCTTCACCGTAGAGAAATATTGAGTGAAAATGGAAACTCCAAGTGAAAACGAAAACTCTAAGTGCTGATGAAAGTAACTCAAGCTCTGTCTTTTCGCCCTCACAGCCTCTGGGCTGTAGCTGCTTATTCTGAGTATCCTGCTGGGACCTAAGAACATGAGACCCAGAGGTTTAGAGACGGAAACTGCACCTGAATGAGCTGGAGAGGTCCTGGAGCATTAGGAATTCACTCTCGAAACAGACGCTTGTAGCTAAATATGCATGTCAGGGCTGAACCGGGTGGGAGTTTGCAGAACTAACTTCTACATGTACAATATAAAGTTTATTAAAGAATGAATAATAAAAAGTGTGAACTTGGAGCTTCACATATATCATTAAAACTCAACAGTTAACCCTGGAAATATTCTGGAACTTGAATGAACAAAAGATCTAGGAACCTGGAAAACATCTCTGATGATGTTTAGAATTGTCTGTGCATGGTAATAATAAAAACACTGATTTATAGTTGGTCATATTGAGAGGTGAAGCCGGTTGGGCTTCTGGGTGGAGTGGGGACTTGGAGAACTTTTCTGTCTAGCTAAAGGATTGTAAATGCACCAATCTGCGCTCTGTGTCTAGCTAAAGGTTTGTAAACACACCGATTAGCACTGTGTAAAATGGACCAATCAGCACTGTGTAAAATGGACCAATCAGCGCCCTGTGAAATGGACCAATCAGCAGGATGTGGGCGGGGTCAAATAAGGGAATAAAAGCTGGCCACCATGTGCCGCCAGTGGTAACCTGTTCAGTATGCTTCTGTGTGATGCTTGTTTTTTTTTTTTTTTGCTGTTTGCAATCTTGTTGCTGTTGGCTGTTTGGGTCTGCCCTGATTGTAAGACACCCATGGCAAAGTCTGCAGCTTCACACCTGGATGAAGTCAGCGAGACGGTGAGTCCACCAGGAGGAGTGAACAACTCCAGACCCGCCACCTTTATAGAGCTGTAACACTCATCGCGGAGCTCTGCAGCTTCACTCCTGAAGCCAACGAAACCACGAACCCACCAGGAGGAACGAACAGGTCTGGACGTGCCATTTTTAAGAGCTATAACGCTCACTGTGCAGGTCTGCAGCTTCACTTCTGAAACCAGCGAGACCACGAACCCACCAGGAGGAATGAGCAACTTTGGTTGCGCTACCTTTAAGAGCCGGAACACTGACTGCGAAGGTTTGTGGCTTCACCCCTGAAGTCAGCGAGACCACGAACCCACCACAAGGAAGAAACTCCGAACACATCTGAACATCTGAAGGAACAAATTCCGGACATGCCATCTTTAGGAACTGTAACACTCACCGCGAGGGTCTGTGGCTTCATTCTGGAAGGTAGCGAGACCAAGAACCCACTGGAAGGAGCAAATTCCAGACCCAATATTATTGTAGAATTCTCTCCAGAGTGTGGGTGTGGTGGCTCAGGCCTGTAATCTCAGAGCACTTTGGGAAGTCAAGTTGGAAGGATTGCTTAAGGCCAGGAGTTTGAGTCCAGTCTGGGCAACATAGTGAGACCCTGTCTCTGCAAAAAATTAAAAAATCCAGATGTGGTAATGTGTGCCTGTGTCCCAGCTTTTTTGGAGGCTGAGGTGGGAAAATGGCTTGAGACCAGGAGTTAAAAGCTATGAAGAGCTGTGATCATGTCATTGCACTCCATGTTAGGCAAGAGTGACGACCCCCAACTTTTAAAATATATATTGTTGAGGCAGAGTTTCACACTGTCCCCCAGGCTGGAGTGCAGTGGCATGATCTTGGCTCACTGCAACCTCTTCCATCAGGTTCAAGCAATTCTCCTGCCCCAGCTTCCTGAGTAGCTGGGGTTACAAGCGCCTGGCTAATTTTTGTATTTTTAGTAGAGAAGTTTTCACCATGTTGACCAGGCTGGTCTCGAACTCCTGACCTCAGGTGATTCACCCACCTCGGCCTCCCAAAGTGCTGGGATTACAGGTGTGAGCCTGGCATAAATAAAATTTTTTAAAAGAATGAAACAATTATCTACAGACAACTTGTCCCTTCATGGCCTGCGTAGGCAGGGCCCTGCCTTTGGCATCGTCTGTCTGGGGCCAGCTATTCTTTGACGTGAGTTGGGGTAAGTGTGCCAGCTCCCTCGCTCCAGCACAGAGGGACTGATCTGAGCCCTGGCTTTCCTGGGCAGATGGAGCTCCAGCTGCCCCAGAGGTGTCTATGTCAGTAACTTGCCCCTCCTTGGTTGCTCCTCCCATCTCCCTTCCTCCCATACCAGTGTTTCCTGGACCACCTTATGAATCAAGTGCTTGCACTTACATCCTGTCTCAAGATCAGTTTTTGGGAGAATCCCAGTCAGGACAGTAGCTCATTCAAAAAATAAAAAATAAAAAAAAATTCAAAAAACACACAACAGGCCGGGCGCAGTGGCTCATGCCTGTAATCCAGCACTTTGGGAGGCTGAGGCAGGCAGATCAAGAGATCGAGACCAGCCCAGCCAACAGGGTGAAACCGTGTCTCTGCTAAAAATACAAAAATTAGCTGGGTGTGGTGACGTGCGCCTGTAGTCCCACCTACTGAGGAGGCTGAGGCAGGAGAATTGCTTGAACCCAGGAGGTGGAGGTTGCAGTGAGCCGAGATCATGCCATTGGACTCCCGCCTAGCGATAAAGTGAGACTCCGTCTCAAAACAAAAAACAAACGAAAACAACAGTGACAACAAAACACACAAAAGACAAGCCAACAGAATAACATCACTGGTCCTCAGACAGGTGGATGATTGGATAGGCAGGTGATAAGGAGGTAGGTAAGCAGGGCTTACCTGAAGCTCATGGAGCGGAAGTTCAATGTCTTACTTTTCTAATTTTCCTCTTCTCTGAGTTCATGTCTCCTTCCAACTCTCCCTCCCCTCCAGCCTCCACAAAGGGAAAACGAAGCCCCCAGATCTTGTCTTTTAAGCCCTCAACCTGACGTCGGGGAAAGAACTCTGACCTGTCTTTCCTCCCTCTTTCTGGCGTGAGAGGGCCACACTTGGTAGGGGGTATCCTCCTTTTCACAGCTAATAACACAGAAACGAGCTCCTTGTGCCCGTTGGGCAAGGGCCACAGGGATGGGCCTCAGCCCCCGGCAGAAAAGGCTCCCCAGCTCCCGAGGGAAGTTTGGGAGCAGCCCGGGAGCTCCCATGGGCAGGCAGTAGGCGTGACGGAAAGAGAAAAATCACAGCTCACACCAAGTAAGGCCTGTTGCTGGGTGCGCTGAACCTTTGGACAAAACTTTGTTTCACTTAGCAAACCTCCATAACAATGCTTTGAGGAAGCGATTCCCATTTTCAGACAAGGAAACTGAGGCTCAGAAGGCAAAGTCACCTGCCTAAGTTTCACAGGGCTTCGGGGGTGGAACACTTACCAGTAGGAATGCTGGCCAGAGCCCCTTCTCTGCTCAAACTCTGCCTGTGGCTCCCACGTCACTCCAGGTAGAAGCTGAAATCCTTTCCATGGCTCACATGGCTCTGCTTAATCAGTCCCCCACCCTCACCCGATTCCCCCTAAGCCTACCCCCCACCACACTGCCTATTCTTGTTCCTCAGATAGCCCTGGATCCTCCCGCGTTGGGGCCGCCATCCCTGTATCTGACTGGAGCTGGCTTCCCATGGAAGTAGGTGACCCGCAGCCACCTCCCTGCAGCCACCAGGTCTCTCCCCACAGGCAGCTTTTCCTTTCGGCCTTCCCTGGCCTTCCTGTTGGAGATCGCAGCCCTCCCACCCACTGACCTCCTGCGGCCAGGACTCCCTGACGTATTCTCCATCTATCTTACATGGTTATGTATTGGATATCTGCCTCTTTCCAGCAAAACATTGGCTCTGAAAGGGCAGAGACTTTTGCATGGTTTGTTCACTGTCATTTCCCCGGTGGCCAGAACATCACCTGGCACATAGTAGGTGCCCAATATGTGTTTAATGGATGAATGAGTTGGGACCTGCACCCGGGTAGTTTGAACTAAAGTGAACTAACTAAAATGTACCCTGACAGAAACCAAACTTCACTGAATTGTAAATCAGACTTCAGTATTTAAAAAATTTATTTTTACTTTTTATCATGGAAATTTTGAATAAACACAAAGTAGCAAGAATAGTATAACATGTCACCCAGTTGCAACAATTGTCAACCCACGGGCAATCTTGCGTCATGTGCACCTTCTCCCACTTCCACCCTTCCTGTGTTATTTAGTTTAAAAAGTACCCCAACTTTTAGCATCTTAGTAGTTTAGCAAAATACCAGTTCCTGTGGATCAAGAATCTGGGCCCGTCTCATCTGATGGCTCAGCTGAGGGCAGAGCTGCTCCTGAGCTCATTCAGGCGGTTGTCAGTAGGACTCAGCTCCTCCCAGGCAGGGGGCCAGAGGCCTCCCTCAGTCCTTTGCCAAGTGGGTCTCTCCAGAGGGCAGCTTACAACACGGCAGTGGCTTTGCCAGAGTAAGTAAGGCGGTGCTGGGTGGGGGGAGTCCAGTTGAGAGGGGAGTCACAATCACTTGTGAACTAACCTCAGAAATGACATCCCAGCCCAGGGCAGTGGCTCAAGCCTATAATTCCAGCCCGTTTGGAAGCTGAGGCCAGAAGATTCTTAAGGCCAAGAGTTTGAGATCAGCCTGGGCAACTTAGCCAGACCCCATCTCTACCAAAAAAAAAAAAATGAAAAAAATTAGGGGGGTGTGGGTGCACACGCCTATAGTCCCAGCTACTCAGAAGGTTAAGGCAAGAGGATCACTTGATCCTGGGAGGTTGAGGCTGCAGTGAGCTGAGATTGCACACTGCACACCCGGCCTAAGCAACAGAGTGAGACCGTCTCAAAAAAAAAAAAAAAAAAAAAGAGAAGACATCCCATGGCTTTTGTGGTATTCAGTTCATTTGAATCAAGTCCCTAGGTTTGGCCTACACACAAGGTGAGAGATTGCACAAGGGTGTGAATGCCAGGAGGGGCCCTAGCCCATGCCTCCTAGAGAAATGTGGGCTCCTGGATGCAGGGCCCTGTGCGTGAACGCTCACCACAGCATTGCCACAAGGCAGAGGCTTTGTGCACCACGGCGCATCCCCCCAGCCCTCCTGGCCCAGCAGTGCTGTGCTGCGGCACTGCCTCCACCCTGCCTGTGCTGTCCTCTGCTCTTCTGCCTCTGGGCTTGCTCAGCCCCTGCAGGTACAGGCTGGGTTTGTGAGGGAGCTGATGTTCTTAGGGGCAATCTTGAACCGATGGGAAAGTGAGTCTGTAGATGAGTCTCTGACCTCCATCCTATGCATTCTACGTAGTGCTTCATACAATCCTTGGTGGGGTCAAGCTGCCAGTGCCAACAGCAGTGAACACCTTTGCTGGGCACCCTGCGTTGTTTCTGGACTCTTCCCCTGTTGTGGCCAGCTTCTGAGATGACCTCTGATGAGCCTTACCTCCAGTCTTCATGCCCTGTGACGCCTGTGGTCTGTTTACCTAGTGGAGTAAGGTGGAGGTGATGGTGTGTGACTCCCAAGGCCGGGTCACCGAAGGCATTGCAGTGCCCTCCTGCATCTTTTGGATTCTCGCCCTGGAGAATGCCAGCCGACGTGTTGTGAGGACATTCAAGCACCCTGTTGAGAGGAACTGAACCTCCAACTAACAGCCATGCAGATGAGCTTGGAGACAGACCTTCCAGCCCCAGGCGAACCTTCAGATGATGGCAGCCCTGGACAATGACTGACAGCAAACTCACAAAGAAAGCTGAGCTGGAACCACCCAGCCAAGACCCACAGAAGCTACAAGGGATAAATAAAAGATAACTGTTGCTTTAAGCCATCTGCTCATGGGGTAATTTGGTGCATGGTAGTAGATAATAGTGAGACTTTTATTCTCCTACTTCCTCCGTCTTGCTTCCTGAGAGCACCTCCCAGACCAACTGCCTGCACCCAAGCCTTTGTCTCAGCTCTGCTTTCAGGGGAATTCAAACCAACACAGTCACAGTGAAAACTTAGGGTCAAGATAACGTCTATCCACAAGACACTCGATAAACTGTGGTATTGTTATTCCACTGACCCCAAACAGCAGTGAACATGAGTGACCAAGAACTACCTCAATCAGCTAGGAGAGGTCCCTAGCACCTAATGTGAAATGAAAAAAATCAAGAAGCAAGAAAAAAGAAGAATACCCACAGTGAAACTCTCAATAAAAAGTTTCCAAACACATAGTTCCATTATTTGCACTAATGCTTATGGGCACATATGTATGTAGTGGTAAAAGCACAAAAGCTTTTGTGAGATGAGCAAACGCCAGAATCAGAGTAATGGCCACTTCCGGGGATACAAAGAGAGGAGAGACTGGCTGGGAAAGGGACCCAGGAGCACCATGTATTGGAATCCTTGGTGGAGAATTGAAGCAGATCTGAAGATGAAGCTTGTTGGTGAGTGCAAAGCTGTGTGTTATATAATTTTCTATGCCTGGTTGCATATTCATTGTTGCATTTAATTTTTTTTTTTTAGATGGATTCTTGCTCTGTCACCAGGCTGGAGTGTAGTGGTGCAATCTTGGCTCACTGCAATCTCTACCTCCCGGGTTCAAGAAATTCTCCTGCCTCAGCCACCCAAATAGTTGGGATTACAGGCATGTGCCACCACACCCAGCTAATTTTTGTATTTTTAGTAGAGACGGGGTTTCACCATGTTGACCAAGATGGTCTCGATCTCTTGACCTCGTGATCTGCCTGCCTCGGCCTCCCAAAGTGCTGGGATTACAGGCGTGAGCCACCACGCCTGGCCACATTTAATATTTTTTAAAATGAGGGATGAAACATACAAAGGGAACTTGGAGGTCTGATTCCATTTCAGCCGCTGGTTCCGTGGCCTTCCAGAGCACTTCCCAAAAGGTACCACTCATGGTCCTGCCTCAATGACTTTGCATTGGCTGTTCCATCCCCAGCGATACTTTTCCACCAGAGAGATGCCTGACCTCATTCTTGCCCTTGTGTTCAGAACCACAAAACACTGTATATTGTAAAAATGTCCCGTTTGCTTATGCCTGAGTGAATGGGTTTCTGCTGCTAACCCCCTGACCAGGCACAGAGCAGTGGTCTTTGCAAGGATGGGCCTGGGGCCTTTGGGTCATTCCTCCTGAGAAATGCTGCTCAGGCCTTTGACCAAGACACAGGAAAAAGGGAGCAGAGATGCAAACACAGATATGCAGCAACCACTCTGCCCAGATTCACCTCGGCTTCCCCCTTGGCACTTGCTATTTTCACAGCTCTCCAAGGCCATTAGTGACAACTGTGCCCTAAGTAGGTCACAGCGATTATCCCCCTTTTAGGGGCAATCATCATCATCATTGTGAGGCCGCAGGTTGGTGTTTAGTGTCCTGCTGTTCCACGAACTACTTGGACACTTGACAGCACAAAGCCCTTCAGAGAGGCCAGGGGCAGCAATCTGCTCTTTCCTTTTTCCAGAAGGAACAGAGGTTGAGAGAGGGTAAATGAACCCCCTGCCCTGCCAAGAAGAGTGTCAAGTGGGCTTTGGGGAGGGGATGAGTCCCCCTCAGACACTGTGAAAAAAAGGATGGTGTCCTCTGTGCCCAGGATCTGGTGTTGGCACCACAGACCACCCCCTTCCTTCAGAGAACGTCTCCTCTGTCCCTCCATGTGGTCCTGGGGAGGCTGCCAGGCCAGCTCACCGCCACCCTCCCTGCAGTGGGGAGCAGCCGGTCCAAATGGGATCATGAGCCACAAAGCACACAGGAAGTTGGAAATCCAGTGGTGCAATCAGAAGCAGAAAAACAAAACCCCCAAATCCAAGTGTCTCAGTGGACCACAAGATAAATTCAAGTTGGCAAGATAAAAAGGAAGGTTTCGCTAAGTGTTATTTAAGAAAAACAAGCAGGCAGGGCTCAAATTGGGAACAGAATGTGTGGGGATAAGCAAAGCTCTTCTTCTTGTACATCCCACAGTTTCCAGAGAGGAGGACAACAAAAATGCCTTGAGCACTTGAGGTGAGGACCTGGAGGAAAGGTTCAAGAGACCAAAGGCTTGCAACCTGGAGCAGAGAAAAGCACAGCCTCGCTCTGAGGCCCGCCCTTAAAGGCTGTGCCCTGGGCCCTGCCAGGCCCCACCCAGGTCTGGCCCTCACTTCCCTCACTGTTACACATTTGCCTTAAATTAAAAGCAGACCTGCACACAGCCACCCACCCGATCCTAGGGGCTGACACCATATTTTATCTGCCATTCTTTTATTTTTTATTTTTTTATATAGGAAAATGGAGACCCAGGAAGATGCACAAACTTGCCCACAGGTCCCAAGGCTGGCTGGGACTCTGTGGGACTTGAAGCCCAATGCTGGAGCCCACGTCCCTCACTGCTACTCCCTGCTGCGGCCCTGACTCACCCCTTCCAGCCTGCCCACTACTCTCAGCCCTTCCAGGCTGCCCACTACCCCGCCTGATGCTGGGTCCTAAGCCTGTGGGCTCCGGCCCAGCCCAGCTGTGCGTGGATCATAGAGTTGAATGGTGGCTCACTGGTCTCCCGCTCCCACCCCTGCCCCCACCCACACACTGCTAGTTTTCCTTCTAGCAGTCAGAGGGACGCTGTTGAAAGTCATCCTCCTTCCTCCCCACAAACCCTCCAGGGCTCCCACCTCCCTCAGGATGAGGCCAGAGTCCTCCCACTAGCCCCCGTGAGTGCTCTGGCCTGGTGGCATGCCTGCTCCCCTTGCTGCCTGCTCATTTCATTCTGGCCACTCACGGTACTGCCTCAGGGCCTTCGCATTGGCTGTACCCTCTCCTGCAATGCTTTTCCACACTACACAGACAGAACTTGCTCCCTCACCTCCTTCAGACTTTGTTCCACTGCAGCATTCTCAGTAAGCCTTCCTCGAGCGCCTTGTGGTAGAGAGGTACAGAAATACCCTCTAGGGTGGGAAGAAAAGCAGCCAGCCTGGGGCCCCAGTCAGGGCCTCAAGATGTGCCCTTATGTTGCTCCGATCCTGCCCTGTCTCAGGGTGTGCCCTGCTCTCAGATGTGCCTGCCGCTGACGACCATTCCCACTCCGACAAGGAGGCTGCAAAGGCTGTAGCACCCAGGGATGAGGATGAAGCATTTTTATTCTTCCCACTGTAAGACGAAGTAGCATGCGTAAGAAGCCACGTTGGCTCATTTCTGCTTGAACCCCTGACTCTGTGACAACGTGCAGCTCTCTGGAAAGATGCTTTGAAGGCAAAGCAGGATGAAGCGCCCGGCCCCGCACGTCTCTTGCCTGAGTCACTTGATTCCTTAAAAGAGAAGAGCTCTAGTCCTTGCCTTTCTGACAGGCTTAATGACGATGCCTCTGCCATCTATAACCAGAGGTGCTCTTACACCCACACCTTGATGGGCTGCTGCTTCAACGTAACTTCTGAGCAAGTCCGATGTGATTTTGCACTTGCTGAACCTCCACCACCTGTATGTAAGCCGTGGGCTTCAACAGAACTGCCCTGAGGCAGTAGATGTGGTCTGGAGTCCTCAGACTCCTGAATGAAATGAACTTTAGTTCTTCGAAAGCTTGATTTTGTTTTCGTTGTCAACACTGGGAAATTGGGCTTAGAGGGGCTTCCAGGGGCCTCTTTGCCCTCCAGCTTTCCTTGCCTCCTCTTGTCTCCTGATTTGCTCTTATGTTTCTCTACCTTCCAGGAACCCGAGTTGCTAAGCTCCTAGCTCCAGCCTGTCCCACCAGCGGGGGCTCCAAGGGGCTCAGGCTTCCCAGAGTCCAGTGCCCACATAGCAGACAAACCCACATCGTGTGCCCGAGTCTCCTGGCCTGGTTTAGGCATGTGATTACACTCATGGGGTCTGTGTCTCTTGCTCGGATTTAACCACATACCCTCCCAACCCGCCAACTAGGTTTCAATGCAAGGGAAGGCCAGATCCCTGTATGTCATGTCTAACCCACACACCCACGTGAGCGCATGTCTGTGCACATGGAGCGTGTGTCTGGGGTCCCGATGGCAGTGTTTACACAGGAACCTCTGTCCAGTGAGCAGGCACACACGCACGTCCTGGGCATCTGGTGCTAGAACTCTCAGGAGTGAGAATGGGGTAAGGGGCAGAGAGTCCTTTACAGTGGGCCACCAGGGCACCCCCACTGGCGGCATGGACCCACCCCCTCAGGGGGCATAGAAAATATCTGGAGCCTAGGTTGAGGGTATGAACGTCCCCAGGGAGAAGGAAGGTCATCAGTGAATGTAGAGTGGGCAGAGTTGCCCCTTCCAGGGGAGTGAGCAAGGGGCACATCCCGTCAGTGCTGGGTCCACCGAGGGCTTGGGGGCTGCCATTAGCCCATGTGGTGCGTTGTGTGAAGGAAGAAAGCGCCCTCTAATGGTGGCTGCAGTCCCAAGGGTTGCAGGGCTTGGCTAGCGGAGCATGGACTGAATGTCAATGAGCACTGCGCCTTTGGCAGGATGCCCTTGGGCAGTGCACAGCCTGTACCGCTGTACAGGGCATCCGTGGGGGAGGCGGGACTTGTGGAGACACATCAGACCAAGGTCAGCTCCAGTGTGAATGGGGGAAGTGAGGGAACCCGAGGGCAGCAAGAGGTGGAGAGGCATCCAAGAAAGGCCCAGAGGATATGTAGGCTGGGTCCCCACCAGCAGTCACGTGAGTGCCTGGCAAGACCATGAGTCAACATCCCAGCACTTGGGGTGGAGTGAGGTCCACACACTCACTCCTCTGGTGCCACCACAGCTCAGGGGGCCTCTTGTCTGCACGCTGAGCCAGGACTGGCCACGATGGAGGGGGCCAAAGAACAAGAGAGCCCTGCTCTCTAGTTAAAGAGAAAATATGCACCCACACGGAACATGTTTAAAAATGTTCTTCACAAGTTAAACCTAGAGTCACCATATGGCCCAGCAATTCCACTCCGAGGTGTCTACACAAAAGAATTGAAAACAGGTGGCCGGGCATGGTGGCTCACGCCTGTAATCCCAGCACTTTGGGAGGCCGAGGCAGGCAGATCACGAGGTCAGGAGATCGAGACCATCCTGGCTAACACGGTGAAACCCCGTCTCTACTAAAAATACAAAAAATTAGCTGGGCGTGGTGGCAGGCGCCTGTAGTCCCAGCTACTCAGGAGGCTGAGGCAGGAGAATGGCGTGAACCCAGGAGGTGGAGCTTGCAGTGAGCCGAGATCGCGCCACTGCACTCCAGCCTGGGCAACAGAGAAAGACTCCATCTCAAAAAAAAAAAGAAAACATGTATTTGAACAAAAACTTATACATAAGTGTTTACAGCAGCAGTATTCATAACAGCCAAAAGGTGAAAGCAGCCCAATTGTGCATCCACAGATGAGTGGTAACAACTGCAGATGTGGATCCAAGCTTGGACACTTCTTACCTTCCAGACCCTGGACAAGTTCTGCAGCCTCTCGGACCCTCAGTCTCTTCATCTAAAAAATGCAAACGACAGTGCCCAGTTCTTGGGTGGTTGGGAAAACTAAGCCTACATACATAAGGTGTCAGATGCCCTGTAGGTCCTCACGGAGGTACGATATACCTGTACGATGGGATATTATTCAGCCACAAAAAGGTACAAGACAAGTGGACCTTGAAAACACTATGCAGAGGGAGGATGGCAGTCACAAGAAATCACATACAATTCCACTTATATGAAATATCCAGAATAGGTAAACCAACAGAGACAGGAAGCAGACTGCTGGGTGCCTGGGGCCGGAGGAAGGGAGGAGTGGGGAGTGACAGCTCATGGGAATGGAGTTCCTGTCAGGGGATGAAAGTGCTCGGGAGCTAGATAGAGGTGATGACTGCACAGCACTGAGAATGTACTAAATGCCGTGAAATTGTTCACTCTAAAACTGTTAGTTTTATAGTGTGTGGATTTTACTTCAATTTAAAGAAATCTCATGCCTGAAATCCCGACACTTTGGGAGGCCGAGGCGGGAGAATCACTTGATCCCAGGGGTTCAAGACGAGCCTAGGTAACACAGCAATATTCCATCTCCAAAAAAAATTTGAAAAATTAGGTGGGTGCGCTGTCATGCACCTGTAGTCCCAGCTACTGGGAGGCTGAGGCTGAGACAAAAGGATCACTTGAGCCTGGGAGGCTGAAGCTGCAGTGGGCTGTGACTGTGCCACTGCACTCTAGCCTGGGTAACAGAGAAAGACTTGCCTCTCTTAAAAAAAGAAAAGAAAAGATCAAGAAAGCAGATGACCAACGGCCACAAAAATTTGCAGAGCTTCTTGCAGACTAGGGAACACAAGGCTGGTGTTTAGAATAGTCACCAGCTGGCCTCATAGAGAACAGTCTGAGCCCACCTCTCCCTGATGGGTTGTGGGGAGGCCTGGGGTCCTGGAAGAAGGCCGTGTGGCTCAGGTTAGGGGCTTGGGCTATGAATCCCTAAGTATGAACATATCTGCAGACGCCCCCTCCCGCTCTGCCGCAGGCTCCCGAAGGAGGTCTGGACAGAGGGGAGGAGGGCCAAGGGTTGGTGGGTTTTGAGGGTCAAATAGCAAGCACTTGGGTCCGGCCAGGTCCAGGATGAAATGCCAGATTTTCCATCTGCCGTCTGCATGGACAGATCCTGCAGTTTCCCAAACCTCCAACTCCTCACCAGTGAAATGGAGCCAGTAATTCCCACCCAGCAGGAGGGTGAGGGAGAAAATGCACGGAGGAGCCTGGGTCTGCAGGCAGGTGTGGAGGGCAGGTGCCTGGCTGGTCTGGTGGCCGTCCTTTGATTACTTTTCAGAAGCAGCCGGAAAATAAGGCTCAAGTGCCCAGAATAGAAAGCCAGGCCGTCCAAACATAGGTTTAAAAAATATAACCGGGAAAAATCAACTTCCTTATGTTCACACTCGACCTCAGGTGTATTCATGGGGAAACGGCGAGAGGTCTGGAGGATGTTTGCAGCTGCTGTGGGTGGTGGTGGGCAGGAAGCCCTCCCCACCACCGCTCTGCCTGTGCGCCCGATCTGCCCGCCGTGGGGCCCAGACACACTTCCTCCTCTCCCTCTGCGCTCTGCTCCGAGGGCAATTTGGCATCTGCCGCCTTCAATTAACATTGCAGACTGGAAGTGGGGGCCTAGGGGAAGGAGGTGGGCCGCAGCGGAGAAAAACAAGCCCACTGTGTTGACAGCTGGGCACACCACCTGCTCCAGTGTGGCAGGGAAGTTGAGGACCGCAAAGCCAGGAGGGGGTGAGGGAAGGCTGTTGCACACACTGGGCCTCTGTGCCCCCCTCACCGGTTGCACCCCCAGATGCAGGCTCTGTCCCAGTCCCTGTGCCAGGACTGGCTTGAACAG
The DNA here is from genome assembly GCF_000001405.40 of Homo sapiens. Lineage (NCBI taxonomy): Eukaryota > Metazoa > Chordata > Mammalia > Primates > Hominidae > Homo > Homo sapiens. Next base: position 17,404,306 of record NC_000017.11, read on the forward strand.
ACCCCTCAGCCCTCTGATGGGAGGAGGGAAGGCAGGATGCACCGAGGTGGGAGTGTTTCTCCAGCCCTCTCTCTGCCAGGCTGAGTCTTGCTGGTTTCCCTTGATGGTGCACACCAAGGGATCCTTCACTGAACTCCCTGCAGTTACCGTGGCAGGCAGGCTTTTTCCTGCTGCAACACTGGCTGCTACCCCAGATAGTGCCTCGGTGGGTGACTGCGTAAGGAGAGCAGCTACCTCCGGCCCTACTGCCAGGTTCAGCTGGGTGGCACTGGGCCTGCCTCTCATCAGGCACAGTCTTTGAGGACAGTGACCAATGACTAACCTCAACAATGACACTGGGGCCAGGGCTGATGTCTGTGTCTGGTACCTTATGTATGTGGGCTTATTTTTCCAACAACCTGAGAAGTGGGCACTGTCATCCCATTTTCTAGATGAAGAAACTGAAGGTCTGAGAGGCTGCAGAACTTGTCCAGGGTCTGGAAGATAAGAAACTTCAAAGCCAGGCCGGGGCCTGCATCTCAATCTCCTAATCCCAGCACCTTCTGGTTGTTGCCCAAGCTGCCCCTGGGGAAGTCCAGAGTTAAACGCAGTGAAGGCAGAGTCATGGACCATGCGTCCAGGGACCTGGGCAGTGCCATAGTTTGAATACATCCCCCAGAGTTCATGCGCCATCCCCAGAGCAGCAATACTGAAAGGTGGAGTCTTTAAGAGGTGATTGCCCTCTTGAATGTATTAATCCATTCATCAATTCATCATCAATCCAATTCAACAATTAATGGATTAATGGGTTATCACAGGAGGAGAGCTGGCAGCTTTATAAGGAGAGGAAGAGAGACCTGAGCTGGCGGGTGGGCACGCTCAGCCCCCTCGCCATGTGATGCCCTGTGTAGCCTTGGGACTCCACAGAGTCCCCACCAGCAAGAAGGCCCTCACCAGATGTGCCCCCTGACTTGGGATGTCTCAGTCTCCAGAGTTATAAGAAGTAAATTTCATTTTGTGTAAATTACCCAGTTTCAGGTATTCTGTTGCAAGCAACAGAAAATGGACTAAGCCCAGCAGTGAGATGCTGTTGGCATCACAGGACTCTGTCATGAGCATCCACAAGCAGCCTAGGCTTTTCAAGCCTCAGTTTCCCAGCTAGAAGATGGGTCAGACAGAGCCCCTCATGGGGCTGTTGCAAGGATAACATGGAGACAATGGGTGCAGGGTGAGTGCCTGGGATGTAGGGAAGGGTTCCATAAAGGATCAACCTCTTGCTTCCGCCGCCTCCTTTTTTTCAGGATCCATGAGACTCTGGACACAAAACGGCTTTGGGACTCAGTTAGCAGCATCCAGGGAATGGGAAGCATTGTAGGGATTCTGTCCAAGTCACTGAGTCAGAGGTGGTGGAAAATTAAGCCCCAATAGGGCACTGTTTTATCCCGCATGTGCATGTGGGGAAGCAAATCAGGACCCAGGAGATCTGGATTCTGGAAAGATAAGACAAGGCGCTGGAGGAGGTGCCAGTCTACTTCAGAGTGGCCCCAAGAGGCACTGTTGGGCTCCCTCAGACAGAGCCAGTTCCATTTAACCCACCCCCTGACCTAGTTTGGTGTCTCTATGAGAGACACTCTGCAGAGTGCAAATTGCTCTGAACCAACTTCAGCTGGGCCAAGTCAAATGGGAATGAGATGCACATGGAGGGCCTTCCCCATGTGTGTCCACACATACAGGTGGGAGAGCATGTACAACCCATGCACCCCACCTCCAGGCCCATCTTCTGGGCAAGGCATCCCCTCCCTGGGCTGCTTCCTCATTGAGTGAAGTGCTTGGATGGAAACTGAGTTGCTTGCATCCTTTCCCCCCAGAGCTGTCTCTTCAAACAATCTCCCATGGAATCTCAGCATAAAGAGAAAGTGGGAGCACAGATGGGGCGTGTGGGGCCCTGGCCTCCTTCACAGGCCAACTGGGACCCCACAGAGTGCAGCTGAGCCCCAGCAGAGGTAGATTTCCTGGGCCCCTTCCGGGCCTGGTGCTGTCTGATGGGTACCTACCTGTCCTGGTGATGTCACCCCAGTGCTGTCACCAGAGGTTTTGTGTCCAGCCCTGGCTCAGAGCTCAACCTATCCTGCATGCGTCTGGTGACCTTTGGCATCCGCAGGGACACGCTGTGCTGAGGCTGGGCTGGAGGGAGGATTACACGGCTCTTACGCTGTTGCCAAACACATCTTGGAGAAGAAGAGAGAAAGAGCAAAATAAACAGAGCCATGTTCACCTCCCTGGTGCCCGATGAAGAAAGCCTTTCCTGAAATAGCTTGGCCACAGATCCTTGTGGAAAATCCCAAAGTTGAGAGAGGGATGCACCCTCCTGTCTCCTGTAGAGAGTAGAGTGCCCCCCATCTTCCATCCCCCCCAGATCTCTGGGCACTTAGGGAAATAACCTGTTTAGAAGTAGTTCTATTTTTCTAGCAATTGGGAGGGTCTTGTGTATAGAAGAAAGTGCAAGAAAATTAAGTCATCTGGACATATTGTCGAAAAAATCATGAAGGACATGGGGAATCATCTCCACCCCTTTCTTCTTGCATGATTTTGGGCGATGTCACTTTAGCCACTGAGACTTGACCTGTGTGATCCGGTCCATGGGGTCCTACAAATATCTATTAGGCTCCAACCACCGCATCTGGCTCATGGAGGAATCAGAACATTTCCTTTCTTCCTCCCGTAGGTTGCATCACAAGCAAGGGGCTAAGTGAGCCTCAGTTTCTGCATCTGTAAATGCGGGTGTGTGCTTCATGACCAAGGCCTCCAACAGCTAATATGACCCCAGTGTCACCCTGGGTGCTGTGGGCCACTGTGTGCACAGGAAGAAACAGACTGGGAGGGACTAAACAGGGAGGAGAAGAGATGTAAGACATATGGGGAGATAGGGAAAGGAATAGAGAGGGCCAGGGAGAGACAGACACACAGTGAAATATGGTGGAAGACAGACTGGGAAAGACAAGGAGAGAGACAGGGGCCCACCAGAGATTAGAGAGAGACACAGAGATAGAAAGAGACCAGAGAAATGGCAGTTACAGAGAGAGATGAGGAGAGACCAGGGAGACACAAAGACAGGGACAGACACAAAGACCAGAAGAGGCAGGAGAGAGAGGAAAGAGACACACAGAGAAACAGGGAGACACAGAGGCAGATACAAAGAAACGCAAAGAGATACACCGGGAGAAACACGCATTTACACAAAGCAACTGTTGTCCTGGTTTCAGGTTTGTGGGTCCAGGCTCCAGTGAGGTACGACTACGCCTGTACCCTCAGCTTCCAAGAACTTCCCCCTTGTGCCCCTGAGTTGTCTGGAGTGGATTTCTGTTTCTTATAATCCAAGCATCCGGAGTCAGATGACCCCCTCTTCCAGCACCAGCAGACTACCTTGGCCCACTTTGAGCCTGGCCTCTTCTGCTCACACATCCCTCCTGCCCAAACATCCTGGGCATTTTTTTGTTTCATTGAAGAAAGATTTTTGTTTTGAAATAATTTCGGATTTACCAAAGAGTTGCAAAGATAGTACAGAGAGTTTCCATGTACCTTTCACTCACTTTACTTAGTGTTTACATCTTACAGAACCATGGTACTATCCTCAAAACTAATAATTAACATTGTTAAAATACTATTCAATAAACTATAGACTTTATTATGTTGCCACCAGTTTTTCACTAATACAAGAGTCAGAAAACTCTTTCTGTAAAGGACCAGCTTTGCAAGCCATATGGCTACACAAAAGCAACCACTGAAAATACGTAAATACCAGCCTGGATAACATAGTGAGACCTTGTCTCTACCAAAAACAAAATTTTAAAAAATCAGTTGGGTGTGGTGGCGTGCACCTGTGGTCCTACTTACTTGTGACGCTGAGGCAGGAGGATCACTTGAGCCAGGGAGGTCAAGGCTACAGTGAGCTGTGATTGCACCAGTGCACTCCAGCCTAGGTGACAGAGTGAGGCTCTGTCAGAAAGAAAGAAAGAAAGGAAGGAAAGGAAAGAAAAAAGGAAGAAAGGAAAGAGAAAAAAGAGAAAGATGAAAGAGAAAGAAAGAAAGAAAAAGAAAGAAAGAAAGAAAGACAGAAAGACAAATGAGCATGGCTGAATTCCAATAAAACTTTATTTACAAGAGCTGGCAGAGGGCCAGAGTTGGCCCATAGACTGTAGTTTGCTGATCCCTGATCAATGTTCTTTCTCATTTCCAGGTCTCACATTGCCTTTAGTCGTCAGTTCCTCGGCCTTTCTTTGTCTTTCATGACCTTGATATCTGTGAACAGTCCTGGTCAGGTATTGTGCAATATGTTGCTCAATTTGGGTCTGATATTTTCTCATAATTAGATTGAGGTTATGCATTATTGGAAAAACTACCCCAGGAGTGATGATGTGTCATTCTCAGTGCATCATATCAGGAAGTACATGATGTCAGTGTGGCTTATTACTGGTAACACTGACCTTGACCTATTGGTTACAGTGGTGTTTGCCAGCTTTCTCCATTATAAAGTTATTATTTTCCCCTTTGTAATTGATAGGTATTGGGGGAAATGCTTTGCATCTGTGCAACTCTTGTTTCTCCTTAAACTTTCTCCTACGAGTCCGAGCATCCATCGGTGGGTCTTGCCTGCAGCAGTTGTTCCTGTGGTGTTCAGATGGTGATTTGCTGTTTCCCTGGTTCCTTCCACTTTCATTAAAGGGAACTCCTCTCGAAGGAAAAATGGTCCCTTCTTCCCCATTTACTTATGCAATCAGTTATTTATATCAGTATGGATTAATGGATATTTATTTTATTTGATGAGCTAAAACCCAATAGTATAATGTACCTGGATGTGTTGCTGGACTGTTCCAGTTTTGACTCCTGGGAGTTACTTCCAGCTGGCTCCCACATCTTCTCCACAGTCCCCTCTTTTTTGAGCTCGTCCTGACTTTCTGGCCCTACTTGATGCTCCAGCCACATCTGGTACCTTCCCTGCCCCAGCCCTGGGCTCCGATGCTTCTCAGGAAGGTGCAGGCACTCTTGCCCTGACTCCTCCTTCTTTTTTTTTTGAGATGCAGTCTTGCTCTGTTGCCAGGCTGGAGTGCAGTGGCATGATCTCGGCTCACTGCAACCTCCACCTCCCGGATTCAAGTGATTCTCCTGCTTCAGCCTCCCGAGTAGCTGGGACCACAGGCGTGCGCCACCAACCCAGCTAATTTTTTGTATTTTTTAGTAGAGACGGGGTTTCACCATGTTGGCCAGGATGGTCTCGATCTCTTGACCTCGTGATCCGCCTGCCTTGGCCTCCCAAAGTGCTGGGATTACAGGCCGGCCAACTCCTCCTTCTTCCTCCAGGGTACTCTTCCTCCCTCCCGGTGGCCACTTCCTCTTTGCTTCCTCCTCCAATGTGTAGACCTACCTCCTCCATGCAGCCTCCTCCCCTCCCGCCAGCCCTGGTCATGCCTGCTCTTCCTCCTGACCTATCATGGCTCCGGCTGCTTGCCTGGCTGGTCCCAGTTCAACGGCACCTGTCACCCACCTCATGGGTCTGTGGCTATCTCCAAGGGCTGCTTCTGAGGCCCCCTGAGCTGACCGCTGGGCTTCCCCTCAAACCTTGGGGACAGGCTGCTGCCCTCCTAGCCTGAGATGTCACCTCCAGGAAAGCATGGCTGAAAACCATGTAGCAACATCACTCATAGGTGCACACCACTGTGGTAGGCAGGAACTGAGAGGTGGCCGGGGCTGCAGCTCATGGATGGAGGTTGCCAGACAGTGGTGGTGTCGGCTTAGAGGTGAGCCTGCTGGCAAGAGCTCCCGGCCACACGGAGATTGAAACGACTTCAGAGCTCTCTTCACTCCTCCCTTCCTCTCTGGTCTCCATGCCAGTGTGGCTAAGGACCATTTCTTGTGCCTGAAGGACATTAGTCAAACTTGTTTTAGTTTGTTCACTCATTCATTCACCATTCATTCATTCGACAGGTACTGAAGCATCTACTATGTGTCACAGCTATTCTAGTTGGAGGCACAGCCATGAACAAAACAGGCAGAAATTGCTGCCAGTTCTAATAGGGAGAGACAAACAAAATAAAGTGTGCGTGTGTGTGTGTGTGTGTGTGTGTGTGTGTGCATGCGCACGCATGTGCATGCAGTGAGAGCTATTCCAGGCTTGTGATGTTGAGGGTCTACATTTTTGGTCAAAAGAGCATTCACAGCTTTCTCTCAGGGGCAATGGATCCAGCTGCTTGCTGAGGTTAAGTCAGCAGCAACTTAACACGGCTTTATTCAGCATGACGATTCTTCACTTGGGTCTGAGCAGCCCCGTGACACATTTTCATTTTCTCCCCTTTCAGCCCCTTTGAATGGAAGTGCTTAGAAACCTGGCATGTCAGAAATACAGGAGGGGCCTTCAAGGACATCCAGCTGAGTGGTTCTCAAACCAGGGCCCTAGGAACCCCCTGGGTCCTTGGGTGGGCGCAGGGGGAGCACTGTGAAGGGAGAGTAACCACTCCTCAGCTTCCCTTCTACCAGAGAAACTCCTTTTCACAAACGGGGCTTCTGTTCGGGATTTTATTTGGAGAAAGGGATTCTGGTGCTAAAAAACAAAGTTGGGTAACCCCTCATTTTACTCTTGTGAGGTAAGGTGGCATCCGGGTAAGAGTCCAGACCTGGCATCAGGCTGCCTGCGCTGGATCTTGGCTCTGCAACTTCCAACTTATTTAGCTCTCCAGATCTCAGCTTCCTCATTTGTAAAACGGGTTTGTAGCAATGACTGCTTCAACAGGGCTTTGGTGAGGGCTGGATAGCGTAACCTGTAGCAGATGCTTACCAAGTCCTGATAAGTAGGCACTAAATCACTCCTATTTACAAATTTTAAATAAAAAAAGAGAAAGAAGTGATACCTGTTCTTAAGAACACTCAAACACAAGAGAATCCAAAAACCATTTTAGAAAATTTCAGCCGGGCATGGTGGCTCACGCCTGTAATCCCAACACTTTGGGAAGCCGAGGCGGGTGGATCACCTTGAGGTCAGGATTTTGAGACCAGCCTGGGCAACATGGTGAAACCCCATGTCTACTAAAAATACAAAAAAAAAAAATTAGCCAGGAGTGGTGGCACATGCCTTTAGTGTCAGGCACTTGGGAGGCTGAGGCAGGAGAATCGCTTGAACCTGGGAAGCAGAGCTTGCAGTGAGCCAAGATCATGCCACGGCACTCCAGCCTGGGTGGCAGAGTGAGACTCCATCTCCAAGTAAAAAAAAGAAAAAAAAGAAAAAAAAGAAAAAAAAATTCCAGCCATACTCCCAAGAGTAACTACAGGTAAAACAGTTTGGTATATGTTCTTCCAGACTGTTCTTCTAGACATTTGCAAATTTGTAATATGTATGCTCAGAAACACTTCTTGCAAAAGGATATTTCACTCTCCATTCTGCTTTGTAATTTGCTTTTTTTCACTTAGTAATATATCATAGGCTAGTTTCTTCACCTGTTCCAGAGCCTGACCACATTCCTCTTCATGGCTGTGTAGCATTCCATCCCAGGGACCTTCTGTCATTTTTAACCAGTCCCCAACTCAAACATATTTAGGTTGTTTCCAAGTTGTTGCTATCACAAACAGTGTTGTAATTAACATATTTGTACCTACTTCTTTGAATTCTTGAGGTTTGCTGCAGGTTAAATTCATAGAAGTGGAATTGCTGAGTCAAAAGGCTTTCCCATTTAACATTTTTATAGGTACTGGCAAACTGCCCTCCAAATAGATTGTACCAATTTATACTCCCATCCATAAAGGAGGAGAGGGGCCTCTCTCCACACCCAGTCAATGTTGGGGATGACATTCTCTCTGTTCCCTGCCCTGTGACAGATGAAAAATGTTGTGCTTTTTTTCTTTTCTTTCTTCTTTTTTTTTTTCCTGAGACAGGGTTTCACTCTGTCACCCAGGCTGGAGTACAGTGGCTCAACCACAGCTTGGCTCACTGCAGCCTCAACCTCCTGGGCTCAGGTGATCCTCCCACCTCAGCCTCCTCAGTTGCTGTGACCACATGCACACAACTTCTGCCTAGCTAATTTTTGTATTTTTTTTTGTAGAGACAGGGTTTTACCATGTTGCCTAGGCTGGCCTCAAACTCCTGGACTTAAGCGATCTGCCTGCCTTAGCCTCTCAAACTGCTGGGATTACAGGCATAAGCCACCGTGCCTGGCCTGTTTTACATTCCTTCCTTCAATGATTCATGATGCTGTCTGCGTGTCCCAGTGTTTCCTGGCCATTCATAGTCTTCTCTTCTGTGAACTGCCTCATCACATCTTTTGTTTTTGAATGAGGAAGCTGAGGTCCAGAGAGGTGTGGAGGTTTATCCAAGTTTGTAAACTCCAGTTCTCCCCACTGTTCCTCTTGCCATCTGTCGTGTTGGTGGCTCAGTCTCCATTCATTTCTCTTTTAATAAAATAGTACCTGTCCGGGGTTGGATTCCCCCACAGACAGACGCCGAGTCAAAGGTTCAAATTCTCCTGGAGGAGAAATCTCGTTAGAGAATGAAGGAAGCAGAACCAGGAGGGGGAAGAAGCTCTGGATGAGATTTTAGGGAAAGTCCTAGCTCAAGCCTGAACCTGGGCCAGCTCTCAGGTATGAATTCCACCTCGCCTGTCCTGCGTGGAGGCAAGGAAGCAGAGCGGTCCTGCTTCCTCACAGCTCAGGCTGGCACAGGAGGCCCCAGGGAGTGCAGAACAGGAACCTAGGCTCTGTGGGAGGGTCTTCTCTGAGGTGACCAGGGGCTCAGGAGTGAGGCACTAAAGTGCATAGTAGCTGGGCACAAGGACATGTTAAAAAGCGATGTGAGGAAGTCTGGGAAGGACACCAACATTGTCCTCTACTGTACCCCCATTTTCTTTGGGGATCCACTCCTCCCTTACCCCAGCCCAGCCTTTTGGGTTTCAGTGGAGCCTCAAGAGAGAGCCCTGCCTGGCTCAAGCAATTAGAACATTCTATCCCTCTGGCCATGACTGATTTAGGGTTGGATCCACAACACAATCTGTGCCAGTGGAAGTCAACCCAGCAACTGTCTGGGGAGAGCGGTACTTGGTTCATTTTTCACTGCTGTATAGCACTCCACTGTGTGACTAAGTCTGGCTTTATGTACCCCCTCACCTGCTGGTAAACATTTGGGTGATTTCCGGTCTTTCCAGCTACGGAAAGTGCTGCTGAGAATTGCTAAGAACATTCTCGTATGCATTGCCCAAAGCATGTGTACACCTGGGAATGAAATTGAATGCAACATTCAACTTGGCAAGACAATGCTCCATTGTTCCCCAAAGTGCTTATAACAATTGACACATCCACCAACTGTGGGTGAGCTGTTTGGAGTTTTCGCCAAACCACGATAATGTCAGATTTCTTACCTTTTGCCAATTTACTGGGTGTAAGAAGATAGCTCACCCTGGTCTTCATTTGCATTTTCCTGATTAATATGTATATTCACCACTCACCACTCAGGTTTCCTGCAAAGTTATTTCTTCCCGATTCCTCTCCCACTGTCCTTTCTCACATAGAAGTCAGCCACTCTTCTTTGTTTAAGCTCTTCCTTCTGTCTGGAAATGCCCCAAGGAAACTTTCCGCCCACGCTTCCACACCTGGTCCTGATGGTACCTCCTCCAGGAAGCCTCCTTTGATTCCCCTGTAAGGGGCAACTCCTCCTCACGGTCCCCGAGGACCAGCACTGCGAGATCCCTGAGGACTGAGTCCTAAGTGTGTTTCCTCTCTCTCCTTCCTACCCCAGCCAGGCTGATCAGGTGACTCCTCAAAGAACAGGCTCAAAATGGTTTCTGTTTCCCTCCCTCCTACTTTGGGTTTACCCCATGCTCGTGACAACAGGACGGGCACAATTATGGATTACAATGTCAATGTGAACCAATAACCCAAAACATTGCCCCCACCCTCATCCCCACAGTGACTTGCCAGAGAAATCCGGGCAGGGCGTTTCACCCCTGCCACCTCCAAAGGAAAGCCGGTGGGCACTCTGCTCACATTTTCTGTGCCTGTCGTAGAGAAGGATGAGCATGCCCATCCATCAGCTTGTCCTGGGAACACCCCAGTAGCGGGAGCGCCTCAGCTTTTCGTCCCTGCTCATCTCCACCCTCCCAAGCTCACCCACAGCCTTAGAAACGGGCGACCGTTCCCTGGCTCTGACTCAGTGTGTGGTGTTTATCTGCCTGCGAAAAACCAGAAATTATAAAAACTCAGAGAAGGCTTCACCTCTGCCAAAAAAGATGATTCCACCTCGAGACACAGCTCTCCCTGGGGCTGTGGGGTTGGCAGCTGCTGTGTTCCCGAGGTTTCAATGAAACTGAATGCCCCAAAACAATGCATGCTGATTTGCAAACCTCAGATGGAACCAAAATTTTCATTTCCCCACCATGCACTACAAAACAAAACAGAGATTTTGGCTCGGATTTTTGGCTCAGCTCCCAAACAGCCCAGTGTGAACCAGAACCCAGGCGTCCCCACGGGGTCTGTGTGTCGGGCTCTGCTTCTCCCTCCGCTCTTCTGTCTCCAGGTCCTGCAGACTGTGGAGGGGACAGGCCATAGGAAAGGATTAAGTCTCCTCATCTACCACTTTATTGTTGATCTAGAACTTTCTAGACCTTGAGGATTTTGACAAAATGTGAATCTCCAATTATTTTGTGCAGCAGACATTTCAGAGGCAGAATGGTGGGAGGCTGTTGAATGGAGGGTGCACTGGATACTTTAGGCAAATTACTCGATTGAGCATAGCCTGTTTCTCCTTTGTAAAGTAGAGAAGACAGTGCGTACTTTCTCCATTTCACTGTTTTCTTCTGTGGATCAAAATGAGACAGCATTAAAGCACTCTGTGGTAGGGGTTGTTCCCAGTCTTAAGACTTCTTGGATCATGAAACATGACACAACATGGATGAAACTTGAAAATATGAAGCTAAGTGAAAGAAGCCAGGCACAAAAGACCACACGTTGCATGATTCCATTTATATGAAATGTCCAGAATAAACAAATTCATAGAGACAGAAAGTAGATTAGTGTTTGCCAGGGGCTGGTGAGAGTGTGGTTAGGGGGGATTGGTGAGTGACAGTTCATGGGTATAGTGTTTCTTTCTGGAGTTGATGAAAATATTCTGAAAGTAGACAGCGGTGCTATATATAGTGGGGATAGGAGTGAATATACTAGAAACCATTGAATGGTACACCTTATTTTTGTTTCATTTATCATTATTATTTTTTTGAGGCAGGGTCTCCCCTTTATCACCCAGGCTGGAGTGCAGTAGCATGATCATGGCCCACTGCAGCCTCAAACTCTTAGCTCAGGTGATCCTTCCACTTCAGCCTCCCAAGCAGCTGGGATCACGGGCATGCACCACTATACTCAGCTAATTTTTAAGTTATTTGTAGAGATGGAGTCTCCTTATGTTGCACAGGCTGGTCTTGAACTCCTGAACTCAAGTGTTCCTTGTGCCTCAGCCTCCCAAAGTGCTGGGATTACAGGTTTGAGCCACTGCACCTGGCCAATGGTACACTTTAAATCAGTGAATTGTATGGACTGTGAATTATATGTCAATAAAGCTGTTATAAAGAAGAAAAGAGCATATGCTCAGATCACTAGATATTTTGAGTTTTCAAGAGAAGCAGTGTTTCAGGATTAGGTTAGCTACCTATAACAGTAACTTCACCATTACAGTGGCTTAAGTAAGAAAGAAGTGCATTTTTACTTATGGAGAAGTCAGGAGGTAGGTAGTTCAGGGCTGGTTTTGTGGCTTCTTAGAGTCTACAGGGACTTAGGTTCTTCTCTCTCCTGTGCCATTCTCAGCCAGTGGCTTCCACTGTCAAGGCCAATTCAGAGTTCAAAATGGCCACTTGTTTTTATCCAGGCAGCAGGAAGAAGAAAGGAGGAAAGAATGAAAGCCACCCCCTAACCCTTGCGCCACCTTCTTCTTTCATCTCATTGGCCAAAACTGAGTCACATGGTCTCACTTTGCCACAAGGGAGGCTGGGAAATGTAGTCTTTTAGTTGGGCACATTGCTGCGCTGTCTAAAAATCAGGATTTGTAATTAAAGAAGCAGGGAAAACATCAGCTTGGTAAACATCAGCATCTGCCACTGCTTTTAGGTGAAATTCTGGTTGGTAATTTGACCCCCCCTTTTTAAAAATACCTTGCAGAACAAACTGAACACACCTGCAGTCTGGACTCACTGCAGGTAGGCCTGCTGGATTGGCTGTGGCTCTGTGGGGAGATGGGAGTGGGAAACCTTGTCCACTATGGCTTTGCAGATGTCAGTGGTTTGAAAGCAGCTATAGTTAAAATAAGGACAGTGCTGAGTCACTGTGAGGTGGTGGAGAGAGAGAACACACAAGTGCTTGGCAAACACAGAGAGCACAAACACACGAAGTCACAGTGTGGCTCTGCCACCGCATGGTTCAGACAAAAGCTCTGGGCTCTGCACAAAGGCTCCACAGCATCCAGGCTGCTGGGCAGACAGGAAGGGGCACAGCAATCTGAGTCATGGCGCCCTTCCTGTTGTGTTCTGCGTTTGCATTTTCTTTGAATATAAACCAAAAGCATTACAAACTATAGATGTAATTTGGACATGAAGGAACAAGGACAAAAAGTCAATAATTACTCACTCTGGACATGACCTTGTCACTGCCTCACCTTCACTTCCGGCAAGGCAAGAGCCATTCACGCTACTAATGACGTCTCCCGGGAAGATCGCATAATAAGCCTTGGTCAGAAAGCTGTATTTTTTGATAGGCAGGAAGCCCATGGACCTTTACTGCAATGTGTTCCGCAGGCTGCTCTAAGTTGCTGAGAAGGCCTCTTGGGGAGAGGAAGCGGGCCTTGGGTAGGGTGGCGTGGCGCTGTCAGATGCATCATGCCTACTCCCCAGGTGCAGGAAGGCTCAGGTGTGCAAGTCCAGAGGGTCGAGGAGTGCTGGGCCAGCCCAAGACAGGCCATAGAGGTTCCAGCATTGTCCTGAGCTCGCAGAGTGACTTTCTTTTCTCATTTTCAAAAGATGAGGCTGTGCGAAACTTCTTTTTGGAGCATCTCCCTTGCTGTCAAACCAAGTCTCTCATCTTCTAGGAGTCAGTCTTTTCATGGTGGCAGATCTTGGAGTTAGACAAGCCTGGCTCAATATACAGCTCCAATTATTTATTGTATCCCAAAATGCAGTGGCTTGAAACAGGCCCATTTGATTAGATATGAATTTGGGTAGGTGGACCTCCATCAGAAGGTCTTTCGGTTCCACATGGCTGTGGTTGGGGCTCATTCAGGGGTACTTACCTAGCCACTGGTGTGGGTCTAGAGGGTACCTGGTGGCTTGGGTGGTGCCTGGAAGACTGGGCTCCTCTGGGGCTCTCCACATGGCCTTCTCAGCCCAGTAGCTGGACTTCTGACATGGCAGCTCAAAGCTCCAAGAGATGGGAAACGGACCCAGAGATGGATTCTTAGTCCACTGCTGTCTTACTCATCCTCAATTTAAAAGAAACACTGGAGGCAGTGTTAAAGATTCATACCCCCAAACAGCCCCAATTTTCCATCCCCAACCTGTATCCATTTCCTTTGAATGTCATATACAGTAGCCTTGACATAAGTAATTCCATCTTAGAAGAAGTCTGAATCTTACATTTCGCAAGGCTCTTTGCCAACAGGGAACAGATGTTTTGCCTGATCAATAAAGATTGCAACCGGCCAGATAAGGACATAACCAAACACACCCTGCCACTGTCAGTCCTCACCAGAGGACTCTGTGGCCATAAAAAGAGCTGGACTTCCACCGCTCATAACAGCTGTCTTGATAAGCGCCTGGCATCTGCCTCTAAAGACTCTGCCTACATCAAAGACTCTTCCTTGCAAAGCTGTGATGCTGCTGAGCTGCCCAAGCCAGACCAGAATATTCTTTTTGTTCACATCGCTCTCCCTGGACTGGCTTATTAACCCTTTTTCCTATCCCTTTTCTCATGCCATGTTACTTTGTTTGATGCGTAATTTTCAATCTATAATGTTTATATATTGATAAGTATGTTATGTATGGCTTGCAATACTGACTGATCTGTGAAGTGGCTTGAGCCTGTGTGAATGCCAAGTGCTAAAAATTGTCTCCTCCTCTTTGGGAACTCCATAGAGCTGGTGGCTTTTATGATCGAAGTAGCATTAAAAAAAAAAAAAAAAAAAGCCTGACATTGTGGAAAGATACAAACAAACATGTGGGAGACTTGCTTATCTCTGGCCTTGAACCACTCATGGTAAATGTGACTTTGCAATTCCTCCCACCAAAAGGTACAGTCTATTTCCCCACCATCTGACTCAGGCCTTATCTATGGCCCATAGAAAGTGCCAGAAATGATGGTGTGTTAATTCCAAGCCTAGTCCTCAAGAGGCTCTTCAGCTTCCCTCTCTCCCTTTCCCCAACCTTCCCATACCCTGATCCCTGTGATTGGCATAAGGATATATGCCCAGGTTAGCCTGCTGGAGGACCAGGCTCCTAGATGAGCCAGGGGCCGCTGACCTTAGCCAATGGCAGACATGTGAGTGAGCCTGTTGGACCACAACTGCCCAGCCAAGCCCAGGCCAGATCGGCAGAATCGCCCTGTCAAGCTGCCAGATGCCAGTGGCATTGTAACATTTTCATTTGAAAAGAGAAGCAGCCAGGTGTGGTGGCTCATGTCTCTAGCACTTTGGGAGGCTGAGGTGGGCGGATCACCTGAGGTCAGGAGTTTGAGACCAGCCTGCCAAACGTGGTGAAACCCTGCCTCTACTGAAAATTAAAAAAAAAAAAACTTAGCTGGGTGTGGTGACATGTGCCTGTAATCCCAGCCACTGGAGAAGCTGAGGCAGGAAAATCACTTGAACCCAGGAGGCAGAGGTTGCAGTGAGCTGAGATTGGGCCACTGTACTCCAGTCTGGGCAACAGAGTGAGACTTAGTCTCAAAAAAAAAGAGAACCATTAGGAACAAATTAAACTCCAAAGAGTGAGAACAGTGGGATTTGAAGCCTTGTGGCAACTAAATAAGAAGGTATTTTAGGGCAGGCAACCCCCATGGCCTGTTGGGAACCAGGCTGCACAGCAGGAGGTGAGCAGTGGGCAGGCAAGTATTTCTGCCTGAGCTCCGCCTCCTGTTGGGTCAGCAGTGGCACTAGATTCTCACAGGAGCGTGAACCCTATTGTGGGTTGCACACTCTGTATGAGAATCTAATGCTTGATGATCTGAGGTGGGAGAGTTTCATCCCAAAACCATCCCCCTCCCACCCCCAGTCTGTGGAAAAATTGTCTTCCATGAAATCAGTTTCTGGTGCCAAAAAGGTTAGGGACCACTGTTTTAGAGGCAAGGGACCCCTCTCTGCCTCTGATCCCCAAATGCACTGACTCCTCTCAGGTCTGCAAACCTAACGCTGCCTGGGTCCAAATAGAGGTTCCCAACTAGAAGTGATTTTCAGATCCTTAGTAACTGGTATGGCACGGGCCATCAGCCATTGGAATACACCCAGCCAGGGCCCTCATCAAGTGCCTACTGTATGCCAAGTGCTGTTCTGTGTGCTGGGGATGTGCCAGTGGAAAAAAGTCCAAATCCTCACCACAAGAAGCTGTTGTTCTAGTGGAAAGGAGCAGATGATAAACAACTGATTAAATGAAATTCATGGCGGCAGATGGCAGTAAGAGTCATAGAGGAAATCAAAGCCGGGTAAGGGGAACCACAAGTGCTGGGCAATGGTGGCTACACTTTGAGTAGGTGGTCATGGAAAAGCTCATGAAGGTGACATTTGAGCAAAGATGTGGAGAGAGTGGAGCCACCCAGACATCTGGGGGAACAGGGTTCCAGGCAGAGGGATGAGCATGTGCAAAGGTCCTGAGGCAGTGGTGTGCCAGGCACATTCCAAGAGTAGCAAGGGGCTGGGTGTGGCTACTGTGGAGGGAGAGAGGGACAGTGGGAGGAGATGAGAGGCAACAGGACACCATCTGGGTAGGGCCTTTGGGAGACTGCGAGGACCTGGGCTTTGCTCCAGAGGACACGGGAAGTCGCTGGTGGGCTCTGAGCCAAGGAGGGACATGATCTGACACTCCAGCTGCAGTGTGCAAGGAGGAAGCAGGGAGACCCCTGATGGTCCACAGAGTGGGAAGGTGGCTTGGATCAGAGGAGAAGGGCAGAGGTGCTCAGATCCCGGATCTGTGTTGAAGACAGGATTTTGGTGATTGAACTTCTTTAATTCCCACAACAACCCGATAGGAAGTCACATTTATTGGATGTGAAAACAGCTCAGAGATGACAGAACTTCCTGAGGCTTGACGGGAGCAGAGAGTGGAGGGGCAGGGCCTGACCCCGGTTTCCAGATCCCTGTTGGTTCTTGTGGAGTCAACAGCCTGGTTTGGTGATGGCCATCGGGGCTCCCAGAGGAAGTGACATTGATGCTGAGACTTGGAGGACCTGGAGGCATGAGCCAAGCCGCAGCCCTGCTCCCTAGAGATCGCCGTCTTCAGAAACTCCCAGGCCCCTGCTCTTTCAACATCTTTCAGCCTGACGTGTGGCCAAAGCATGACAAACCTCCATGGGTGAGCACAAACGCAGGCGCCTCCCCTTTCAGGGCCAGGGTGGAGAGGAGGCAGGGCGCGTAGAGAAGCAGGAGGAATCTATCTTCATCCCCACGATTCCTTAGAGTCAGCTGACACTGAGGCCTGGGCCTCCCTCTGCTCGAGTTAGGCTTGGGAGGGCCCCAAGGGGTGTGTAGGAGCCTGTCAGGCCAACAGAGCCTGGGCTGAGGTAGGTGTCCCAGGCAGAAGGAGTGAAGGTGTAGAGGAGGGCTGGGATGGGAGGTGGGGGCAGAGCAGGAAGGGGCTGCCCAGGATGTGGAGCTTATCTTAGAGGCCACTGGGTGCCTGTGAAGTTGACTTTTCTTTCTTTAAGAGACAAGGTCTCGCTCCATTGCCGAGGCTGAAGTGTGGTGGCACAATCACGGTTCACTGCAGCCTCTACCTCCCAGACTCAAGCAATCCTCCCACCTCAGCCTCCCAGAGTGCTGGGATTAGAGGTGTGCACCACTGCACTTGGCCCCAGAAGTGGGCTATTTTTTAAAGTAAGTTTTTATTAAAGTCAAACACGCATACAGAGGACAGTACAGTCCTTTTTCAAGTTTTTTTGTTTTTAAATCTTTTATTTCTTTTTTCTCCTGGAGATCATGGAACACAGGATGTCCTCACACTGGATACACCTGTGCCTCCTGCACCTGGGTGAAGAAGCATCACAGCTAGGCCCCCAGGGCTCTTTGAGCCTCCTCTCAAGGTCACCACTCTCTGATCTGCTCCTATGTGGTGGTTTTGCCTGAGGTGGGCTGTTTTGGCATGTGCCCTTCGGGTCTCTCTTTGGGATTCTCCCAATGGAGGGTCACTGAGCAGTATGCCACCATCCGCTGGATCACAGGCCCTCTATTTGTTCCTCCATGATGGGACGAATAGGGTGACTCATTTGGGTTGTTGTCTGGATGGGGCTCTCATGAGTGGAGCTGCTCTGGCTCTTCTTGCATCCTGTCCCTTCTTGCACATCTGTCAGGTGTCTGCCTGCCCTGGAACGCCTGGGTCCTGGGGTAGATGTTTGTTCTGTGATGACCGATATTGCCAGACAGTTTTCCTACATGGTCGTACCAGTTCATGTGGAAGTGTTTTAACTGATGAGCAGCCATCGTATTCTCTGTTCCCTGCACCCCAGTGCTGCTCTTTGTCATCGCCATTGGGCCTCTCCAGGACCCTGCCCACCACATGGTGGGTGGATCCACACACATGTGGTTGGCCACTTCCCTGACCGATGGGCAGCATATGACATTGGCCACTCTGGGCAGTGAGACCCTCCTCTCTGCTCCTGGGGCCTCACCCCCTCCTGGGTGCATTTCTGCCAGGGCCCATCAAGGCCTTGTACCCATTGCGAGCTCCTCAGTTTGGGCCCTCTCTTTCTTACTTCCCACAGCCATGGGAGATCTTACTCACTCCCCGAGCTTCAGTCATGGCTGTGTCAATGCCTCCCTGTCATGGGACCCTCTTTTCTGAGGGTTAGCCCTCGCCACCCAGCCTCCACTAGACGTCCCTCCTGGCCACACCCTGGGCTCTCAGACTCCCTGCATCCAGAACAGGACCTGCCATCTGCCTCTCAACCTCGCCTTCCTCTGTGCCCACCTGGTGACCTCAGAGGGGCTGGTGGGCCACCTCGCTGGGCATGCCAGTCCTCCCTCTGTGGCTCAGCCAGTCCCTGGCCACATGATGTCCATTCTTTCTCTCTAATCTCACAAATATTTCCTCTGCTCTCTACCCCTGCAGCCACTCTGACTTCCCCTGTTGAAAATTATCACTCCTCTCTCTGTGTCCCCTCAATGCCATACATCGTCAGGAACTTCTACTCATCACAAAAGGACCTCCCATGATGGCCTGAAAAAAGACAGGAAGAGGGGCTCAGAAGATGGCTGATCAGACAGCTGTGTGAGCCTCACAGCCATGGCACCCTCCCCAGAGGTTTCTGCAGCTGCCACCACCTCCTTAATGACAGACAAGCTTGGCCTAGACAACCTCGCCTGTGTGCCTGGCAGAGGACAGTCAGCCAGCAATCAGCCCAGGGAACTCTGTCTGGCCAGAGCAACCAAACTAGGACACAGCCCTTTGAGCAATCCAGCAACTCGTACAACCACGTAGGAAAGCTGTCCGGCAGCATCGGTCATCACAGAACAATTAGAAGCAAATCTTTCCAAAAATAATCGAGCTTTGAGTGTTCTTCGAAGGATAAAGAGTGGGAGTGTAGTCGCCAACCGAGCTAACCAGGGCAAGGAAAATTCTGAAAACATCACCACCCCTGAAGTCTTTCCAAGGTTGTACCACCTGATCCCAGATGGTGAAATTACCAGCATCAAGATCAATCAAGTGGATCCCAGTGAAAGCCTCTCCATTATGCTGATGGGAGGCAGTGAAACCCCACTGGTCCGTATCATCCAACACATTTATCATGATGGGGCAAATGCCAGAGATGACCAGCTACTACCAGGAGACATCATCCTAAATGTCAATGGGATGGACATTAGCAAAGTCTCTCACAACTACGCTCTGCATCTCCTGCGGCAGCCCTACCAGGTGTTGTGACTGACCATGCTGCACAACCAGAAGTTCTGCAGCAGGAACAGTGGACAGGCCCTGGATGCCTACAGACCCCAGGATGACAGCTGCCATGTGATTTGCAACAAAAGTAGCCCCAAGGAACAGCTTGGAATAAAATTGGTGTGCAAGGTGGATGAGCCTGGGGTGTTTATCTTCAACGTGCTAGATGGTAGTGTGGCTGATTGACATGGTCAGCTGGAGGAGAATGATTGTGTGTTAGCCATCAATGGACATGACCTTCAATATGGCAGCCCAGAAAGCGGTGCTTATCTGATTCAGGTATTGCTGGCCCTCTTCACCACTGTATGGACTTATGCAATGCCAAGAAGGTAGAAAGCTGCACTATGATCCAGTGTCCAGCTCTGAAAAATGCTGCTCCTTGTGTGGTGGCATGTTTGACTCCTACCTCTCTGCTCTTGGAAGTTGCTGGCCTATGTTGCATCCTGATGGTACCAGCAGTTTTTATCAGCCATAACAATGGCAGCAGCGGGCTGTCTGGAGTAGCTGCTGCCATCACGCTGGCTGCAGCAGGGAGGCACAGCTGGGACTGCACACTCCATGGAGCTGGTGGGAACCTGGGACAAGTGGAAGCCCCGCCCCTTCTGAGTTGGTGGGGCAGGAGTTCCCTGGGTGCAGCCACAACTGCCCAAACTGTGGCTGCAGACCTGGGCCTCCCGGGCCATGGAGCAGGCAGGGGCCCAACCCCACCAGGGCAGCTGCAGTCCACCCCAACCACTGCTGTGGACCCAGGCATCCCTGCACTCTTAGGGGCCCAGGAAGGCTCCCCCTGCCCTAGCAGGCTTGGAAGTACCTGGCTTCCCCCTGCTGTTGGCACCCACTTTGATCTTGGAGCAAAGTTGGGGCCAAGCCCAGGCACTGTCAAGGCCTGGCCAGGTATACACACACTCAGTGCAATGCTGACATGCCAGTCCCCTGCTGCCTCAGCTGTCTCCAAACTTTGGACACCAGCAAGCATAAGAGAGAAGCCAATGGGGTACAGATGGTAGCTCAGTGCTGGCCTGCAGGTGCCCCTTGGCACCTACAGCTTGGCCACCATGAATGGCAGCAGGAGGCAAATAGGTTCCTGGGTGGAAGAGGGTGGGTCTCTGGTGAGGCCCTACCTTCAGGCCAGAAAGGGCCTGAAGGCTCGGGGCCAGGCTACCAGTTCCATGGACCAAAGTGGGAACTTGTGGTGCTTTTTCCAGATCCCCCCATGGCTGCCCATGGACCAATTGGCACTCACTTCCTCCCTCTGAGACCCATAAAACCCCCAGACTCAGCCAGAGCTGAGCAGATGTTGGGAAAACCAGCTGCAGAGAGGAGCTACCCATTCCAGGGTCTCCTCTCTGCTGAGAGCTTCAGAGAACGATGGGATGACCTGCCTGCAGAAGGAGCTACCCATTCCAGGGCCTCCTCTGAGCTAGTCTATCACTCAATAAAGCTCCTCTTCACCTTGCTCACTCTCCACTTGTCCACATACCTCATTCCTCCTGGATGTGGGACAAGAACTTGGGACCTGTTGAATGGCAGGTCTGAAAGGTCTATAACACAAACAGAGCTGAAACATGCCCCTTGTTTGTGACATTGCAGGTGAGGAGCAGGAGAGAAGAGCTGTAATCCTTCAGAGATCCCAGACCTGGGAGCTCCCTGAGCCAGGGCTGTGCCTCTCTCTTTGGGATGCTGCAGTTCCTGGAGTCTCCAAGCTTCCAGGCACCACTGTGTCCCCTGGCGGCAGCTATGGAAGCTACTTGCATTGCACCTGATCCAGCTGCAGCCTCACAGAGAGCCTGTACCCATGCTGGCACCTGGAGTTGCCCGCCCTGCTGCAGCAGCCGGCGTGCCTGTGTGCAGTGACCAGACCCCATGCTCATTCACTCACGCACCCCTCACCGCCCCATGCCTGGCTTGCCCTTGCCAGGCATGGGATCCAGGCTAGGAACATGAGCCGGCATAGCCTGCCAGGCCAAGTGGGCAGAATGAGCCCAGAGGGTCCAAGCAAAACTCGGGCAAAAGGTACCACTGACCACAGAGGTTTCTGGCTAGAAAAGCAACACCTCAAGGATCCCATAACATTTTGGAGGGCTTGTCCAGGATCTGCAGAAGGGTGAGTAAAAGCAGATCTACTCTTTTTATTTTATTTTATTTTTATTATACTTTAAGTTTTAGGGTACATGTGCGCAGATCTACTCTTTCTGTCCTTTTTTCAAAGTCTCTAAACTCCACAATAGTCAAAATGAAAGAAAAATACCAGGCCTCTATCAGCCAGTTAAGAGCAACTAGTGTGGCTGCCAGACTTAGGACACGGAGGACAGGCTTGCTGGGGAGGACACTGGCAACCCTCCATTACCCTCAGATGTTGGGAATGTTGGCTTTGTTCCAAACCAGTTTTCTTTCACAGAGGTCTAGCCATTGTGTGGGACCAGAAGGAGGTCCTGAGGCAACTGAGGGTATCTGGCCAAGGCTACCCTTTGGCCTAATTCAAAGGCCCGTGGACTAACTCCAGTCCCTGACCACCTGTTACAGTGTCAGCACTAGGACCTCCGGTCTTTCCTAACATTCTTTCTTTCTTTCAGGATATCAAGGTTCCTATTTCTTCTTTATGTACCATGTTAAATGTTAAGGATGTTGCCAGGCACAGTGGCTTATGTCTGTGCCAGCACTTTGGGAGGCTGAGGTGGGTGGATCACCTGAGGTCAGGAGTTCGAGACCAGCCTGGCCAACATGGCAAAACCCTGTGTCTACTACAAATACAAAAAAATTAGCCCAGCGTGGTGGTGCCTGTAATCCCAGCTACTCAGGAGGCTGAGGCAGGAGAATCGCTTGAACCCGGGAGGCAAAGGTTGCAGTGAGCTGAGACTGTGGCACTGCACTCCAGCCCAGGTGACAGAGCAGGACTCTGTCTCAAAAAAAAAAAATAAATGTTAAGGATGTTGTTGCAAACCAGAGCTAGTACTGGATTGAATGAGCATTTGGCTTAGTCATCAGAAGTCTAAAATGGAAGGTTAAGAGTAGCACAGAAGCCAAGTGTGCCTTGGTATCTGTACATAAATTTGTGGCAAAAATGTTCTTGTCATTTCCTTGGGTGATAACTTAGTGCCAAGCACCTTGAGGCACAGAAAAGAAGCACGGCCTCAGGAAGGAAGCCTTTCTGTAAACGCGGGGGCAAATGGTCCATGGTCCCATATGTGCAGGCCTTCTTTGCCTTGCAGGGTAGCCTGGACCTTTGCTGATGTAGGATTGATTCAGCCCTCCTACTGGCCATCTCAGGAGAGGCTGCAAGGGGCAATACCAGGGAAGCAAACCCCAGAAGTACCTCCAGCAGGAGAATCAACCCCCTCTGCTCCTCCCTATCCAGGTTATCTCTCAAGCTTGCCCCAGCCTAGGAATCCTCGTTTTAGGCAGGTCCCAGTCTCAACTGCCCCTACAACAGATGCCTGGTGAATATGGCCCCATTGAGGTCCAGGTCCCCTTTTCTCTACTAGACTTAAGGCAAATTAAGGCAGATCTTGGCAAGTTTTCAGGCAGCCCTGACAGGGATATAGAGGCTTTCCAGAACTTAATCAAAATATTTGAGCTCTCCTGGAAGGATGTCATGTTACTTTTGAATCAATCCCTGACCACCACTGGAAAGCAGGCCACCCTGCAAGTAGTAGAGAATTTGGGGGATGAGCTTTGTATCTTATATAGGGCCAAGGAAGGGAATGAGACTTATATGATTGGAAAAATAGCAGCACCACTGGAGGACCCTAAATGGGACCCTAAGGATGAAATGGGAGAATGGAGGGGGAAACACATTCAGGTGTACATACTGGAGGGCTTGTGAAGAACTAGGACTAAGCCTCTCAATTCCTCCAAGATCGCCATGATAGATCAGGGATTAGATGAGAATCCCACTGCCTTCCGGAAAGGCTAAGAGGGGCTTTGGTAAAGCACACCTCTCTAGCTCCTGATTCAGTCGAGGGACAGCTAATCCTAAAGGACAAGTTTATCACAAAGGTGGCCTCCGGATATCAGGAAGAAGCTACAGAAACAGGCTATAGGACGAGATAGTACTTTAGAGAACCTCCTAAAAGTGGCCACCTCAGTCTTTTACAATAGGGACCAGAAGGAAGTCCAAAAAAGAGAAAGGCAATACAAGAAAAAAGCAGAGCCTCTAAAAGCCACCTTGCAGGCTCACAAACCTCAGAGTCCCCAAGATGCATGACCGTGAGGGGCGTCTCAGGTCTTTCCTCCACCATGTCAAGAGTCATGGTAAAAATCACTGTATTATCTGCCCCTCCATGAGTTCAAAAGCTAGAAGTATTGAAGTATTGGCCATTTGGCGTGGCTAAGGTCAGGTAATAAGAGATTTAAAAGGACTTCTTAAAGAGGAGCCCTATGGTTAAAAGTCAACTTTTGGGAGGCCAAGGTGGGCGGATCATGAGGTCAAGAGATTGAGACCATCCTGGCCAACATGCTGAAACCCAGTCTCTACTAAAAGTACAAAAATTAGCCAGGGATGGTGGCACACACCTGTAGTCCCAGCTACTCAGGAGGCTGAGGCAGGAGAATCGCTTGAACCCAGAAGGCAGAGGTTGCAGTGAGCCGAGATCGCACCACGGTACTCCAGCCTGGATGACAGAGCAAGACTCTGTCTCAAAAAAAAAAAAAAAAAAAAAAGATGGGTATCCAAGCTGCAAGCTATAGGTCAGGTTAATTAAAGATGGATGTCCATGCTATAAGTATATTTAAAAGGCTTTTGTTGTCTTTTCTCTTCATGGATCTTGTTTTTCTGGAAAAAGGTTTTTTTCTTCTCAGTCGACTGAATTATTTTTCTTCATTTTTGTCTTGCCACTCTTAATGCACACATGAGAGGCCCCATGAGAACTTCTGACGGCTGGGACTCCTTGGGAAAATGGAGGAGGCGCCATGGACCCTGTTTTGGGAAAAACCTATTTTCCTCACAGAACTCCAGGGATTAGAAGCAGATGCATCCCTCTCAAAATTTGTTTTTGTCTTCCACCTAGGCCTACCTATTAGGGCTTAGAAACTGCACGTTTTCCTAGCCCTGGTTCTTGAAGGACTCCACCCCAAGGCCAGTAATCCAACTAGGAGATTGGCAAATCCAATTAGGAGATTGGCAAGTGAAAAATTTTACAACTACTGGATCTTCTTCTGTCTGTTTGTGTAGTTATATATGTGTCAGGTGTGACACATTAAAAAAAAGCTCTAATTGATTGGCTTAAAGAAAAATAAATGCCTAAGTCAAATATTTTGAAAGAAAGATAAAGCTGTAATGCCTTTTAGTTCACGTGACTTTCATCTTTGAAAAATAAAATATCTTCAACATGTAGACATACGGTCCAAATTATGCAGGTCAGATATTAGGTTTGCTAAATGCTTTAAAGGTTATAAACTGCTTCTTTCATTTTTGAAAATTGTTTAACTTTCCTGCTTTACAGTTTTGTAGGGCCTAGGGACATAGAGAGTTAACTACATCCATACTGGAAAGAGTCAGACCTTGTCTGCAACTAACACATAATTAAAATAACTTACCAGGTTTTACACCAAAATTAAAAATTGCCAAGAGTTACCATTATAACATGTAATTTGAGACTACTTAAAAGGAGATTTACATGTAAAATGTGTAAGGAAAGTAAAATGTGTCTTTAGTAAAAGAATATAAGAAGGCACGGAATGTAAATTTTTGCCTAGTTCAGAGGGTTAAAGGATTGTTTTAAATTAGATAAGATAAAGCTAAAGGTTTAAACAAGTTATGGGAGGTTTTTAAAGATTAATCTTGAAAAAGAAATGCTGTGTGTGAACATATCGACTAAATTCACAAGGGCATTATTTGGTTTTTCTGTAAATTGAACATTGGAATAAAAGCACAAGAGTTTCTCAGAGCACTGACCTCCTCTTTAACAAAGATTTGTAAAGGGTTATAAAAGGATTAGGAGAATCTCAGCTCATGGTCAAACTGATTAAGATTTTCAGGTAATGTTAAAGGATGATGAAAGATTTTTGTTTGCCTTGCAAATAAACTACCGAAAGAAAAAGGGAAAAACAAGAGACAGATTGTTTAGAAAGCTAAGTCTTCTCTCTTAATGTGTAAAGGTTTTTACCTTCTTTTTTTGAGTCAGCATTTTGGCTAAATAAGTGACTTATGGTAACCTGGAATTCTATTTCATAATGTCAAGTGTTTTAAACCTTTAACACATTTGATAGGCTCCCCAAAATCAAATTTCAGCTTCAAAATTGTCTTTTCTGACCCCTGGAGCATTCAAAGCAGAGGTAAACAGGATTATCTGACATGTTTAGTCACATGGAATTGTCAAAATAAAGTGGTGTTTGATCTTCTTCAGGTTACATTTTAGTGAATAATGTTAATATGTGTTTCAAAATGTATGGGATTTCTAAAATTCTGATGTCTGAGTATGTGTTTTCAATCATAATTAGGGTTATTGTGTTAGGTTATTGTTGACCACAGAGGTGATCAAATTTCTTTGCCAATCATGTTTTTGACTGTGACTACCTTAGGACACTGATATTCACAGGCAATTGCTGTCTTGTTTTAATCCTCTTCAAAAAATGGATTATAGTCCTCGAGTGCAGGTTTCTGATAACTTCGGAGATTGTGAACAAGAGTTGACTGGGTGGACTGAACTTATGGAAGACTGAAGTAATCTTTTTTGACTTTTTGCTTGGAACATTGCTGATCCTTTATTTTGTTTTTCAGAATCAAGGAAGCTTTTCTTTTGAGTTATTTGTCACCTTTGACAATTATGGGGACAACCAGTGATTTCTGACTGCAGAGAGTGGGCAGAATGAGCCCAGTGGGTTTGAGCAAAACTCGGGCAAAAATGGTACCAGCCACAGATGTTTCTGGCCAGAAAAGTGACATCCCAAGTATCTCATAACAGTAGTGGATTTTGGAAAGAAAAGAGCCAATTACAGGCTGAACACAAAGCAAGATGCTTGCTCTGCAAGAAGTCACAGTGCAACGCTCCTGGTCTCCTCCTTCCAGCTATAAGAGATAGCCTTTGTTATTTAAAAATGGGTAAATATAAGGTATAAGGAAGGGATCCAGTTTCAGCTTCCTGCATATGGCTAGTCAGTTTTCCCAGTGCCATTTATTAAATAGGGAATCCTTTCCCCATTTCTTGTTTTTGTCAGGTTTGTCAAAGATCAGATGGTTGTAGATGTGTGGTATTATTTCTGAGGGCTCTGTTCTATTCCATTGGTCTATATCTCTGTTTTGGTACCAGTACCATGCTGTTTTGGTTACTGTAGCCTTGTAGTATAGTTTGAAGTCAGGTAGTGTGATGCCTCCAAACTACAATGAGATACCATCTCACACCAGTTAGAATGGTGATCATTAAAAAGTCAGGAAACAACAGGTGCTGGAGAGGATGTGGAGAAATAGGAACACTTTTACACTGTTGGTGGGACTGTAAACTAGTTCAACCATTGTGGAAGACAGTGTGGCGATTCCTCAAGGATCTAGAACTAGAAATACTATTTGACCCAGCCATCCCATTACGAGGTATATACCCAAAGGATTATAAATTATGCTGCTATAAAGACACATGCACCTGTATGTTTATTGCGGCATTATTCACAATAGCAAAGACTTGGAACCAACCCAAATGTCCATCAACGATAGACTGGATTAAGAAAATGTGGCACATATACACCATGGAATACTATGCAGCCATAAAAAAGGATGAGTTCATGTCCTTTGTAGGGACATGGATGAAGCTGGAAACCATCATTCTCAGCAAACTATCGCAAGGACAAAAAACCAAACACTGCATGTTCCCACTCATAGGTGGGAATTGAACAACAAGAACACTTGGACACAGGAAGGGGAACATCACACACCATGGCCTGTTGTGGGGTGGGGGGAGGGGGGAGGGATAGCATTAGGAGATATACCTAATGTAAACGACAAGTTAATGGGTGCAGCACACCAACGTGGCACATGTATACATATGTAACAAACCTGCACATTGTGCACATGTACCCTAGAACTTAAAGTATAAAAAAAAAAGGGTAAATATAAATGAGGCTGCTGGACTGTGTTGTTTCCCTTCTTTGGTCTCTGCTTAGTTCCATCATATAGATATGATTGGCAGTTTTGAGTCAAATCTCAAAAGAACAAAGAAAAGTAGTCATTAAACAAAATAACAGGGAAAAAAAGTGGCCCCTGCAGCCACTTCCTCAGGCCAGGAAGGGTGGCCCTTGCCCCCGAGTCCTGAGGATGAGGTGGAATCTGAGTTCTCCACGTGGTAGTGACAAGGGACCTTCTCAAATCCAAATATGCTCACACTCTTTTGCCAAAACCGTGAGGCCAGCCACGAGGGAAACCACAGATGGATCTCAGCACCATAAAGAGAGGTGCCAGACATCATGCACTCAGGGTGGAACCAGGAGGGGGTGCCTGGTGCCAGGTGCTCAGCGCTGTCCATGAAGTTGTCTTGCAAAAGAAGAAAGACAAAGCTGGGAACCTGGGGCTATGCCTCTGGATCTCCCAGTTTATGGAGAGCGTGTGGGACAAAAGAACACACAAAACACAGGGGACCAAAACCAAATTACCTGGCTTCTTCCTGGAGGAAAGAACGAAAGGACAAAGAGGGCGGGGAAACTGCAGACCCAAAGAGGCTTCAGGGCCAAGTCCACCAACCCCAAGGCGTGGGCCTGTTTGGGTCCTGAACTGGCCTGAACTGAACAAACCAACCAAGAAACACTCACTTAGGAGGCAATCGTGGAAATGCAAATACTGACTAGATACTTCACAATATTAATAAATTACTGGAATTTTTTCAGATGTGGTTATGGTTTTGAGCTTATGTCTGAAAAAGAGCTGTTTCAGAGGTACATGCAGAAAAATTTATAGATGAAATTATGTGGTGTCTGGAATTTACTTTAAAAAATTTCAGTTTTTTGTGGGGGGAGGGGAAGTGGAATAAATGAAGTAATATTGACCATTTGCAGATAATTGTTGAAGTTCGATGATGGGCATGTGGAGATTCATTATCGTATTATTTTTACTTCTGTGCATGTTTGCAATTTTCCTCAATAAGAAGTAAAACAAATAAATAAATAAAAGAGCATCCTGGTTCCCCAGCACTCTCTGTATAAAGGCCACGCTTGTAATGTGGGTGCGCCACTTTCTCCCTGCAGCTGTGCCAGCTCCCTCCATGCACCCCCGCTTCCTACTCTCCAGGTTTGATGAGAGCTTCTGGGCAGCTCCCTTCACTGCCTTGTGCTTTCTCCCTTTAACCTTTATTTATTATCTTTCCAAAAGGCAAGCATTCATATGGTTCAGAACGCAGCACTGCACAGTAACTACTCTCCCTTCCTCCTCGTCCCCAACACGTAGTGTCTTAGTTTCTTGTTTCTCCTTCTAGAGATTTAATGCATATGCGGGCGAACAGAAATAGACCCTCATTCTCTGTCTCCCCCTCCCTTTTTACACAAAAAGTAGCCTGATGACACCCTACTCTGCGCCTCACTTTCTCACTATATTCTGGAAAGCTTTCCGGATTTGTCCACTGTGAGCATCTTCTTATGCAGAGAAGATGAAACCTCTTATGTAGAGATCTCCTAAGAGAGGTCTCTGTGAGACCTTGATATGGTTTGGCTGTGTCCCCACCCAAAATCTCATCTTGAATTGTAATCCCCACGTGTCAAGGGTGGGACCAGGTGGAGGTAATCAGATCATGGGTGCAGTCTTCCCCATGCTGTTCTTGTGACAGTGAGTGAGTCTCACGAGGTCTGATGGTTTTTATAAGCATCTGGCATTTCCCCTACTGGCACTCATTCTCTCACCTACTGCCCTGTGAAGAGGTGCCTTCTGCCATTATTGTAAGTTTCCTGAGGCCTCCCCAGCCATGTGGAACTGTGAGTCAATTAAACCTCCTTTCTTTGTAAATTACCCAGTCTCGGGTATTTCTTCAGAGCAGTGTGAGAACAGACTGATACAGACCTCTTATGCAGTTGCACAACATTCCGTTGCGTGGCTGCACTGCATTGCATTTACCCCCTCTCCTGTTGATGGGCAGTTAGGTCATGGCCAGTCTTTCCTCTTTCCAACAGTGCTGTAAGGAACAACCACATGCTCACATCGTTTCTGGTGCTTTCTCTTTAACTTCCCCCACCTGCTGCCCCTCCCCCACCAGCTTTTGCCCCTCCAATTCCTGTTTACCCTTCAGCTCTTGAATTAGGTATCACTTTATCTGGGACACATTCTCAGATTGGAGACAGAGAGGTGGATGTTAAGAACAAAGGCTCTAGGCTGGGCGCAGTGGCTCACACCTATAATTTCAGCACTTTGGGAGGCCAAGGTGGGCAGATTGCTTGAGCCCAGGAGTTTGAGACCAACCTGGGCAACACAGTAGACCCTGGTCTCTACAAAAAATACAAAAATTAGCAGAGCATGGTACAAAAATTAGCTGGGCATGGTGGCACATGCCTGTAGTCCCAGCTAGTCGGAAGGCTGAGGTGGGAAGATCACCTGAGCCCAGGAGATCCAGGCTGAGCCATGATTGCACCCTTGCACTCCAGGCTGGGTGACAAGCAAGACTCTGTCTCAAAATAAATAAATAAAGACTGCAGAGTCAGGGTGGAGCTTGACTCTTGCCTCTTCAACTTAAGAGGAAAGTTACTTCACTCTTCTGAAGCTATTTTCTCTCTGCAAAATGCACATGATAACATCTCTCCTGATGGGTTGCTTTGAGGATTATATGAGATACTATATGTGTAGAGTCTTAGAACACCACTGGGACCATAGTAGATGCCAAATAAATGATGCTATCATCATCATCATCATCATCTTCTTCATCATCGTATTGATGAACTTTTCCTTTAGAATGCCTTCTCCAGCCTTCAAAATACAAGTCATTGTTAAGGCCTAAGTTACATGCTTCTCAACCCATTTCTCCCTAATCCATTCAACTGAAAATTAATTTCTCTTTTTTTCCATACCCCTGCAGTATCCAAATGGAACAGCCAGGAATTTTTTGGCTGCAAGTGACAGAAAACCTGCCCAACAGTGGCTTCATAATATCTGGAGTTATTTCCCTCATATATTAAGAAGTTGGGAAATGGGCAGGTACAGGCATTGATTCAACTACCCGTGGAATCATTAAAGACCAGGCAAATCTTTTCTTCCTTCTCCTCCATTGTCCTCATAGTGTTGCTTATTGGTCTTTAAGAGTATTGCCTTTTAATTACAATGTGGCTGCTGTGCCTCCAGCCATTATTGTGCAACTTTCAAAGCCAGGAAGCAGGGACGGCTGCAGTAATGCCTTTCCCAAAAGCCCTGTCAGACATTTCCAGCATCCAGAACTGGATCTAAAGCCCACCCCAAGACTGGGACTTCCTTCTCTGAAATCTAGAGATATCAACTTCCTCCCTGAGTAGGATCAGGATTCTGAGTTCTGTCAATAGGAAGAGAAGAATGCCTGGGAAGGTCACTGTGGTGTCTGCCACATTCAGACACTCAAACTCAGGCTCCTGTAC
This sequence comes from Homo sapiens, assembly GCF_000001405.40. Taxonomy (NCBI): domain Eukaryota; kingdom Metazoa; phylum Chordata; class Mammalia; order Primates; family Hominidae; genus Homo; species Homo sapiens. The sequence goes on from NC_000017.11 coordinate 17,434,935, forward strand.
CTCTCTTTTGACAATGATAGCTTTCTACCTTTTATTATAGTTTTATCTCCTTTACTAAACTGTGGGCTTGGATCCATTTCCAAGTACGTCCATATGCCCCCAAGTGCCAAGCACAGCTTCTGTAGACAGTAAGAGCTCAGCCAGCATTTGTGGCTCTAGGGATGAATGGACAATCTCAAAGACACCATCTGATTCTAGCAGACAAGGATTCTGATTCAAGAAGCTGCCTGGGAAATCTGAGTTCTGTGTGTGCCAGTGACACGGCCCTAAGATGCCCACCTTATGCTACCACCCCCAGGGGCTTTGAGTGTCTTCTTGTGGCTGTGACAGTGAAAACCAAACCCCTCCCTCACTCTCTCTCCCATTCCTCTTTCTTGTACTTATCTCCTATACCCTCCTAGGGAACCCTAGGATTTTATCTCCATGCTTGTGTGTGTTTAGGTTAACTGGATCATGGAGGATGAGTCACCTGTCAGAAATACGTGGAGAAAAGGAAATTTTGCCTGCAAAGCTCTGATTGTATCATGAGCACACTGTCTGAAGATGAGAGAGACCAGGCTGTTTATTGCTTTTGGGAGGCATCAGAGTCCAATCGGCATGTGAGTCACTTTTCAGAGGCTGGATCAACGGGCAGCCCCCTGGCTGCAGGAGCTGAGCCTGCCTCACCTCCCAAGAGTGCTGTTGGGCTGTGAGCTGGCGGTTAAGTTACTGCCTTGACCTCCAAAGTCCCAGCTGCTTAAGAAGCCTTCATCACATCAAATAGTGCTGCATCCCCTCAAGGTGGTAAATGAGGTGGCTGGTGGGGTGGCCAGGCTCAGCATTTGTGTCGCAGCTGCAAATGACGCTGGCCAGGGGACAATGAATGAGGTGACGATACAGATGGAGGGATGAAGGGGTCCATCTGGCTGTGGTCCCCCTCCTACCCCCACTCCCCTTCATTCTTAAGAATCAGGAAGTGGGCAACAGTGGGTGATTCATTTTGGTGAGTGGAGTATCAGCTGGTGGCCACATTATAGTTGGCTAAAATTCAGGATATTAAAACAATAAAATACAATAAACACGCCGGTGCGGTGGCTCATGCCTGTAATCCCAGCACTTTGGGAGGCCAAGGAGGGTGGATCACTTGGTCAGGAGGTCCAGACCAGCCTGGCCAATGTGGTGAAACCATGTCTCAACTAAAAATAAAAAAATTAGCTGGGCACGGTAGCAGCCCCCTGTAATCCCAGCTACTCGGGAGGCTGAGGCAGGAGAATCACTTGAACCCGGAGCGGGTGGAGGTTGCAGTGAGCTGAGATCGTGCCATTGTACTCCAGCCTGGGCAACAGAGTGAGACTCGGCCTCAGAAACAAAAATAAAAAACAATAAACACTAAAACGAAATGGGATGCAGCCGGGGCTGCTTGTGGGGTGCTGGTTACTGGAGTTTTTTGTTGTTGTTGTTGTTGAGACAGAGTCTCCCTCCGTCGCCCAAGCTGGAGTGCAATGGCACAATCCCGGCTCACTGCAACCTCTGCCTCCCGGGTTCAAGTGATTCTCCTGCCTCAGCATCACAAGTAGCTGGGATTACAGACACCCGCCACCGTGCCCAGTTAAGTTTTTTGTATTTTTAATAGAGACGGGGGTTTCACCAGGTTACCCAGGCTGGTCTCAAATTCCTGACCTCAGGTGATCCACCCGCCTCAGCCTCCCAAAGTGCTGGGCCTGAGCCACCATGCCCAGCCCGGTTACTGGAGTTTTGATGGCTGGAGTCTGGGAGAGTGGGAGTGAGCAGGGAGAGTGGTCTTCTTTCCTTCAGCATCACTGGACAGCTGGTGTGACTGTGTCTCACTTGAGTCCCAGAACAGTGAGCACTGGAGTCCTGGTTTCTGTCTGGCTCATTTTACGAACTGCTTTGTGTATGGGCCCATTTCACCCTCTGCCCTTGGCTAAGTCCAGCAAAACACTTTACCTGGCTGTAGAGGACCCCACTTTAGGACAGCTCAGCCACTCTCCTTCAGTGCCGACCCTTCCCTCTGTGGCCCAGTGATACCCGCCTGCCACACAGGTAAGCTAAGAGTGGTTTCTATAGACCTGACAGGACTGGGGCTTGTCAATGGAGCACTGTAGCCCAGGGTCATTCAGGGCTGCCTGCGACCCTGCCCACGGAGAAAGTTCTGGTACCATTAGGCAAGCAGCAGTGTCCTCTTGGGGCTTGGCATAAGTTCCCTCAAGGGTCTCTCTCAGGCCCCCAATTTTATCGCCCATCACTTCTCTCTGCCCTCTCATTGGGCTGGCATAGTCAGGTGGTCTGGGGAGGGTGGTCTCACTTAGGAATCGCCCTCTCCTCCCCCTAAAAGGCCAAGAGGCAATCAACTTGAGGCCCAGAGGGAAGGAAGCCCAGGCCAGTGGGAAAGAAAGGAACTCCTTTTTTTTTTTGGAAACAGAGTTTCACTTTTGTTGCCCAGGTCGGAGTGCAGTGGTGCAATCTCAGCTCACTAAAGCCTCCGTCTCCCAGGTTTAAGTGATTCTCCTGCCTCAATCTGGCTAAGTTTTTTCTATTTAGTAGAGATGGGGTTTCACCATGAAGATCAGGCTGCTCGTGAACTCCTGACCTCAGGTGATCCACCCACCTTGGCCTCCTAAAAAATGCTGGGATTACAGGCATGAGCCACCACGCCCGGCCAAGAACTCCTTGTTGAGTCGCTTCTGATGTCTGGGCTCCATCCTTGTGGGAGACTCCCAGCTAAGCCCAGGGCTTATAGGGCCCTGCTGTTTTGTTCCAGCTGCAGATGGCAGCAGGGCTAGCTTTCTCGTGCCTTTAGAGTCCCACACATCTAGGGTTTGTCTGTCTATATTGTGGACTCCGTGGGGGCTCCGGGTCTCATCAGGCAACATGGCCGACGTGCAATACATATGTGTTGAATTGACATTAAATTCAGCCAGGTATAATGCCCAGAAAGACAAATACTGCATGTTCTCACTCCTATGTGGGGGCTCAGAAGGTGGATCTCACAGAGGAAGTGAATGGAGTGCCGGCTACCAGAGGCTGGGAAGGGCAGGAGGGAGAGGGGATGGAGAGGTTGGTTCATGGGTACAAGCATACAGTTAGATAGGAATAAGCTCTAGTGTTTGACAGCACAGTAGGTGACTATAGTTATCAATAATGCATTGTATATTTCACAATACCTAGAACAGAAGATTTGGAATGTCCTCAACACAAAGGAATGATATGTGTTTGAGGTAATGGAAATCCTAATTACCCTGACATGATCATTACACATTGTACGCATGTATCAAAATATCACGTGGACCCCATAATATGATTATGTATCAATCAAAATTGTTAGCCAGGTATAGTATGGCAGTTCCTTAAAAACTTAAACATAGGCTGGGCGTTGTGGCTCACGCCTGTAATCCCAGCACTTTGGGAGGCCGAGGTGGGCGGATCACCTGAGGCCCGGAGTTCGAAACCAGCCTGACCAACATGGAGAAACCCCGTCTGTATAAAAATACAAAATTAGCCAGGCGTGGTGGTGCATGCCTGTAATCCCAGCTACTCCAGAGGCTGAGGCAGGAGAATGGCTTGAACCTGCGAGGCGGAGGTTGCTGTGAGCCAAGATTGTGCAATTGCACTCCAGCCTGGGCAACAAGAGCAAAACTCCATCTCAAAAAAAAAAAAAAAAATTAAACATAGAATCACAACATGACCCACAATTCCACTTCTGGGTATATGCCCAAAAGAATTGAAAGCAGGGACTTGAACAGACATTTGTTTATAGTTGTATTATTCAAAATAGCAAAAAGATGGGACAAGCCAAATGTTCATTAACAGATAAATATGTAAACAAGATGCAGTATATCCATACAGAAACCAGGAATAAAATTCTAAGCCCCCCTAACCAACTGAATGGACCTCCTCTTGGCCAAGGGCATTCCAAAGTTAATCTGAGGCCAGGCACGGTGGCTCATGCCTGTAATCCAAGCACTTTGGGAGGCCAAGGCGGGTGGATCACCTGAGGTCAGGAGTTTGAGGCCAGCCTGGCCAACGTGATAAAACCCCGTCTCTACTAAAAATACAAAAATTAGCCGGGCGTGGTGGCAGGCACCTGTAATCCCAGCTACTTGAGAGGCTGAGGCAGGAGAATCACTTGAACCTGGGAGGCAGAGGTTGCAGTGAGCCGAGATTGTGCCACTGCACTCCAGCCTGGGCAACAGAGAGAGACTCTGTCTCAAAAAAAAACAAAAATGAAAACAAAGTTTTTGTTTGGCGGTCCAGCCATGATGGGAATAAGGGGTCAGGCATGCCTCCTTATACCCTCCCTACTTTGAAATTCAGGCATAACTGACCAATATTAACATTAAAACAGAGACCTTAAGAGAATTTATTCTTTCTGAAGCCTGCTACCTCACCTGCATAATAAAATTCTTGGTCTCCACAACCCCTAATTTTAACCCATACACTCCCTTCTATTGATTCCAGGTCTTTAGATAAACTCTTTCAACCAACCGCCAATCAGAAAATCTTTGAATCCACCTATGACCTGGAAGCCTCCTGAGGCTGTGTCACGGGCATGTCCTTAACCTTGGCAAAATGGACTTTGAAATTGATTGAGACTTGTCTCAGATACTTTGGGTTTACACATACAATGGAATATCATTCAACTTTAAAAAGGAAGAAATTTTTAAAGGAAGAAAAAAGAAAAAGGAAGAAAATTTTGACACATGCTACAACATGGCTGAACCTTAAGGACTTCATGCTAAGTGAAATAAGCCAGTCACAAAAGAACAAATAGTAAATGTGTAATTCCACTTATATGAGGTACCTAAAGTAGTCAGATTCATAGAGACAGAGAGTAAAACAGTAACTGTCAGGGGCTGGGGGAGGACGGGATAGGGAGTTACTGTTTAATGGGTATAGAGTTTCCGTTTGGGAAGATGAAAAACATTCTGGAGATGAATGGTGGTGATGGTCCCACAACAGTGTTAATGCACGTAATGGCACTGAACTGTACACATAAAAGGGATTAAGATGGTAAATGTGTTATACATTTTTCACCACAATTGAAAGCATATATTATTTTTAATTAATTTTAGCCTGGTAATCTCTCAGTGTCACCTTGTTTTGGTGCTGCTCTATGTAGATTGTTCAACATAGTACAAAACACGACTGGAAAAGATCAATCTTGCTGACATTTACTCGGGCTTAAGATATGGCTCAAGGGCCTTGCTCTTTTGGTCTTGTGCAAACCGCCCACAGTCCACCTGCTGGCTGGATGCCCTCATTGCAGGCAAAGCACCAGGATTTCTTATAATACCACCCATAGACCCAAGTAGGATCCTGGTGGCCTCGTGGTAAGCTGTGACAGGAATGCACAAGGATCTCCTGGCTTGTTGGCTGGCATCGCTGGCCCAGTGATGTGAGGTGAAGGGATTCTTTGCTCTGACTCAGCTCAATCCCCCTGTACAAAGGGACTAGGTGGGCTTGCTGTGCTTTTGGAAGGACCAGAAAAATCTGCTTCCTTCACTCACTGGGAGCCATGTATTCTCTTTGACTTTTGTTTGCAGGAGCAAAACAAACAGATGCTTGGGGAAAACCAACCAAAAAGGGGGGAAGGGGAGGCTGGTGCTGGCTGGCAACCTTGACTCAGCGCTCGGCAGGAGGTCCATTCGGAACAGAAACCCTCACCCTGCACTTTCCTCACCCAGCCCTGAAATCACAAACAACCCCTTGGCCAGGGTCCTAATGAGCCTCTGACAAACACAGCCCGCCCTCCTGACACAGAAAAGACAATTAGACATGCACAAGTGGCCTGTGAAATGCCAGGCTGGGCACTTGAGCTCTCCATGAATGGCACCCCCTGTACCCTGGGCCTTCTCGGAAAAACATTGCTTGGGTTCCTTACGGGTGGTAATGGCTAATAATGCAGAGAGAACACCGTGTTTTGGTTTCAGGCCTTTGGCCAGGGCGGTGAGAGAGGGGTGTGTGTGTGTGTGTTTAGTGATGGTAGTGGGGTGATATTTATTTTCATTTCTCCATCATAAAGGAATTGAAGTCCTATAGCATGTCAGCAATGTCAATGTTTCAGGGTGAAATAAACAAGTAAAAGGTGTTAGCGTTCAGATGAGCTCTAGCAGCCTGTGACGTTAGGAAAATCGCCAACTCCTGGGGCCTCAGTCTTCTCATCTGTAAAATGAGGATAATAATAGAAACCACCTTCCACTCATGGTGATTGAGTGAGCCATCGCAGGTAAAGCACTCAGCCCCAGGCCTGGAACATAGGACTCATTGAACATTGGCTATTAACTTAAAAGCAAGCGTTATGCGTTTTAGTCTATTTAAGGAGCCACTTTTGAATATCTGCTTGTGAACTCCTATATGAAGTTGGCTGTGAAAACACAGAAAACACAGTCTTTATGCTCACAGAGCTTGAGGACAACCAGGGTGACAAGAAAACCATCCGGGCAGGGCCAGCTCAATGCTGGCGCGTTGGCACCAACCAGGAGACAGCTGTGGCTTGCTTTAGGTCTGTTTGTTTCTTCTAATTTGTGTTATCTTTTTTCCTTTGGTGGTGGAGGAAGGGCGGTTTCTGTAGGCCGCAGACAGCAGGGTATGGATCATTGGTCTGGTCAGGCTTTAATCAAGTGAAAATCTGCTCTTCATTTGTTTGTTACTGCTACAAAGCACATGATTTTCTTTTTTTTTTTTTTTTTTTTCCACATCTGTTTTTTTTGTTTTTGTTTTTGTTTTTTTTTAATTTATTTATTTTTTATTGATAATTCTTGGGTGTTTCTCACAGAGGGGGATTTGGCAGGGTCATAGGACAATAGTGGAGGGAAGGTCAGCAGATAAACAAGTGAACAAAGGTCTCTGGTTTTCCTAGGCAGAGGACCCTGCGGCCTTCAGCAGTGTTTGTGTCCCTGGGTACTTGAGATTAGGGAGTGGTGACGACTCTTAACGAGCATGCTGCCTTCAAGCATCTGTTTAACAAAGCACATCTTGCACCGCCCTTAATCCATTTAACCCTGAGTGGACACAGCACATGTTTCAGAGAGCACAGGGTTGGGGGTAAGGTCACAGATCAACAGGATCCCAAGGCAGAAGTTTTCTTAGTACAGAACAAAATGAAAAGTCTCCCATGTCTACTTCTTTCTACACAGACACGGCAACCATCCGATTTCTCAATCTTTTCCCCACCTTTCCCGCCTTTCTATTCCACAAAGCCGCCATTGTCATCCTGGCCCGTTCTCAATGAGCTGTTGGGCACACCTCCCAGACGGGGTGGTGGCCGGGCAGAGGGGCTCCTCACTTCCCAGTAGGGGCGGCCGGGCAGAGGCGCCCCTCACCTCCCGGACGGGGCGGCTGGCCGGGCGGGGGGCTGACCCCCCCACCTCCCTCCCGGACGGGGCGGCTGGCCTGGCAGAGGGGCTCCTCACTTCCCAGTAGGGGCGGCCAGGCAGAGGCGCCCCTCACCTCCCAGACGGGGCGGCTGGCCGGGCGGGAGGCTGACGCCCCGACCTCCCTCCCAGACGGGGCGGCTGGCCTGGCGGGGGGCTGAACCCACCTCCCTCCCTGACGGGGCGGCTGGCCGGGCGGGGGGCTGACCCCCCCACCTCCCTCCCGGACGGGGCGGCTGGCCGGGCGGGGGGCTGACCCCCCCACCTCCCTCCCGGACGGGGCGGCTGGCCGGGTGGGGGGCTGACCCCCCCCACCTCCCTCCCGGTACCGGGACGGCTGGCCTGGGCGGGGGGCTGACCCCCCCCACCTCCCTCCCGGACCGGGCGGCTGGCCGGGCGGGGGGCTGACCCCCCCCACCTCCCTCCCGGACGGGGCGGCTGGCCGGGCGGGGGGCTGACCCCCCCACCTTCCCTCCCGGACGGGGCGGCTGGCCGGGCAGAGGGGCTCCTCACTTCCCAGTAGGGGCGGCCAGGCAGAGGCACCCCTCACCTCCCGGACGGGGCGGCTGGCCGGGCGGGAGGCTGACGCCCCGACCTCCCTCCCGGACGGGGCGGCTGGCCTGGCGGGGGGCTGACCTCCCCACCTCCCTCCCGGACGGGGCCGCTGGCCGGGCGGGGGGCTGACCCCCCCCACCTCCCTCCCGGACGGGGCGGCTGGCCGGGCGGGGGGCTGACCCCCCCCACCTCCCTCCCGGACGGGGCGGCTGGCCGGGTGGGGGGCTGACCCCCCCCACCTCCCTCCCGGACGGGGCCGCTGGCCGGGCAGAGGGGCTCCTCACTTCCCAGTAGGGGTGGCCAGGCAGAGGCGCCCCTCACCTCCCGGACGGGGCGGCTGGCCGGGCTGGAGGCTGACGCCCCGACCTCCCTCCCGGACGGGGCGGCTGGCCTGGCGGGGGGCTGACCCCCCCACCTCCCTCCCTGACGGGGCGGCTGGCTGGGCGCAAAGCACATGATTTTCAAGGGATAAGTTGTTAGGATGTTTTTAATTGTGATGATGAAATTCCAGCTCAAGTTAACTTAAGCAAAAGTAAACAAGCAAAATTCCAAAAAGGGAGTTTACTTTCTTACATAATTTCAGAGAACAAAGATGGGTGTCTTGCTAGCTTCAGTCATAGCTGGACCCAGGTGCTCAAATCTCTCTCTTTCTCTCTCTTCTTTCTTCATTGTCTGATAGCTTCAGGCATACACAGTAAACCCTCAGCTCATGATTTCAGAGTAAGAGAGAGCCTCCTCTTGGACCAACAACTCTAGACTGGGAAATGGGGCACCACAGTTGGCCAGACATGGGTTGCATTCCCCCAAAGCCAGGGGATAGGTTGACCAGCAGCTTCACAGGACCCACATGGGGCAGATGGGATGCAAGGCTGACAAACTATCAGTGAGACTCTGTGGATAGAAAGCATGAGTAGGCGCCAAACATTTCACGTAAGCAGCGAATATGCAGGCTTCCTCTTTGCATCTCACCCAACTATGCTTAAAATGGCTTGTCTGGCACACTTTGAGGGGTCAGCCTACTTCCTTGCATTCAAAAGGTGAAGAGTTTCTAACTCTTTGTTCTTGAATCAAACCAAGTGACTGAAGACTAAGTGTTCCAGATGGGCCAACCACGCAGCAGCATGGTGGCAGCTCTGAGATGCTGCCCAGTGAGCCCCAGTAGTCACATCCTGGAGAGTCCCCTCTTCACTGAATAGGACCCATCTGGCAACCAGTAGGACTGCAGAAATGATGTCCAAGGCTAGGCCATAAAAGACATGGTTCCTGCCTTGCTCTCCTTGAATCACTTCCTCGGGAGCAGCCAACTGCCATGTTGTAAGGACACTTAAGCAGCTCTGTAGAGGAGTCCATGTGGTGGGAAACTGAGGCCTCCCACCAACAGCCAGCACCAACCTGCCAGGCATGTGGGTGCACCACCTCAGAGGTAAATCCTCCAGCCCCAGTTCAGCCTCTAATGACACAACCCCAGCTGATACCCTGACTGCAACCCCATGAAATCCCTGAGCCAGAACCACCCAGCTAAGCCACTCCTGAATTCCTGACCCACAGAAACTATGAAATAATAAATGTTCATTGTTGTTTCAAGCCACTAAGTTTTGGGGTCATTTGTTACACAGCAGTAGAAATCTGATACAGGCATATTGTGGTCCCTTCCTCCCTTCCCAGGGACAGAGTCACTTTGGAAAGCTTCCTTGGATCATTTTCAAAGCACTTCTCAATAACTATCTTAGTTCTTGTTACAAAGTTTCAGTTTCACAAATGGACTCACACGGATATCACAGGCTGCTCCAACCCTCAACAGTGAATTTGCCGATAAAACAAAATCAGGGACTAGGTGTGGTGGCTCATGCCTGTAATCCCAGCACTTTGGGAGGCCAAGGCGGATGGATCACCTGAGGTCAGGAGTTCGAGACCAGCCTGACCAACATGGAGAAACCTCATCTCTACTAAAAATACAAAATTAGCCGGGCATGGTGGCACATGCCTGTAATCCCAGCTACCCGGGAGGCTGAGGTAGGAGAATCGTTTGAACCTAGGAGACGGAGGTTGCAGTGAGCCGAGATTGTGCCACTGCCCTCCAGCCTGGGGAACAGAGTGAAAAAAAAAATCAGATTTCCACTGCATTTACTTCCCTCTCCTGTACTAGATATGGAGGTAGTTGAAATTCTAACAGGAAGGATGCCTTCAAAGTTCGGTCAGTCTCCCTCCTTGTTACTGCATATGACGGGTGGTATCACACACTATCACAATACTGCAAAGTCATTGATAACATGTGGCAGGAGTGCCCTGGGTTCTGAAGCCCCATGAAGTCCTCCAGGCGGTCTTCTGGCTGAAGTAGTGCCTCCCTGGCAGATGAGCTAGAATTCAAGGAAGTCTGATCCTAGGCTGCTTGCATCAAGGGAGAACTCGGGGAAGAGGTGGATCCTGAGCACACCCTTCAATGCCCCCCTTCCCTGAGGTGACTGGGACATACCCCACACATACCCCACCTGGGTCCCCTGCTGTTGCAAAGCAGTTTCCCTCCCCCTCCCACAAGCCCTCAGTCACGTAGGTGCCAGCACCTGGGCCCCTCCCACAGACAGCCCCATGCTGAGCACCTTTCTGATCCTATGTCATTGCTGGCGTTTGCTTTTCCTCCCCTCTCAGGATCCAGATGTTATCATTCCCCAGGAGCTCAAACTACTCCATCTCCCTGGTCTCCCATCGTTGAACTCCAATCATGGAAAGAATGCCATACAAGCTAGTGCTCCTCAGTGTACCAGCCAGGACTCTGCAAGTGACAGAAAGCCCCGCACACAGGCTCCAGCCCATCCTCAGGTCTCTGCCTCCTGCTCCGGCTCTGGCTTCCTCCGCATGTTGGATTCGTATGGGTTGGTCCCCAGCTGCCCTGTGAGGCAAGGCAGGCCTTGATGTTCACTTGCCATATCAGGTCCCGCCTGCCTCTGCAGAAAAATTTTAGGCTCCTCAAGGTCTGGGTCCACTTCTACTCCTCCTATCAGAGTGTAAATAAAAACAGTCTCCTCATCCTGCCCCTGCTCATATAACCTCTGTGACAGGATGCTCACTACTTGGAGAAGTAACTCTTTTTGCGGAGCTGGTCTCCGCCCCTTCTGTGACTGCCACCCACTGGGCCAGTTCTGCCTAATAGCAAAGAACACTGCTCACCAATCTTCTTTCCTTTCCTTCCTTCCCTTTTGCCCATAAGTCACCGATGGATGGACTGGACCCATGGGCAACGTCTGTGGATGACGCTGTGTTTGTCCTTCCACAGGGCGTGGGGCTCCTCCACCCTGCATCAGGCACAAGCCTGCTTTTGGGGAAAGTCCCACCATCTCATTTTCCCTTGCCTAAAATAGCTACTTCCTTTATGGGGAATGCAGTGTGGTGGGGAGCAATGAAAGGGATGAGGTAAGTCATCCACAGATGCCTGGTTTGGAATCATTCCTGAAAAGGTCAGCGTTTTCATCAGCCAAACAGGAGGCAGGGCACTTCCGGCTGGTCATTAACCAAGGCAAACAGCGTGGCGGGGAAAGTCAAAGCCATAGCCAACCACAAACAAACAAGTCATGTATCCTCTGTGGAGGTGACTTTCTTCTGAAGGAATGTGTGGTTGTTTGCAGATAATATCAAATCCATTTCACGTCAGATCAGGATGACAGACAGCCAGAGGCTATTGGGGTCTCACATTAAATGGCTCTTTTATGGTAATAAATTGTTTCCTTTTCACGGTTGCATGAGCAATCTCAAGTTTTATTTTGAGGTGTCAACTGCCCTCAGGGACACCTGCCACAGGTGGGATCTTGGGTCCTGGCCACCATATGTGAGAGAGCAGACCCTGGCTGAGTCACTCAGCTGTGGTCGCATCACCTCTGTCCCTGCCCCACTGCTCAGCCCCATGCAGGCTGGCAGGGGAGGCCTCCTCTCCCCCATGGGGTCTCCCTTTCTTCCTCTCACACTGATCATTGGAAAGAGTGGCTTGCATTTGCCACAGTGCTGAGGGCTGTCAGTCTTCACAGCTGAGGAAATGACATGATTTGTTGGGAGCCACTTGAAATAACCAGTTCCCCAGCTGGTCTCGCTGTCCCTGTGCTGGCAGCCCTGCTGACGTGGGGCCTGGCTAGACAGAGGTGGGCCTTCTGTGCCCTCACCTGGGCCATCCCCACCATGCGGTGAGGTTGGGTTGCATCCAGCCAGGAGGCAGCTGGCAGGGCCCTGTGGCTTGTCTGAGGACCCAAGGGGGAACTTATCAGAGGGCAAGAGAGAAAGAGGGCTGAGGGGTGGTATGTAAGAGGGAGGGGGCTAGGAGAGTGTAGATGCTTCCTGAAAGGTCACGGATTCTATTGGAATTCCCAGCCAAACTTCAGGACTGGGAAACACCCTTCTTAGGAGGTGGCTAGGGGCTCAGGCTGGCTTGGCTCATTCCTGGCCTGCAGGCCTTGCTCCTGAGCACAGGGCAGGGGCTGCCGGCCCCGGTTCAGAATGGGATCTGAAAGCTGCCTGGAAAGAATGGGCCTCTGGATCAGGATCACCAGGGTGGGACCTGGATATTTCCCATAGTCACCAGACGTGTTGCTCAGAGGGAGGTTCCTGGCCAGCAGCTTTGTTGGCATCACCTGGGAGCTTGTTGGAAATGCAGAACCTTGAGCTCTGCCCAGACTTACTCCCTCAGAATCTGCATGGTAAATGATCTCTGCTGACCCGGGCACTGGGGTTCAAGGACCTCGGCCCTGCCAAATCTGAAATCCAGAGCTAGGCCAAAGTACACTTGTGGAATCAGGATGCTGAATCTAAGTTAAATGCAGAAGCATCCTTTGAGCAAAGGTGGTGGAGTGGGCTGAATTATGACCCTCTCAAAAGATGTCCATGTCTCAGAAATGCAGAATGTGACCTTATTTGGAAACAGAGTCTTTGCAGATACAATTAAGATCTTGAGGTGAAATCACCCTGAATCATCCAAGTGGGTCCTAAATCCAATGACAAGTGTCCTTGTAAGAGAAGAGGAGAAGACACAGAGACACAGGCAAGAAGACCACGCAAAGACAGAGACAGAGATTGGAGTGATGTGGCCACAAGCCAAGAAACACCTGGAGCCACCAGAAGCTGGAGGAGGTAGGAAAGATCCTCCCCCCAAGCTTTTAGAGCGCAAACCCCTGCAGAAACCTTGGTTTTGGACTTCTGGCTTCCAGAACAGTGAGACATTACATTTGTGTTGTTGTAATGATTACAGCAACCACAGGAAACTAAAGCAGGTAGCCTTTTCAGACTCTGCAGAGGAAAAAAAAGCATGGCCAAAGTTACCCAAGAAAGAGTTGATGACCCCACCAGTCCCCAGTCACAGCAGTCTTAGCTTTGTTCCCAGAATTAGCTGACCTCCTCCACCCCATTTCCTTATTCCTTTTTAATGCTCCACAAAACCCAAGGACAGTCGAGACCTGGTCCTGCGTGGCTGCCTGATCACCAGACCGTCAAAAGCTGCCGGCTCCTTCATGCTCCCAAACGTGACTATTTTATTTACTCTTAACTTCATCTTGTTTGGAAATTATTTAAAGCAGTTTCAATGGAGTCAAACTGAGTCATATTTTAACTGCTTAAGTACCACTTAAAAACAGACTTTATGAGTTCACTCGGATTAAGAAACAAAAAAGGAAATAAAAGAAAAATGAAATAAAATAAAAAAGAATAAAAACAGATGTCAACAAGTCCTTTGGCAAATGATCCCACAATGGCTTCATTTTCTGAGCTTAGATGGCGCTAGATGAGGTTAATTTCAAACGAGGTATACTAGTACTAGATTCGAATGGACAGAAACTCTGAAGGTTCTGGGATCGTTTTCCTTTTAGAAAGTTTTCAGGATTCAAAGATAAAGATTCAGGGCAGTGGTTCTCAACTTTGACTCACACTAGAATCATTTGGGGAGCTTAAAAAGAACAGCCACATTCCAGACTCTCCCCAGATCAGGTAAGTCAGAATCTTGGCGGGTAAAGCCCACCCTGGGGCTCCATGGAACCCCTGAGCCAGACCCTGCACCCAGCTTCGCACTGACCTCCACATGCTGCAGGGTGTAGTGTGGTCATGTGCCCAGGGCTGGCCAATCAGATGTGCTCACCCTGAGCTCAGCTGTGAAGGGGCAGGTACCATCCGGGATCCATTCTGCCAGGCATGATAACAGGCAGTGCCAGTGTGGACAGTGGTGGGATAAGCTGTGGGCTGGCACCCCATCGTACAGATGAGGACACAGCTCAGAGGGATCCAGAGACTTGTCCAAAGTCCCATAACTAAGGACTGGCAGAGCTGGGATTTGAACCAGCCCCTCTGGCTGCAACGCCTGCCACCTTTTCCTCCCTTGAAACAGCTCCATGCCTTAATTAGGGGCAGTGTTGGCCAGGCGCGGTGGCTCATGCCTGTAATCCCAGCACTTTGAGAGGCCGAAGCGGGCGGATCACCTGAGGTCAGGAGTTCGAGACCAGCCTGGCCAACATGGTGAAACCCTGTCTCTACCAAAAATACAAAAATTAGCTGGGTGTGATGGCAGGAGCCTGTAATCCCAGCTACTCAGGAAGCTGAGGCAGGAGAATTGCTTGAACCTGGGAGGTGGAAGGTGCGGTGAGCAGAGATGGTGCCACTGCACTCTAGCCTCGGTCACAAGAGCAAAACTCCATCTCAAAAAAAAAAAAAAAAAAAAATTAGGGGCAGTGTTCTGGACTCTGGCTTTCAGGCCTAGCTCTCTGATTCTCCCAGCACATCCATGAGCAACCAAACATGCCTTCTGCTTTTTTTCAAAGTTAATTTTGTTATTGAAGTATCAGATACATACAGAAAAGATCACAGATCCTAAGTGTGCAGTTCAATGAAGTTTGACAAAGCAAACACACTCATGTAATCAGAACCCAGACCAAGAAATAGAACAGGGCCAGCACCTTAGAGACTCTCCCAGGGTCTCTCCTCCCAAACATAACCACCACCAGATTTCTAGATTGGTTCTGCTTGTTTTTGAGCTTTATAGAAACAGCATGATATAGTGCACACCCTTTTCGTGTCTGGCTTCTTTGAGTTAGCGTGGGTGAGAGTCATCCATGCTGCTGTACGTAGCTGAGGTTTCTCCATCCTCCGTGCTGTCTGGTGTGAAGGGCCGTAACCAGCTTACCTGTTCTATTGTGAATGGACATTTGATGTTTGAATGGTGCTGCTAGGAATATTCTATTCTTATGCCTGTCTTTTGGCACCAGTGTGTACCCAATACCCTCTTAAGAAATGCTTCTGCTAAAGTGAGCAGAGTTGGTCTATGTTGTTTACAGCTAAGCACCTTGGTTGATGCCATTTATAAGCACTACTATTGTCCCCACTTTACAGAGGAGGAAACTGAGGTTCAGAGAGAGGTTCAGCCACAGGCCAGGCACAGCTGCGGCCTTAGTTACAAGGCCATGTCACTAAAGAGTAGCAGAGCTGGGATTTGATCAGAGCTGTCCTCTTAACCACTAGTTAAGGGACACAAGTGCATCTCCGCCCCTTAGACCTGCCTGATGCCGCACAGCGGTTTAACAGATAATACCCACCCCCTTGATGGAAATGGCTGGGGCGGGGGACTGAGAGCTGCACTGATGGTGCTGTCCTGGGCAGGGCTTGGGATGTCGCCAGCATGCAGGAGCCCTGAGAGGAGGATCAGTCCCTTCCAAGAGGGATATGAGGGAGGGGGAAGCCTCCTGGGCTGCCACTGCTCCTGGCAGCAGCCCTTCCAGAGGGAGGCTCCTCCCTGAGGGCAGGGGAGCTTCCTTTCGGAGGAGAGGGCAGGCTCCTTCGCTGGGCAGAGCGGTGGTCTGGGCATTGCTGAAGCGGCCAGTGGAGACAGGGATCCCAGCCTTGAGATTCACCCTCTGCCTCCCATGGGAATCCTAAGTAAGAAAATGATGCTTCTGACTGACTGTCTGGCAGCCCCTGGTGAAGAGCTGTCCCTACCCACTCACCTCTGCAAATAGCAGAATGGCATATGGTGGCAGAAGGAAGGGTCCAGAAGGTAGTTCTTCTGCGGAATGACCCATGCGATGGGCTGCTCTGTGACGCATTGGAGTGGGGATCATTTCCTTGCAGTGGAGGAGTGGGTCAGAGGCCGGGCTTGTCACATGGAAGTCCCTCCTGGGGATGGGCCACTGACAGATCCCTCTGTAAACAGCATTTGCATCAGATTCACTGCTCCAGAAAGTGGGGATCAGGGTCCCTGAAGCCAAGGAGCAGGCATAGAAGAGGCCAGAGGTGACTGGCAGCATATTTGACAGGATGCATAAATCTTGTTAAATGGGAGAGAAGCCAAACACGCTGGCTTTGTATGGGCAATTTAGACCTTCCTAGGTCATTCCCTGCAGGGACTGCAGGCCTCAGTGTAGTCTCTGATCTGCAGCAGCTGCAACAGCATCTAGGAACTTGTTAGACTTACTGGTTTTCAGGTTGCTACTTAATCGGAAGTTCTTCAGGTGGGGCCCAGCATTCTGTGTTTTAACATGCCAAGGGGATTCTGACGCATGCTGAAGTTTGAAAGCCACCAGCATAGTGCAATATGAAGTAGGCATTATCATCAATCCCATCTCACAGCTGAGGGAACAGAAGGTCTGAGCCAGTTTTACCCCAAGTTACACAATTAATAGGAAAGACAACAAAATTAGGTGCAGCTGTGAATAACAAAAATCGAACTCCAGAGCACCATGAACTAAACAAAATTGTTTATTTTTCCTTCATGGTCCAAGATAGCTGCTGAAGCTCCAGCCGTTGTGTCCATATTCTAGGCAGCAAAAAGGAGGGAAAGGGCCAGGCGCAGTAGCTCACGCCTGTAATCCCAACACTTTGGGAGGACGAGGCAGGTGGATCACTTGAGGTCAGGAGTTCGAGACCAGCCTGGCCAACACGGTGAAACCCCATCTCCACAAAAAATGCAAAATTAGCCAGGCATGATGGCGTGCACCTGTAATCCCAGCTACTCAGGAGGCTGAGGCAGGAGAATTGCTTGAACGGGAGGTTGCAGTGTTGCAGTGAGCCAAGATCGCGCCACTGCATTCCAGCCTGGGTGACAGAGCGAGACTCCGTCTCAAAAAAAAAAAAAAAAAAAAAAAAAAACCACTGTGCTCCAGCCTGGGTGACAGAGTGACACTTTGCACTTTGTCTCAAAACAAAAACAAACAAACAAAACAAGTAAAGGGAGGAAGGTCCCACCCTGTCCCTGTAGGGGACACTTCCTAAAATTGTATATACGGCTTCAGCTTACATCTCATTGGCTGCAATTTAGTCAATTGCTTCACCTAGCAGAAAGAGAGGCTGGGAGAATAAAGTCTGGGTCCTAAGTGACTATGCATGCAGGTAAAACTTGGGGTTCTGCTGCTATAGAAGAGCCTCGATAATGGGGAACAACTAGGCAGTCTCTGCCGCAAGAGTGTATCTGAGAATCAACCCAGGGCTTCTAATTTCACCATCTGAAGTTATGTTTTTGTTTAAATGTTGTCTTTATCTTCCCCTTTTAGAAGTCCCACCAAAAGCAAGCCTTCTTGGAAGTCTTCTCCGTTGCTGCTGTCTCCCCAATGCCTAGAACGATGCCTGGCTTGTAGTGGTGATCTTTGCTTGCTATTGAATATACTACTTTAAAAATTAAATTAAATACCTCATGTGAGAGAAGCTTTTTCAGGGTCTGGCACATGGAAGGTACTCAGAATGTGGTTGCTGCTATGTATTTAAAGCAGTGCTTCCCAACAAAGCCCCGCTGGCCCCTGGCAAGGTTTACCTCTTAGACTCTCAATCCCACCACCACCGCCTGCCTGCATGTACAGACTTGCACACAAATCTTGGCCCTTTCATTGGACTTTAAGAATAATCAGTGCTGGTCAGGCGCAGTGGCTCACTCCTTTAATCTCAGCACTCTGGAAGGCTGAGGTGGGCGGATCACTTGAGGTCAGGAGTTTGAGACCAGCCTGGGCAACATGGTGAAACCCCATCTCCACCAAAAAAAAAAAAAAAATTAGCCAAGTGTGGTGGTGCATGCCTGTAGTCCCCAACTACTTAGGAGGCTGAGGCAAGTGAATTACTTGAACCTGGGAGGCAGAGGTTGCAGTGAGCCAAGTTTGAGCCACTGCACTCCAGCCTGGTCAACAGAGCAAGACTCTGTCTCAAAAAAAAAAAAAAAAAAAAAAAAAATCAGTGCTGTTTGATTGGGTCTGGAGAATGCAAGCCACAGCCCAAGTAAGCAACTAGATTGGGAGAGAAAATTCATCTCGCCATTTCTTGTACAAGCCTGGAAGTAGGCCTTAAGAACAAAGCTGGGCTCAGGCTGCCGTGATGGGGTGTCTGTCTATTCTGGCGTTTGTCATTTGAGCTTTTCCTTCGTAGGTGCAGCCTTCTTGGGTTCCAGGGACTTGGTGCCCTTACTTACAGCCCATTGGGTGCCTGCCCCTTGTCGCCAGTGTTCAGGTTTGTGGTCACCCCTATGTTGCCTAACTGGGTCAGGCTGGATGGAGCCGGGAGGGCTGTTTGCGTTGGCTGCTTTTCCCTGTCAACTGTCACACACGAATGCAGCCTCCAAAATTCAATTTAACATAAATCTTGCCATTTGGACCAAGGCAAGTGGGCCTTATTCAAATCCGAACAGTCTATTATTGAGCTCGGAAACAGACAATAGCTGATGCTGTGATGTTCAGTTGCAACTGCCCTAATTACAGACAAACACTAATTTCATAGGATTTTTTAGAGTGAAGCAAATCTTTTGAAAGAAGTGTCCTCATTTAAAAACTACAGATCGAGAGGGCTATGAGGGTTCATTTTATTTATTGATAATGTGGACTGCGTCAATTCCTGAATCTCATTTGTTCAAACTCCCAGGGCTGTTGTGAGGAGCAAAATGAAAATGAGGTAATGTTTGTGGAGGTCCCTAATGAAGAGCAAAGCAATCCAACAGCTATAGTAGTATTGTGCGTTCAACGCCCTGCACCTTGCAGCTGCGTCCCATTAACAATGACCTCTGAGCTGTGAGCTCCAGGGCCTCTCCCCTCACTCCGCGGGCCACTCTCCATGGGTCCCTCACCTCCAGCTTCCTCTTTCCTTGAATGTGGCTTCTCAACATTTGGGCCATGACTCAAATGTCACCTCGTTGAGGAAAAGGTGTCCAATCAGTACTTACTGTGGTGCTCCGCCCTGTGTCTTTCCGAGTTCTTAGTCCCATGAGATAATCTGATGCATTGGTTGGCTTGTTTTTAATCTCTCTTCTCCATGGGAGCACCAGCTCCATAAGGGCAGAGACCTTGTCTGTCTTGTTCACACCTGCATCTCCTGTGTCCAGAACAGTGTCTTGCACCTAGTAGAGATGGATGTATATTGATTGGGAGTTTGGCTTGGGGAGGAAAGGAGAAAGTGAACTGTTAAGAAATTAGGGCATTTAGCATTATCTAAGAAACTGAAGCAGTACCTGGGGTCCCTGAGTACCTCGAACAGGTGTGTGGTGTGGTACCTGGAGTCCCCAGGGCCCCTAAGTACCTGGAGCAAGTGTGTGGAGTGGTACCCAGAGTCCCTGGAATCTCTAAGTACCTGGAGCAAGTACATGGAGAGGTACCTGGAGTCCCAGAATCCCTAAGTACCTGGAGTAGGTGGGTGGAGCAGTACCCAGACTCCCTGGAATCCCTAAGTACCTGGAGCAGATGTGTGGAGTGGTATCTGGAGCAGGTGTGTGGCATGGTACCTGGAGTCCCTGGAATCACTAAGTACCTGGAGCAGGTGTGTGGCATGGTACCTGGAGTTCCCTGGAATCTCTAAGTACCTTAAGCAGGTGTGTGGCATGTTACCTGGAGTCCCTGGAATCCCTAAGTACCTGGAGCAGGTGTGTGGAGTGGTATCTGGAGCAGGTGTGTGGCATGGTACCTGGAGTCCCTGGAATCACTAAGTACCTGGAGCAGGTGTGTGGCATGGTACCTGGAGTTCCCTGGAATCTCTAAGTACCTGAGCAGGTGTGTGGCATGTTACCTGGAGTCCCTGGAATCCCTAAGTACCTGGAGCAGGTGTGTGGCGTGGTACCTGAAGCAGGTGTGTGGAGTGGTACCTGGAGCAGGTGTGTGGCATGGTACCTGGAGTTCCTGGAATCTCTAAGTACCTGGAGCAGGTGTGTAGAGTGGTACCTGGAGTCCCAGGATCCCTAAGTACCTGGAGCAGGTGTTATGTGAGAGATTTTGATACCCAAGAAGCTTACAGATTAATATAGTAATTTGCAGTATTCAAATAAGTGCCACTAATGTGTGAGGTGGCACGTGGTAGGAGCAGATGGTTATAAATACAGTAGGGGCTGCAGGGGACACACAGTTGTGGACACTGGAGCTATTCTTCTTGGAGAAGGGCATGGAGTTGCACCTCAGTCAGCAGTCTCCTCTGTCACCTCTGGCATTTTGCACCTGGCCTTCCATGGCTGCTGCCTGTCGCTGTTGGCTCTGGGCCCTTCCTTTGAGCAGCTGTTCCACAGTGGAGGCCCTGGTGCTGCCTCCACTCAGTCACACACTGTGTGTGGCCACAGCTGGCCAGGGTCCAGGCTGGACACAGCACCAACCAAGTGCTCTGTGAGGTCCGTCCTGCAAGACCAGAGCCGTCAGTGGGCAGGAGGAGGCCATGCAGAGGTGGCACTGGTACTGCGCTTTCATTTCAGTTTAGGATCCTCTTTGACATCTTTTCTTTTTGAGATGGAATTTTGCTGTTATTGCCCAGGCTGGAGTGCAATGGCGCAATCTCAGCTCACCACAACCTCTGCCTCCCGGGTTCAAGCGATTCTCCTGCCTTAGCCTCCCAAGTAGCTGGGATTACAGGCATGTGCTACCACGCCCAGCTAATTTTGTATTTTTACTAGAGAAGGGGTTTCTCCATGTTGGTCAGGCTGGTCTCAAACTCCCAACCTCAGATGATCTGCCCACCTCGGCCTCCCAAAGTGTTGGGATTACAGGCGTGAGCCACCGCGCCCAGCTACTCTTGACATTTTTTGAAAGAATGTTCTCTATCTCATTCTCACCCATATATCCCTTATGAGAGAAGCCAGGAAACCAGTTCTGAGGATGTCAGTCTGGCTAGTAAAACCCTGAGGATTCCATTTTCAAGGGTACCTTGACTGTTGTGTTCAAAGAAAGCTTTGAACAACAAATGTAAAAACCCTGCCAAGCCAAGTCCACCGAGTAGCTCATTAAAATGTATTTAGGTTGAGGCTTATTTTTTTAAGCTTACTTTATCAGAAAAAAAGAAATTGGATTTAGATACTAAGGAAGGCTTCTTGCACAGAGAGGGACGTCCGTTGTCTTAGTTCTATGATCTCGATGCTTAGACAGGCCGCTCACCCCAGCAGGGCAGAGTTGTTCTTATGTCCCAGGGGGGTCGCTGCAGAAGCTCTAGCAACTCTCTCCCTCCTTTCATCACCTCGGGCCTTCCTCGCCAGCACCTCCATTCCTAAGGCTCACGTGGGAGAGACAGTGTGGAGAGAAACAGAGACGAGAACAGGACTTCTTAAACAGCACCAGCAAGAATAGTCTTACAATGAAGTGTGCACCACGGGAGCGCCGCACCAGCCGGCATGGAGGAGCGTGGCAATTTCAAGCTGACCCCTGGCTGCAGTGGCCTGGGTCTGTGTGG
This sequence comes from Homo sapiens, assembly GCF_000001405.40. NCBI lineage: Eukaryota > Metazoa > Chordata > Mammalia > Primates > Hominidae > Homo > Homo sapiens. The sequence goes on from NC_000017.11 coordinate 17,456,486, forward strand.
CGTTCGCGGCTTTGGCGACTGCGGTGGAGCTCCCTCGTGGGTCCCCGAGGACGCCTGGATGGGCACCCACCTTAAATATTTAGAAATGATGAAATTAGGCTGGGTGTGGTGGCTCACACCTGTAATCCCAGGAGGCTGAGGCGGGAGGCTGGGAGGCTGAGGCGGGTGGATCACGAGGTCAGGAGTTTGAGACCAGCCTGAACAACATGGTGAAACCTCGTCTCTACTAAAAATACAAAAATTAGCTGGGCGTGGTGGCGGATGCCTATAATCCCAGCTACTCAGGAGGCTGAGGCAGGAGAATCGCTTGAACCCAGGAGGCAGAGGTTGCAGTGAGCTGAGATCGCACCACTGCACTGCAGCCTGGGCGACAGAGTGAGACTCCATCTCAAAAAAAAAAGAAATGATGGAACTAGACACAGAAGATGCCACCCATGTTTATATAGCATTCTTGGTTTATCTGGACCTCATAGAAAGCAAAACTGGCATGAACTAAACTGTGTCAGATTACCAGAACTCCAGCTCATCTGCCTTGTTGGTACTGAGATAGAAGAGGAGGGGTTACAGACTGTGGTGCCTACCCCCATCACTGCTTCCCTCAGCCATAACAGGATAAGGGAGATCTTGAAGGCATCTTGAAAATTGCCAGGTGATCCAGATTTGCTGATGTCTTTTACTCTGGCCATAATGGAGTCTGATTCTACAATAGTCTATTATAAACTTACTGATGGATTTATGCTGCCAGACCCTCAGAATATTTCTCTTAGAAGATGACATCTATGTTTCCTGATGCTTGTTTTATTCATACAAGATTGGATTTGAGACCCGTCAGACTGCTTTGTCTTTTATCTCAGAGATAGTCAGGGTTGACTTAGATAGTGAGGGTTGACTTCCCTATTCCATAAGGTTTTCATTCTGAAGAATAAAACTTCCCCAGGGGGGGCTGGGCGCAGTGGCTCATGCCTGTAATCCAAACACTTTGGGAGGCTGAGGCAGGTGGATCACGAGGTCAGGAGTTCGAGACCAGCCTGACCAACGTGGTGAAATCCCGTCTCTACTAAAAATACCAAAAAATTAGCTGGGTGTGGTGGCGCGCACCTGTAATCCCAGCTACTCAGGAGGCTGAGGCAGGAGAATCGCTTGAACCCCGGAGGTGGAGGTTGCAGTGAGCCAAGATCATGCCACTGCACTCCAGTGTGGGTGACAGAGCGAGACTCCAGAAAAAAAAAAAAAACAAAAAAAAAAACCTCTCCAGGTAGAAGACTTTTTCTTTCTTAAAAAATATAGGTGGTTTCTTTACAACTTTCTTATCTAGAGACAGTTTAATTACAGTTGTATACAGGTTTACGCCTAGGATGTGTTCAGACAGGTGGAACCTGTGTGCTGCTTTTGTCATCCCACACTTATAGCACTCATAGTTGCCTCTGTTTATTGCTCCCACTGCTAGCTCATTGTTGAGACTGCCATCTCTTTCTCTTACTCAACTCTCCCAGTGCCTTTTGGCCACTGCAGCTACCTTGGAATGGCATTTTATACATACCTTGTCACCTACTTCTGCTTTTTCCTACCCAGTAGAAGGTAAAAGATTTCTTTCAATTGGTCCTCCTGTTGCAATGACTGTTATTTCTCTTTTTTGGTTAACTTTAAATCAAAACTCAAAATATGTTCATCCAGAGTGTAAACTTACATGTCCTGAGTAACAGGGATAGGAGACATGCTACCCACAAGAGTTCTGGGCCTTCCTTTTCATTCTTATTACCACCATCCTTATTATATCATAGCTTGAATATTACAAGAGAGATAGTGTGGGACAGTATCAGTTTTTAAAATGTCTTCATTAATTAGACCCAGTTATTCCACTTTTGTTAATGTCTCTCAAATTGTACAAGGTATGAAAAATTATATGCACAAAGATGTTGCGAGTGACGTTACTTTTAGTAGCCCAAATTATAAACCACTTAAAAGTTTGGGGTAAATATCGGCAAACTTTTTCTATAAAGGGCCAGAAAGTAAATATTTTAAGTGTTTTCTTTTTTCTTTTTGGAGACAGAGTCTCGCTCTGTTGCCCAGGCTGGAATGCAGTGGCATGATCTCGGCTCACTGCAAACTCCACCTCCTGGGTTCAAGTGATTCTCCTGCCTCAGCCTCCCGAGTAGCTGGGACTACAGGCGCCTGCCACCATGCGAGGCTAATTTTTGTATTTGTAGAAACAGGGTTTCACCATATTGGCAGGCTGGTCTCGAACTCCTGACCTTGTGATCCGCCTGCCTTGGCCTCCCAAAGTGCTGGGATTACAGGCATGAGCCACCACGCCCAGCCCTATTTTAGGTTTTGAAACCTACTGTCTCTGTCATAACTTGTCAACACTGCTGTATGAAGCATAAAATCAGCCACACACAATACATAAACAACATGGGCACGGCTTTGTTCCAGTAAAACTTTATTTACAAATGTGTTGCCATAGTTTGCCATCCCTGGGTCTAGGAAATAGTCGATAAACAGGTATATACAAACGATACATAATGTACTTATTAAAAATTAGGGCCAAGCACGGTGGCTCATGCCTGTAATCCCAGCACTTTGGGAGCCCAAGGTGAGCAGACCACGAGGTCAAGAGATTGAGACCATCTGGCTAACATGATGAAACCCCATCTCTACTAAAAACACAAAAATTAGCTGGGCATGGTGATGTGCGCCTGTAGTCCCAGCTACTAGGGAGGCTGAGGCAGGAGAATCACTTGAACCCTGGAGGCAGAGGTTGCAGTGAGCGGAGATCACGTCACTGCACTCCAGCCTGGGGACAGAACAAGACTTGGTCTCAGAAAAATAAAATAAAATAAAATAAATAATGAATATTATTAAAAACATGAGAATTTTACATTAAGTAAAATTTGCAAGATGCAAAAGTGTATGAGTGGGTGTAATCATGGCTGAAATAACACATCAAGCATTTGATAACAAGATGACAAAGTAAATCAAATTACTAACTGTGGTTACAGTGGGATGGGAGGCAGTAAATGGATGACTTTGTCTTTTCTCAATGTTTATTTTTATTTGTATTACTTTTATAATAAAAATGTTTTAAAATTTAAAAAAAGAATGAAGTGAGGGTGTCTAAGGTGTAGGAGCACTCTGTCCCAAGAAGGGGAGCTTTGCCGGCCTGCCATTTTGCCCAGACTTTCTTCCCTCCCCTTCATCACCCTCTGGAGGCCTGGGATGCTCCAGCAACCGAACCTATCCCCTCTCCATGAGGCTGTCTCTCAGTAGGAGGAGAGGCGGTGTCAGGAGTCACAGCCCGGCTTTGGTGGCCTTTTATCCCTGGCAGTACCACCATTTACATAGCTGTGTGCATGGTCCAATCATGCTGTGCCTCTCTTCCCTCTTCCATAAATTATGGAGTTATCAATGAGGCTGGAAATGAGCAATGAGGACTGAACAGTGAATTCATGTCTGGCTTTGGGAATATGCCAGGCAGAAGGCATCACTCAGTATTGTTGGCTGTTGTGTGACTGTCATCATTGCTGCCACCACCATCACCATCATGAGCATCGCCATCACCACCATCATCACCATCACCACCATCACCATCATGACCATCGCCATCACCACCATCATCACCATTACCACCATCACCATCACCATCATTACCATCACCACCATCACCATCATCACCATCACCATCACCATCATCACCACCATCATCATCATCACCATCACCACCATCACCATCACTGCCATCGCCATCACCATCACCATCATCACTATCACCATCACCATCACATCACCACCATCACCATCATCACTATCACCATCGCCACATCACCGCCATCACCATCATCACCATCACTATCACCATCATCACTATCACCATCACCATCACCATCATCACCATCATCACCATGATCATCATCACCATTGAAGACATCTCCAATAAGTGCTGTTTATTTATTTATTTTTAAACGCAGTAGCATTTACAACTAATTGATCACAAGCAGTTACAGATCTCTTTGTTCCTTCTCCACTTCCACTGCTTCACTCGACTTGCCTAAAAATAAAAAAATAAATAAACAGCACTTATAATTCTACCACCGAATAACTATTTTTGAATTTGAACATTTATTACCCTCTCATTTACTGTCCTTTTTAAAGCCTTGGAGAAACACAGCCATAGGGTCTTTTAGCCAGAAACCTAACCCAGCTTCTTCCTTTGACTAATGAAGAGACTGACATTCAAAGGGTTATGTGATAGGATTTTACGTGGAGCAAGCAGAGGTGATGCCCCTCGCAAGGTTTCCCCGAGGAGCCTCTACCTGATCCTCAAA